>NC_000011.10:133839869-134149057 GCF_000001405.40 Homo sapiens | reverse complement strand
AGATGGAATAATCATTCTTAAAAAGTACCATCACTAGCGCTTGCAAAGCACAAATCCCATTAGTGTGTGTGTGTGTGTGTGTGTGTGTGTGTGTGTGTGTGTTACTGTGAAGGGGCTGAGGAGCTCAGGAGCTGCACAATCACTCAGAAATCTTCCCAGGAGACCCGTGTGGTTTCCAAGGGGGAATGTTGTTTTCCCTGCTGGGTACACCTAGGTTTCCAGGTTTACTAAATGATTACCTCCTCGTCAGTGCGGATGTAGTTAACTCCATCTGGTTTCCCTGGGTTCTTGTAACTATGAGGAGAAGAGAGCAGTTTAGCAACAGGGTTGTTATATTATTGCCAGCTTGAACTTCCCTTTTTTCACATAAGGCAGGCTCACCTTTCTCCATCCTGTTTATTGTTGATGAAGTAGCCACGTCTGTATGCACAGCAGATGCCCAACGTGATCAGGGCCAGTACAGCAAGGACAACCAGAACCCCCCCAATAATTCCGCCAATGTTCAGGTCATCTGAAGAAAAGGAGGTTTGGTGGAAGCCATGATACACACTATCTGTTATTTAAAAAGGCCCTGGCCCTGCTGTGCCTCCTTCCTTCACCCCAAACCCACTTGCCCCCTGCCCCCTCAGGCCTACCCCAGCTAGAAGAGAGAACACTTACAATCCTTCTAGCCTAGAACATATAGGACACCATAACTCCTAACTTCACACGTGAAAAGTACTGAGACTTCTACAGTTGAAATGCAGTCGCACTGAAAAGTGTATTAAAGTGGGCTTGGCACTGTAGGCTTAAAAATCCTCTGGCTGAATGCCTGAGATTACTTATGGAGGAAATGGTTATGAGGACAAGATTAGGAGCCAGGATCCCAAGAAGAAAAGAATCCCTAATTTCCAGGGCCTCCCTTTGTTGCAGATTGCTGCGGGGAAGAAAGGTAGCTTCAAGCCTTAAAGAATCTGTCTCAAAAAACAAACAAGTAAAGAATCCTAGGTAAGAACTAGAGCTTTGTCTCTGCCGGCTGCCTGACCTCCGATCTATAAGCCCTCTGAGAGGAAACCCCCTGGAACCCTTTTCTCATGTCTATACACTGGGCAAAGGCACTGGGTCACTTTCATATGGGGCTCTGGCAGCCGTTCCTTCAAGCAAGCGACACATGGAAAACTATGCAGGGAATTTATCAACAAGAGCCAAGTAACTTGGAAGTTTTAAAAAAATCTCCTTTATCCTAGTGTATTGGTTCTCAAAGATGAATGTACACTTAAAAATCAACTTGCAGGCCGGGCGCGGTGGCTCACGCCTGTAATCCCAGCACTTTGGGAGGCCGAGGTGGGCAGATCACGAGGTCAGAGATTCGAGACCATCCTGGCTAAGGTGGTGAAACCCCGTCTCTACTAGAAACACAAAAAATTGGCTGAGCGTGTTGGCAGGTGCCTGTAGTCCCAGCTACTCAGGAGGCTGAGGCAGGAGAAAGGTGTGAACCCGGGAGGCGGAGCTTGCAGTGAGCCGAGATTGTGCCACTGCACTCCAGCCTGGGTGACAGAGCGAGACTCCATCTCAAAAACAAAAAGTAAACTTGCAATCGTTTTTTTTTTTTTTTTTTTGAGACAGAGTCTTGCTCCGTCACCGTCACCCAGGCTGGAGTTCTGTGGTGCAATCTCGGCTCACTGCAAGCTCCGCCTCCCGGGTTCAAGGGATCCTTCTGCCTCAGCCTCCCAAGTTACTGGGACTACAGGCGCCTGCCACCACACCAGGCTAATTTTTGTATTTTTAGTAGACACAGAGTTTTGGCATGTTGGCCAGGCTGGTCTTGAACTCCTGACCTCAGGTGATCCACCCGCCTCAGCCTCCCAGAGTGCTAGGATTATAGTGTGAGCCACCACGCCTGGCATGCAATTTTGATGTTAAAATGTCAATTCCCAAGTTTCATCACTAAAAAGTCAATAGGCTAAAGTAGGTCTGGGGCAAAACTGCAGGAGAAAACAACCCTAGAGCAGAGTTTCTCAAACGTGACACATGAGAAGAATCCTTCGGAACGCTTGTCTCACACACAGACATTTCTAGCATATGTCTGAGGTGGGCTCGAATCTGTATGTGAAACAGTGGTCCCAAATGGGTATCACCAGGCAGTTTTGGAAAATGCTGCTCTGAGGAGAGCTCCAAATAGGGAGGAGGGAAGGATTCAAAAAATGCTCCTGGCTGGGCACAGTGGCTCATGCCTGTTAATCCCAGCACCTGGGGGAGGCCGAGGCAGGAGGATTGCTTGAGGCCAGGAGTTTGAGACCAGCCTGGGCAACACAGTGAGACCCCGTATCTACAAAAAATAAAATTAGCTGAGCATGGTGGTGTGTGCCTGTTGTTCCAGCTACTCAGGAGACTGAGGTGGGAGAATGGCTTGAAGGCTGGGTTTGAGGATGCAGTGACCTGTGACTGCACTCACTGCACTCCAGCCTGGGCAACAAAGCAAGACCCTGTGGTGTTTTTTGTTTTTTGTTTTTTAAGAAAAAAAAAAGCTCCCCAAGTGATTTGGACACATCCTCTCTGCCCCCACCCTCCTCTCAACGCCCCTCCATTAGGGGAACCAGAGCCCTGAGATAACATTACTCTAGGGGCTAAGCTTTGTCTGCAGGTAAAATTACTCGGGCTAAAACTGTCAGTTTTCTACAAGAGGGTTATAACTGGATAAATTTCTGGAGACCTGACACCACCTTACATTTTGATAATTCTATCAATTACCAAAGAATGGAGTTTACTAAACTTGCAGTGAAAGTTGCAAGGCTGGCCACGTTCCCAACACCAGCAGATCCCAGAAGGTTTTGTTTTGAGGACCTGCTTATCTGGACTCGGTTTTCTCAGCCTTCCCTTCACTGTGCAGTGGGTTCTGGTGGACCTAGGCAGCTCCAGAAGAAAGCTAACCCATGGCGGAAGAGTTCTCTAAGCTGATGGTATAATATTAAATTAAAATGTTCTATTCACTTCCCAGTCTTGCGATGAAACCTCTTCAAAAAAGAAACTCACAGACTTCCATCTCCTGCTCCTCACACCTGGCTGAGCCTGCGTCATTGGAAGCAATGCAGTAGTACTGCCCAGAGTCGTCCTTGTGAACAGCAGTGAACACCTGTTTCAGGGAATGACAAGTAAATAATCGGACCCATCATGGGGCCGATTTCTGAGAGCACAGCCAGCTGGGTCCAGAACTAGGTCGACACCTGCTCGCTTGCTTTCAGCTTCCCCAGCACTGTGCATGTTCCTCCCTGACCCACTCCCTGATACCTGCCTGACAGCTCCCCAACAACCAATCCCCTTGGGACTGGAGACACCAAAGCCTGGCAACATCCGAAATGGGAGGTGGAACCTTGCTTTTATTCTGGTAAAAGGGCTCTTCAATGATGACTGCTCCTGGGGCAACATTTTGGCAAAATGAACACAGAGGACCCTGTTAAAATCTGTCTGATGACTACGTGGAACTGGATGGTCCACAGATCAGAAGGTACCTCCCAGGAGAGAACCACATGCAGTAAAAGCCTGGTGTGGTTTGCTGGCCAGGTCACTTTGTCCTCTAGTGCATGACCAATCTGTTTCCTCTCCTCCCCCACCTCCCACCACCACCACTGGGTTATTTTGAAACAAATTCCAAACACCTTTTATCCATAAATACTTCAGTATCTCTACAAGACTGTAAAAAATCGTAACCACAATACCTTCATCATGCCTAAAGCAATGAACAGTTGCTTAATAGATCATCAAATACCACCTAGTAATCCAATTTCCCCGATTGTCTAATGACTTTTACAGTTGATTATCCGATCAGGGCCCTAGTAACATTTGCTTAATATCCCTCTTCGGTCTCAATCTATGGTTTCTTTCTCTTCCTTATTTTACCCCCTAAGAATGTACTTGTTTATAAAAGGAAGAAGGGTCATTTTTCCTGTAGAATCCCTAACATTCTAGATTTTTGACTCCTGTCTTATCAAGAAGTTTCAGTATCTCTCCTAATCTTCTTTTCACAATAAGCATCTCTTGCCCCAACAAAGACATCTCCATCCTCACCTCTTAGAAGAGATCTTACCAAAGTGCCTGTTTCAGAGTTTAAGTGGAAAGAAGAATTGCGAAATCTGGGATTGGCTCTGGAATCCGTGGGCAGTGGTACATCATTGCGATACCAGCTGTAGTGAGGCCGGGGGTGGCCCTCACTCTCCTGGCAGTGCAGTGTTGCCATCTTGCCTACTGGTACAGCCTTCGGCACTCTACAGACAGGGGTCACTGGCTTCACTGTGGGGAAAAAGGGGTGGTGTTTAAGATCTCAGTGACAGGGCTCTATTCTTATTAAAGCCCAGAAGAAATCAGCTCCAAAGACAAGACAGCCAGTCGAGGGGTTCCCACGCCACTGCTGTTCCCAGGATCACAACTGCAGACTGACAAGCCACCGCTGCATCCTGCCCTCCCATATGTTAAAGCGCCTCCTCTAGCTGGTGGAAGGAAGTGACAGGAACTTCACTTCCCTTCTCACCTTCTACCCCAACTCAGGCAGTCTCAGCTCTCAACAGTTCTCCCCTCCCTAAGCCATGTGAAGCCCTCAGGGATACAGTTCTAGAAGGAAAGAAACCAAGACACTAACTGATCTCTTGCATCCTATGGTGGCAATGTCTCACCTTCGCATGAGCTCCTACCTTGCACAGTTAACTCGATCACAATCTCATCAATTTCCTTGCGGTCATTTCGAGCAACGACCTCACAGCGATAAAGGGCTGAGTCTCTCCGTGTCACATTCCAGATCTTCAGGGATGTCTTCCCCAGTATTTCTGCACGACCCGCCAAGTCTCCTACAGAAAAGACACGAGGCACTAAAAAACTTCTTTAAAGAAATCTTTGCCACTTGAAGAGGGTGGTTTCTGGGGCTAGCACTAGATGCCACAGCAAGGAAGCCTGCAGATCAATATTTATTTCTATTCCCGAGTACAGAAGTGAACTCTCTTGAGGACAGGAACCATGACCTATTCCTATCTGTAACCTAAACACCAAAAATAGTTCCTGGTGTGCAAGACACACTCATTACCATGTGTCTCCGTCATTAAAACCAGGAACTTCACCTCCTCCTCCTCATTTCCAGGAAGGACCGCCCATGAATAGAAAAAAACACCACTAGAAAAACAACCAATGTTTCATAAATGATGCTGAGATAACTTGATATCCACTTGCAAACACATGAAGTTGAACCTCTCTCTCACTCCATATACAACAAAGACCTAACATAGGAGTTAAAACTATAAAACTCTTAGAAAAATGCATAAGCATAAATCCCTCATGACCTTGGATTGGGCAATGGTTTCTTAGATATGACACCAAAAGCACAAGCACACACTAAAAACAGTTACACCGGACTTCATCAAAATTCAAAGGACAAAGGCAGGTGAAAACAATCCACACAATGGGAGAAATACCTGCAAATCGTACATCCAACCTAGCATCCAGAATAAAGAATTCACACTTCAGTAAGAAATAGACAACCTAATTTAAAAACTGGACATAAGGGTGGGTGCAGTGGTGCACACATATAGTCTCAGCTACTCAGAAGGCTGAGGTGGGAGGATTATTTGAGCCTGGGAATTCATGTCCAGCCTGTGCAACACAGTGAGATCCTGTTTCTAGAAAAAAAAATATTTTTAAATGGACATAAAATTTGAACAGACATTTCTCCAAAGAAAATACACAAATAAGACCCTCAACATCATTAGTCACCAGGAAATGCAAATCAAATCCACAAGACGCCGCTTCCAACCCACTAAGATGGCTAGAACTTAACAAGTCAGACAATAACAAGTGTTGGTAAGGATGTGGGAAAATACACTGCTGGTAGGAGTGTAAAATCGTAAAGCAGCTTTGAAAAACACTCTGTCGGTTTTTTAAACAACTAAACATGCAACTACTGTAAGACTCAGCAGTTGTACTCTTGGTCATTTATCCCAGAGAAATGAAAACTTAGGTTCACACAAAAACCTGTAAACAAATACTGATAGCAGCATTACTGATAATAGCCAAAAAGTGGAAACAACCCAAATGTCCATCAATAGAATGGGTAAAATAATGTGGTATATCTACAATGGAACATTATTCAGCCGTGAAAAGAAATGAAGTACGGACACAGGCTACAACACAGATGAACCTTGAAAACAGGATGCTGAGTGAAAGACGTCAGCCATGGAAGACCACAGTTTCTATCCAGTGTCCAGAACAGGCAAATCCACAGAGACAGAAAGTGGAATCAGAGCTGCCAGGGATGCGGGAGGAGGACTGACTACTGCTGGGTACGGGCTTTCTCTGTGGGATGATGAAAATGTTCTGGAATTTGATAGTGGTGATGGTTGCACAACTGTGAGTATATTAAAAACCCCTGAACTGCACACTTTAAAAGGATGCGGTACGAATTACAGCTCCATAAAAAAACATTTTAAACATAAGACATAATAACACTTTCAAAGAAGCAGGAAGAACCTGGAAAACAACAAATAGGGGAAGGAGTTAGGAAAACATGACACAAAAGAGTAGCAACTACTCATCGCTAAACCTGACAACTGCTGACAAGGACATGAAGGGCTTGCCATAATACACTAAAAACAGCACACTAAAAGATGCTTCCGATGGAGCACAGACGTTGGCAACAACATTTTCGAATGGGAAGCTTTGTTATACACCCACCCATTAGTGGAGGATTCGAACCTTTACCATGTGAGAAAAGAGTAAATAAACCCCACCAGGGTGCCTCTGGTGCAGCCCTGCACTGAGGCGAGGAAAGAGGCCAAGTACAGCTGCATCCTCCCCGAACCCCGGCATTCTGTGCGGGAAACCGTCTCCCTCGGCCTCCCCATCCCTGTGGCTAAGAGCAAAATGTTTAATCCCCAGAAAAGGAAAGTTCTTTAAAGAGTTTCTCACCTGGTTCCTCTGATGCTCTAACTACATGCTCAGGGTTTAGCAGGGTCAGCCTGAGTAGCCAAAGAAAACAGATCTGTGTTCTGAGAAGAACATTTCCATCACTCCAAAAATAAGAGGCAAAGGAGGGACTTCACGTGAGTGGGAAGCAAAACTCTTTTGAGGAGACTCAGGCTCCCGGCGACACTGAGAACCCAAAGCAAGACTGTGTTGGAGCTGCTTCCACAAATCCCTCTCAACTCTCAACTTCTCTGAGAACTCCACAGGCTCCGACTCATGCACGAGCCTGCATGTGTACCTCCTGCAGCTCCCGCCCTCCTGTCAGAAAAAGGATGCCATCCTCCTCTCCAGCCACCTGCCTGCCTCCCTCTGTGCCCCTTGGCACAGCCAAGCCCCAGCAGGCCTCCCCTCGAGTCTCTCTCCCTGCCTGCACCCCAGCTTGGGGCCCCCCACCAGCCCTCTCCCGGACTCTGCAGAAGGCCTCTGACTTGGGCCTCTGCTCTGAGTTGTGCCGCCTCCAATCTCTTCTCTACAGCAGCCACTTCAGTCTTCTGAAACATAGATGCAGCCACGGCACCTCCCCTGAGAGCCTCACAGCGGGCCCTCAGATACCGCCCATGCTCGCCTGGCATTCAGTGCAGTCTGCCTGGCCAGGCAACCTCTCCAGCCCCTCTCCCCCCTCTCCTCCCTCTCTCCCTGTCCATGTACCGGCAACAGTGGGGAACTTCCAGTCTTTCCCATCAGCCAGTCCGTCTGTTGCTTCTGCGTCTTCATACACAGCATTCTCTCCTGATCACCACCTCCCTCCATACCATCTTGCCTGCTAACCAGCCACCCTTCACACCGCACCCAGAGAGGCCACTTTGGGGAGCCTTCCCTGACCACCATCCTCCCACCCGGGAGGATGTCACTTCAGGGTACACCGTGTTTTCTCCCCATCGGCAACCCCAGCACCAAGCCAGAAACACAGTGGGTGGCTCAGTCCATTTGTGCTGTGCCCTTGCTGAAACATATGGTCCTTCTCATTCACTCACCTACATCACTCACATCAGGATCATGAGAAGATGGCCTAGGAAAATGTTCACTTTGATTCCCCAAAGAAATGGGGCTGTGAGCAGATTAAGATCCTAGCTAATGAACTGCACTTGTTGATGCTGGGGGACAGGGACAGGGAGGCTTGATATACCATTTGCATTACTTTTGCATATATTTGAAATTTTCCATAATTATAAATCTTTAAAAAAAAAAAAACGGTCCTAGCTACAGATGCAGGTTACCAGTCTGAGGTAAGTTTCTGGCCAAGAGTGTATACCCAGGTCTATGGACAGAGGAAAGGTCAGCAGGCAAGAGGACTACAGGATCATACCCTGAATTTTGTTGTCAAAAAACACATATGTGGTTTGTTCATCTTGAATTTTCTTCCACTCGATCCTGGGGTCACTTGTCTGCGAATCCGTAATGATGCAAGACAGTTCCACACCTAACACGCAAAGAAGAAAAAGAGCTCTCGGTGAATGTGGAGTGCTTCTACGTTCAGCTGCACCCAGACCCTGCAAGCTCTAATTCAAGAGGCCTTTCATGCAGATTAAAAACGTAGCCAACTCCACACTCCAAGAGACTTTGAGAAAGGATTTTTTGCCAGAAAAACAATAAAGATAATTAGCAAGGATTTTACTACATAGTGTACCCCTCCCTTAAACACCCTGCTTGTATATAAGAAATTTCTTGGCCAGGCGCGGTGGCTCACACCTGTAATCTTAGCACTTTGGGAGGCCAAGGAGGGTGGATCACCTGAGGTCAGGAGTTTGAGACCAGTCAGGCCAAACATGGCAAAACCCCGTACAAAAATCAGCTGGGTGTGGTGGCGGGTGCCTGTAATCCCAGCTACTCAGGAGGCAGAGGCTGCAGTGAGCCAAGATTGCGCCACTACACTCCAGCCTGGGCAACAGGAGCGAGACTCCATCTCAAAAAGAAAAAAGAAATTTATTTGTTGTGTGATCACAAAGCCAGGCAGGAGTGCGATGACAGCTGATGGAAAACTGCACAGGGCTCACTGCCGGCCTGCTGATGCCATGCTTCCAGGCCTGTGCACCGCAGAGCAGTCCACCCGGAACATCTCCCTGGCACACTTACAGAGACAGATGTGTCCTGAGTTGGCTGCAAGACATCAAATGTCCAGTAGATGGTGCCCATTATCCTAGGCATTTCGTTTGTACTTACTTTCAAATTCCTGTACCACTGGGGTTCGATTGCTGGATTTGAGATTTACAGCCCCTATCAGGCAGCCTGAAGGAGAAAGAAAAGTAAAATCAGAGACAATGTATCTCAAACGGCAGAGAAACCTTGCACTGAGGTCAGGTTTTCCCGTCTGCGTAGGCTATGGTTACTAACCACAGAGGATGGAAAAATATTCCACAATAAAGTCTCTTAGGTAAGCCAAGTTAACTGCTTTCTCTCTCAAATCTGACCTTCACTGGAAGGAGCCAAGGGAAAGAGAAGAGTTCTAAGAATTCCTTCTCCTTTTTAGTCCCAGAACAAAGCCCTCAGAGCTTTAAAGCCTTTGTCTAAGCATTTCCTATTGACCCTTCGACACCTCTCCTCCCAGACCTGCCCGGGCCTTCTGCCCTTTCTCCCTCCATCTTCCCCTCTTCCCCAGGCTTCCAATCCTGCACAGGCACCCTCAGTGGCACGTGATATGGGCCAGACTCTTGGGCTGGAACTCTTCCCTTCGGGACGGCATCAACACTCTCTGGGTATGGTTATCAACCAGCTAGGAGTCCACCTCGCTGTATGAGCAACCCGGTGGTTCCAGTCCACGAAGAAGTTTTCACCGGTCTTTGTTGAAATGAGAAAAATAATAATATAACACGGTAATTTTCACGAAGCTGAGTTTATATCATTGATGAAAGCAAGATAACTAATTGCATGGCAATCCCTTTCAAAACTAGCATCTGATTCCTTATGGGTTTGGGCAAACATCAGAAACCTGTTTACCATGGTCTCAAAATTTCTCAACTAATCTTGGAGAGAAGATCAAGTAGGTACATGGACTACCTACAAAATATTATTCTTTAGCTGCCATGCCTCTAATAAAACATGCCATCCCCAAAGAAGGCCTTCATACAGAACACCTTGATGAAGGTCTCTGGGTCCTGGCTTATGATAACCGCTAAAGAAAATCACAGAGCAACTCTGCTCCAAGCTGCTTTAACTCCTTGCATATTGGGCAGCCTCACACAGCCCATTCTTTTCCTTTATCTTCTTTAATGGCCCAGCTACATGGATCTTTTCTTTCTAAATAGTCAGATTTCACTAATTCTAGCAAAAGCCCTAAACAATAATTCAATAAAAAGGGATGGAAAACAGAAGTGTAATATACCTGAATTGCTATTGGTTCCTAAAACACTTCCACAAAAAGTTATAGAACAAAGGACAAGTGAAGATAATGTTATTTTGTTTGGATAACCATGGCTACTCCCTCTGGGAGCCAGAAATACATACCATGCATGTGCAGCCCCTTCTACTTCTCCTTCAAAATGAAAGCGCCCAGTGATGCACTAGTAAAGAATGATATGTGAGGCTCCGAGTCTCTACCAAGGCCACACGGGCTCCTTCTAAGGAAAGTGGCCACAAACATTTCTCTCAGCATGAGCACCACGACTTCGACGAGACACCACCACTGGCTCTAAGGGACTATTGGCCATAAACATTTCTTCCAGTATGAGCACCACGACTTCGACGAGACACCACCACTGGCTCTAAGGGACTAGTGGCCATAAACATTTCTCTCAGCATGAGCACCACGACTTCGACCAGACGCCACCACTGGCTCTAAGGGACTATTGGCCATAAACATTTCTTCCAGTATGAGCACCACGACTTCGACGAGACGCCACCACTGGCTCTAAGGGACTATTGGCCATAAACATTTCTCTCAGTATGAGCACCACGACTTCGACGAGACGCCACCACTGGCTCTAAGGGACTACTGGCCATAAACATTTCTCTCAGTAGGAGCACCATGACTTAGACGAGACACCACCACTGGCTCTAAGGGACTATTGGCCATAAACATTTCTCTCAGTATGAGCACCACGACTTTGACGAGACGCCACCACTAGCTCTAAGGGACTATTGGCCATAAACATTTCTCTCAGTATGAGCACCACGACTTCGACGAGACGCCACCACTGGCTCTAAGGGACTATTGGCCATAAACATTTCTCTCAGTATGAGCACCACGACTTTGACGAGACGCCACCACTGGCTCTAAGGGACTACTGGCCATAAACATTTCTCTCAGTATGAGCACCACGACTTTGACGAGACGCCACCACTGGCTCTAAGGGACTACTGGCCATAAACATTTCTCTCAGTATGAGCACCACGACTTTGACGAGACGCCACCACTGGCTCTAAGGGACTACTGGCCATAAACATTTCTCTCAGTATGAGCACCACGACTTAGACGAGACACCACCACTGGCTCTAAGGGACTATTGGCCATAAACATTTCTCTCAGTATGAGCACCATGACTTCGACGAGGCACCACCACTGGCTCTAAGGGACTATGACCAGAGATCAGCTCTGGCCCAAAGACCATCAAGGACCTGAGAGGTGAGTCATGAGAGCACTGCTCACCTGGATGATGACTGGACAACCCAATCACATCTTTTCTCTTAAGAAGTATGAAGCCAAGAGAAATAAGAAAATGGGAGAGCTTATAGTCTAGAGAAATAGAAGTACATTATAAGGAGATACAGGCTGATTGGTCAAAATGGTGGAAATACTAGAGTTGGTAACAACAGGTGAACTAGAGGACATAAAAGGTAAATGGTGTTTAATTTTCGTGAAGGCCAACTGAGATATGTATCTTTATAATAAACTTGGAAGGTAAACTAAACCAATTTGTTTCTTACAACTTCAAAGAAGCTAAATAATGGCAATCGTCACTTCTTTTATCCCTCTGCATTATGGCAAAGAAATGAATGCTTTATACTTCTTCTTCTTTTTTTTTTTTTTTGAGACAGAGTCTCGCTCTGTCAGCCAGGCTGGAGTGCAGTGGCGCAACCTCGGCTCACTGCAAGCTCCGCCTCTTGGGTTCACACCATTCTCCTGCCTCAGCCTCCCAAGTAGCTGGGACTACAGGCGCCCACCACCACGCCTGGCTAATTTTTTGTATTTTTAGTAGAGATGGGGTTTCACCGTGTTAGCCAGGATGGTCTCGATCTCCTGACCTTGTGATCCGTCCGCCTCGGCCTCCCAAAGTGCTGGGATTACAGGCGTGAGCCACTGCGCCCGGCCTTTTTATACTTCTTAATGAAGCCTTGGCCTGACCACTCTCTTGTTCAACTATCCTAGGTAAGTTTCACAAGCAGCTTTGTATTTTATTTTTCATGAACTACACATGAGATTTAAATACAGGTAGCTTTTTATGCCAATCCTAGAAGGCAGTATATCCCAGGAAGACTCCAGAGCAGAGGGCCACTACAAGTCATGTAAAGTTCTAGCTTAAATGACTATCTGCAATGGCTGGGCACTACATCAGATAAGGTCCCAAGCTGAGAGTCCTTCCTCACAATTCTTCTATTTCCAAATAATCCTTAAATTTACTAATACTCTAGAGCTCCTTTCTTGCCCATCCCCAACAGACCAAGGTGCCACTTTAAAATGTAGTAGTAACTGTATAAAAGAATGGTAGTGTGAGGATTGGAAGGCACAAATCTAACACGTGAAGACATCGTAAGTAACTCATCCAGAATCCTGCCCAATGCCTGGGGATAAGATTCGGACAGAAGTACTTAGGAGATGGGTTCTGGGAGCCCACTTGCAGCGGTGGCTGCTGAAGTTTAATTGTGCACACACTGAATCCAGTGCTACAGGAATACTCATACTGAAGTTACATTATTTAAGAGTGAGGAAAGGGTTTTTTGGAAGGCGGAAAAAGGAAAACTGCTAATTTGTCAAATGCTGTTATTCCTATTCAATTTCCTATTTTGGCCTGTCCATCATACTCTTAAGCTCTCTGGGAGATTCCATTCATTCAGCAGTTTTTGTTTTGTTTTTTGAGACAGTTTCACTCTTGTCACCCAGGCTGGAGTGCAATGGTGTGATCTCAGCTCAATGTAACCTCCGCCTCCCAGGTTCAAGCAATTCTCCTGTCTCAGCCTCCCAAGTAGCTGGGATTACAGGTGCCTGCCACCACACCTGGCTAATTTTTTGCATTTTTAGTAGAGATGGGGTTTCACCACGTTGGCCAGACTGGTCTCGAACTCCTGATCTCAGGTGTTCTACCCGCCTCGGCCCCCCAAAGTGCTAGAATTACAGGGGTGGGCCACCGCGCCTGGCCATTCAACAGCTTTTATTTATCTCTTATTATATACTAGATACCTGTCTAGATATTAGGGCTAATACATGAATAAGATAGATAAAAATCTATTAGCCGGGCATCACACCTGTAATCCCAGCTACTCAGTAGGCTGACACAGGAGAATCACTTGAACCCAGGAGGTGGGGGTTACAGTGAGCTGAGATCAGGCCACTGCACTCCAGCTTGGGCGACAGAGTGAGACTCCATCTCAAAAAAAAGAAAAAAAAAAAAGGATAGATAAAAATCTGTGCTCTCATGGAGCTAACATTTTAGGATTAAAAAATACCGTATTTATTCATCTTTATTACATTTCAACGTCTGATTGCAAAACTTATTACAAAGCTAGATGATCAAAACAGTGTGGGGTCCCCCCACAGCATAAAGACAGACATACAGATCAAAGGTATAGAACAGAAAGCCCAGAAATAAATCCTTGCATATATGGTCAAGTGATTTTCCACAAGGATGCCAACATCATTTAATGGAGAAAGGACAACCTTTCCAACAACAGTGCTGGGAAAACTGGATATCCACATGCACAATGATGAAGTTAGACCCTTATATTAAGTCAAATACAGAAATTAGCTTAAAACATATAAAACACCTAAATTTAAGAGCTAAAACTATTAAATTTAAGAGCTAAAACTATAAAATTTTGGAAGAACGCATAGAGAAACATCTTCATGACACTGGGTTAGGCAATGATTTGATACAACACCAACAGCACAGACAACAAAAGAACAAAATAGGTAAACTGGACTTCATCAAAAAAAATTTAAACATCAAAGGACACTACCAAGAAAGTGAAAAGACAACATACAGAATGGGAGAAAATATGTACAAAGCATATATATATGATAAGGGATTAACATCCACAATATATAAAGAACTCCTACAACTCACCGACCAAAAAAACACAATTGAACAAATTTTAAAATGGGCAAAGAGTTCAAATAGACATGCCTCCAAAGAAGATATACCATGAAAAGTTGCTCAACATCACTAGCCTTTAAGGAAATTAAATCTAAACCACAATGAGATACCACTTCACATCCATTAGGATGGTTATGATTTCTTTTAAAGGGGGGAAATAATAAGAGTTGGTGAGGGTGTGGAGAATCCCAAACCCTGTACACTGCTGATGGGAATGTAAAATGGTGCAGCCACCATGAAAAGCTTGGCAGTTCCTTGAAAAGTTAAACACAGAATTACTATACAATCCAAATACTGTACGATGTAATTCTTATTCTTCCTCCTTTATAGCTAAGGTACTTTTCCCCTCTGTCTTCTTATGTTTTATTTATCTTTGATTTTCTGCAGTGTGATTATGATATGCCTAGATGTTTTTTTTTTTTTTTTTTTTTTTTGGCATTTATCCTGTTTGGTGTTTTCTGAGCTTCATGGATCTGTGGTTTAGTGTCTGGCATTAATTTGGGGAAATTCTCAGTCATAATTGCTTCAAATATTTTTGTTCTCATCTTCTGTTTCTGGTATTATCATTTACAAGTATGTTAATCTTCTGTAGTTGCCCACTTCTTGTATATTCTGTTCCATTTTTTAGGTCATCTTTCTCTCTGTGCCTTCAGTTTTGGATGTTTCTGTTGGCATATCCTCAAGCTCAGAGGTTGAGTCCATCAAAAACATTTTTCGTTTCTGCTAGTTTTTTTTATCTCTAGTGTTTCGTTTTGATTCTTTCTAAAAATTTCCATCTCTCTGCTTGCACTGTCCATCTGTTCTTGCATGTTATCTACTTATGTTATCTACTTTTCCCATTAGAACCCTTAGCATATTAATCAGAGTTGTTTTAAATGCCCAGTCTGATAATTCCAACATCTCTTCCATATCAGAGTTCTGATGCTTGCTCCATTTCCTCAAACTGTTTTTGCTTTTTAGTATGCCTTGTACTTTTTGCTGAAAGCCAGACATGATTACCCAGGAAAATAAACTGTAGTAAACAAGGCTTTAGTGTTGTGGTGGTAAGGTGTGTGTGTAGGGGGGAAGGATTCTATAGACCTATGATTAGGTCTCAGTCTTTCAGTAAGACTATACCCTTGGGCTGTGACCTTCACCACTGTGTCTCAGTCCCCACTCCCCTTGGGTGGAAAGATGACTAGAGGCGGCTGGAGTTAAGTACCTAACAAGTGGGATTTCTTCCTGAAACACATAAAAATCAATTACAGTATTACAACATATTAATAAAGTTGGGATGACATGATCATCCCAACTAATGCAGAAAAAGCATCTGAACTAATGCAACAATCCTTTCAAGATAAAAACACTCAGTAAACTAGGAATAGAAAGAACTTTCTATAGATGATAAAGGTCATATATGAAAAACCTATAGCTGACAGCATATTCAGTGGTGAAAGACTCAAAAGTTTTTCCCCTACAATCAGGAACAAGACAACGATGCCCACTTTCACCACTTCTATTCAACATGATATTGGAATTTCTAGCAAGAGCAGTTTGTCAAGAAAAGGACAAAAAAGGAATCGAAGTTGGAAAGGAAGTAGGAAAATTATCTCTGTTTGTAGCTGGCATGATCTTAGATGTAGAAAACCCTACATATTCCACACACCAAAAATATTAGAATAAATAAATGAGTTCACCAAGGCTGCAGGATACAAAACCAACATGCAGAACTTCTGGTTCTCAGTCTAGCATGCAAACAGCTTGGAAACCCTCATCCATCTTGACAACAAGTAAAAAGCTGAACAACCTGAAAATCAACTCTTCTTAGATTTGTCAGAGAAGTGAGGTCACAGGTCAAAACACTGTCTCCAGATTGGAGAGACAGACAGGCAGATAAAGAATCCCAACCTGCAGAGCAGAAACTCAGGAGAAGAAGCCTCTGCAGGAACCACCAGTACCAGAGTAGGAAAACCTAAACTATAAATGATGAATCATTGGAGGCTCAGTGCCAACAAGTCTGAGAGTTAAAAACTCTATGGGGCCCAGTCTTAGCAGGCCCCCCCAGACATTCTCGTGAGTTTTATCTCCAGGGGTCCTCCCTGGTTCTCTCAGTGAAGATGGGAGAAAAATCCCCCCATACTCCTGGCATAGGGAGGGGAAATGTTAGCCATTTTGAAATACCTCTGAAGCATTCTGTCCTTAACAAGGCCTGCCCAAAAGAGAAATTGTCTTACCAGAGTCTAACCTACTGGGATATAATCAGGACATAACTGACCTGAATTTGTGTTATAATTTCTTCAAAAATCACAATTATAAACCAAAATTATAAATATTAACTCGTGAAATTAGCTTTATCGGAGATCTTAATATCTTCATACACCTTCGAATTATTGTCTAAGTATTCTTTCATTTCAACCTGCGGGTCTCCCTTTCATATTTCCTATAGAGGTCTGGTGGTAATTAACTCCCTCAACTTTCACTTATCTGGCAATGTCTTAACTTCTGCTTCATAGTTGAAGGATGGTTTTGCTGGATATAGAATTTGTGTTTTACAATTGTTTTCTTGCAGCACTTTAAATATATCACCCCACTTCCTTCTGGCCTCCAAGGTTTCTGGTAAAAATTCAGCTTATAGTCTTCTTGAAGATTAATTGTATCTGCTGAGTCACCTCTCTCTGGGTGCTTTTAAGAATTTCTCTTTGTCAAGTTTGATCATGTGTCTCAGTGTGAGTCTCTTTGGTTGATTCTACTTAGAGTCTAGTGAGATTTTTGGATTTGTGGGTCTATGCCCTTCATCAAATTTGGGGAGTTTATTCTTCATTATTTCTCAAAATAATCTTTCTGCCCAGTATTTCTCCCCCTTCTAAAACTCCCACAATGCATATGATGGTCCACTTATTAGTCCCATGAGTCGCTTAGACTCTGTTCACTTTTCTTCCTTCCTTTTTCTTTTTGCTCCTCAAACTTGATAATTAATCGTCCTAACTTCTACTTTGCTAGTTCTTTCTTCTATCTGCATCAATCTGCTGTTGAAACCCTCTAGTAAATTTTTCATTTCAGTTATTGTATTTTCAGTTCCAAAATTTGTTTCATTTCTGTAATTTCTATGTCTTTATTGATAGTGTCCTTTTCTTCAGGGACTGTTTGCCTGATTGCCTTTAGTTCTTTGTCCATGTTCTCCCCTTAGGTGTTTGTGCATATTTTAAACAAATAGTCTTTGGCTAATAAGTCCAATATCTGTGCTGCCTCTGGGACAGTTTCTGTCAATCCCTTTAGTTCCTTTAAATGAGCCATGTTTTCCTGTTTCTTTGTATGCTCTGTTATTTTTTGTTGTTGTTGTTGATGCTGTTGTTGAAAATCTGGCATTTGATTATTATAATACGGTTAACTCTGGAAATCAGATTGTCCCCCCTCCCCCAAGATTTGCTGTGTTTTTTAAAAAAATTACTGTTTAAGGCTGTAGTAGTCCATTTGAGACTCAGAAGACTATTCCTTTTCAAGTTTGGTCACTGAGGTTCCTTAACCTTGTGTTCAGCTATTATAAGAGTATAATCAAGACTGTCTTAAGTGCCAAAAGCTGAAATAAACAAACACTACAACAACCACCCCCCCGCCCCCCCAAAAAAGAGCATATTATAGCCGTCTGAGTCTTTGGAGACTGGCTCTGTGCAGGGGTACTCCTTCATCTCTTAGCTAGGCTTATTCTGAATCTAGAGATCAGCCTGGGATGAATCTTAGCATCTTGTCAGGGCTTTTCTGATCATGTGTCTTGCCTGACATGATCACAGCTTTCTATTTTCCTTCATACATGTGGCTGCTTTTGAGAGTCGTAATTTCCTAAGAATCTCACCCAGTTTCTCCTCTGGGCCTTACAGGGCCTATTGTACATGTCCAGCCAGAATCTCTTCAGGCGTCTGTAGGTTTATAGTCACTCTGTAGCTTTTAATAGCAGTGCCCACTGGTTTTACTGCCTGCTTCCCTGATTATACAAGACAGAGACAAGCACCTTGCATTAGGCCTTCAGGTATCCCCCAGAAAGGCTGGAATAGACATACACATTAATTTGCAAATAATGTCTGCTCTGTTCCCTCCGGTTTGAGAGGAAAGCTGCGGAATAGCTGTTGCCTCTTCAAGACCAAATCAGCTACTATGCCAGGGAGAGGGTAGGGCAAGGGTGTGTAAAAATACCACAAATCTTTCCTACTGGTTTAAAGATGGCTCTTTTTGGTTAGATATTTGCTTGGTTGCTATAATCTTCGTTTGACTGATTTCAGAGCTTCTACAACGTCGGTTCAAATAGCTACTGGGTGATTTTTTAATTTTTCTGCTGGTGAACAGGAGCTTGGAACTTCCCAGTCCACCATTTTGCTGAGATCACTGTAAGTTAGCCTTGTCACTATTTTTTTTTTAGTAATTCTTATTCATCTTTGTATCTGATTCCCAACCATAATACCTAAGAACCCAAGAAGTTTCTGGAAAAGTTACTTATTTTAAGTAGGGGAAAAAGACACAGATAGTTTCAATACAATATAGCAAATGGCATGAGAGAAATCTACACCAATCCAAACATAGACTGAGTTAGTGTCTTTGCTCTTTCAATGTTTCTTTGATAACGGAGCTCTCATTCTCACTGTAAGTCGGTAAACTGGCATTGTGGGCTTATGTTTTCCCAGGATTTAATTGCTTCAGGTAGAACTAGCAAATGTGTTTTCAATCCAGAACTAGGTAGCTTAATCCAGGACAGAGGTAACTACTCGATGTGCTTATAATTCCATCTTCAAAACTCTGTTACATGACAAAGCTATGAACTATCTGGGGCCGTTTTTAATACTCTTACTGACTTTTTTTTTTGGAGACAGAATCTCACTCTGTAACCAAGGCTGGAGTGCAGTGGCGCGATCTCGGCTCACTGCAACTTCCGCCTCCCATGTTTAAGCGATTCTCCTGCCTCAGCCTCCCGAGTAGCTGGGACTGTAGGCGCCTGCCACCACGCCCGGCTAATTTTTTGTATTTTAGTAGAGATGGGGTTTCACCGTGTTGCCCAGGCTGGTCTCGCGCTCCTGAGCTCAAGCAATCTGCCCACCTCGGCCTCCCAAAGTGTTAGGCTTACAGGCGTAAGCCATCACGCCTGGCCTCTTAGTGACTTTTAATATGATTTTGCATACTCCAATTTTTCTCAAATGTAAAATATTATTTAAAAACTTACCCTTCTTTCACCAATAACTGAAGATAAGTAAGTTAAACATTTTAGAAGAGGGACCATTTATTATCATTATTCTACTTGCTATCTAGGGACCAATGACTTTCCAGAGGTCCAGAGAATAGCAAGTTTCAAATTTAAAGGCTTTAAATTTGAGACAGTAATTAATGTTAAAGAAGGTCATAAGGGTGTGGACTTAATCCAATATGACTAGTGTCCTTATAAGAACTTGAAAAGAGGCTGGGCACAGTAGCTCACGCCTGTAATCCCAGCACTTTCAGAGGCCGAGGTGGGCAGATAACAAGGTCAGGAGATTGAGACCATCCTGGCTAACACTGTGAAACCCCATCTCTACTAAAAATACAAAAAATTAGCCAGGCATGGTGGCGGGTGCCTATAGTCCCATCTACTTGGGAGGCTGAGGCAGGAGAATGGCGTGAACCTGGGTGGAGCTTGCAGTGAGCCGAGATCACGCCACTGCACTCCAACCTGGGCAACAGAGCGAGACTCTGTCAAAAAAAAAAAAAAAAAGAACTTGAAGAGATACCAGGGATGTGCCTGCACAGGGGAAAGATAATATGAGGACACAGCAAGAAGGCAGTCACCTACTGGCCAAGGAGAGGTCTCAGGAGAAACCAACCCTGCCAGCACCTTGATTTTGGACTTCCCAGCCTGCAGTACTATGTGAAAATACATTTTTGCTGTTCAAGCCACCTCTTTATGGTATTTTGTTAGGCAACTCCTAGTAAACTAATACAGAGGGGAATGGAAATGAATACAGAGCAAGAGAAAGATACAAAAAATGTAAAAATAGTATTTTCCAATATATTAGTCCATTTTCACACTATAAAGAACTACCAGAGACTGGGTGATTTATTAAGAAAAAAGGTTTAATTGACTCACAGTTCCACATGGCTGAGGCCTCAGGAAACTTACAATCATGGTGGAAGGCATAGGGGAAGCAGGCACCTTCTTCACAAAGCAGCAGGGGAAAGGAGGAGAGAGACAGAGCACACATGCACACGAGTGAGCGAATAAGGGGGGAACTGCCACACACTTTTAAACCATCAGATCTCATGAGAACTCACAATCATGAGAACAGCATGGGGGGAAGCCAACTCCATAATCCAATCACGTCCACCAGGGCCCCCTCCTTGACACATGGAGATTACAATTTGAGATGAGATTTGGGTGGAACACACCGCCAAACCATATCATCTGACTTTATACCAAATACAGAAATTCTAAATTTTTGAGTACCAAAATATGCTTGAATTCACAGTTGACAAAGGCTGTTAAGTATTTTGTTCAATGACATTTAATCCCAGCTCAGAGAGAGGTGAGTTCTGATGATACAGACTCTGGGGTCCACTCCCAGGAGGGCTGTCTCTGCAGGTGAGCAGAAATAACAAAGGATTTCTAAAACCACATGGAATGGCATCCCCAGCTACATTAAGGAGACGACTGGACCTCAGGCTGTTGTGTTCTCAAGTGATAATAACAATATATCAGCTCAGTTTCAGGCCAAGGCTAAAAAGCCCAAGAGGAAAACCTTTCTTTTTTCTTTCTTTTCCTTTTTTTTTTAAACTGTAAGCAACACCCCAAAGACTGATTTCACTTTTATAAACAAAAAAACCACTGTTTGATTCATAGTGGGGGTCAATATGTGCTTTCTTAGAGGCACTTGGTTCCCAACAAGAAAGGCATGTCTGTCTGGACATCCAGTGCAGAGAGGAGTAAGAAGAGCCCAGAGAGTGCACAGGTGATGATGGAGAGGTCCCCTGAATACTGACCAGCCTCACTTACTCTCTTCTGTTTCCTCTCTTCTATGCCTTTCTTAATGTGATTCTAGGAGCAGCGGTTGTCACTCCATTCTCTGTTGTGCCTACTTGTTAGAAATATATTAAACTAATTCTGTATTTATTTTCAAAGGCATCAAGTTTTATTTTGTTTTGAAATCGAGTCTCACTCTGTCGCTCAGACTGCAATGCAGTGGCATAATCTCAGCTCATTGCAACCTCCACCTCCGGGGCTCAAGTGATCCTCCTGCCTGAGCCTCCAGAGTAGCTGGGACTACAGACATGTGCCACCACGTCCGGCTAATTTTTTGTATTTTTAATAGAAACGGGGTTTCACCATGTTGGCCAGGCTGGTCTCAAACTCCTTACCTCATATGATCCACCTGCCTTGGCCTCCCAAAGTGCTGGGATTACAGGTGTGAGCCACCACGCCCGGCCAAAAGGCATCAAGTTTTAAAATGACTCACTACAATGGCATTAGTTCTTATTCTTGAAACCAGGGCCATCAGACATCATAGTTCCAGAAGTAGGGAAGGAAGTGAAAATGATTCAGATTAATTCCTTAGGGTCACTCTTCAAGACAGTCAGAGCAAGTGGTATCATTTCCAATTTACAACCGATGATGTGGCCAAGTGGCTTGCCTATAGTCCACAGCCAAGTGATGGAGCCAGCACTTCAAGCTGTATTCTTAAACTCCATGTCTAACACTCTTTCTATTACATTCTGATGCCTACAATTCTTCTTCTTCCTATGACTTCATGCAAGAGATTAACTACACGCTTTGGTGTTTTGTTTTTATTGTGTGCATGCTTGACCAGAAATGTGGCAAGAGATAATAGTTTGATAATTCCTTCTCTATAATCTAGCCACTTATTTCTCAAATGCTAAGTGACACTAAGATGGCCCAAAGGCAAAGCTATCCTACAATGCATCAGTGCCAGTTTATCTGTCACAATGACAGAGAAGGAGAAGTTATTATTATCCTTAAGGCCAGAACTAGGTATTAAACAGCTAATAATCAGTGGGATTTAGAGTGGAGACAAAATTAGGATTCAGAGTTTAGACAGAAGACAGTTTTACTTCCAGATTCATGCCCCTTGCCATGCACAGTGGTATCTAGCACAGTTTTCTACACAGGAAGACCTGACCAGGAAACTGACTTTGCTATCCTAGCTCTGTCATAGACTTCCTGAATCATCTCCAACTCACAGTCCTCAGCAAAATCCCTCCCATATCTGTGTGCTCATGTTTGAACCACACTAATAAAGAGGCTCAGGCAACATGCACTTCTGTATAAAAAGTAACCCAGTTCTGAAGCCTGCTTTAAAGCATGTAGAAATGTGGGTTGCCCTAAGATAAACAGCACAGGCACTTACCAGTCAGGAGGTTTTCCTCAGCTCTCAGCAACAGATGACAAAGTCATGCATATAAACAAATCTGCAAGGCACTGCAGCATGGGCAAGACAGAGGATGACAAAGAGAGATGGCAGGGATGGAGCGCACTGTGGCCATCCATCTGCATATGAGTCACCACCTCTGAACAACAGCCTTTTCCTCATTTGTTTAGAGAGCCTCAGCAAAGCAAATGCAGGGTAGAGAGCCAGAGGACCTTGGGATCAATTTCTAAGTTTTACTGTCATCTGGTTAAGTAATTTCTAGGCTCAAGTATTACTAGCATTCTACCTTTATGGACAGTTGTCCACAAGGAAAATCTATGCTTTTCCTGGGAAGACAAGGGTGGGACAGGGAAGGGATGTCGCAGGAAAACCTACCAGCTATACAGAACACGAATTTTCACATATGAGGAGCCAGCCAATCAGCAGTGTGCAGAGAGAGAAGGACAGAGGAAAGTGAGACCTTTAGTTTCACAAAGAGCATGATTTTGACATAGAGCAAGTGTGAAGGTACGCTGCTTCCTGTAGATCAGTTGACTATTCTGCTGAAGAGGAAAATGAACCCATCGGGGTGCTTTTTCTGAAGAGGCCTGTCAACCAGCTTGTAGGACTGATGTCTAATGTAGAGAAAAAACAAAGCAGACACTGTGCTTTCTCCTACCAACATTTTGATAATTAGCAAAGCAGGAAGGAGCTACAGGATGAGCACACAGTGCTGCTGGGACTTGAACGAGCTGTACATTCTCCTGAGTATTGTCGGGGCTCACATTCTGTGCTGCGTCTCACAGCACGTTCTCAACACCGATTCAGCTTCCCAGCATCCATCGATGGAAAGATGACTACACTCATGTCCCAGACAGGGGATCGGATGCTAGCGAGGTCAATGGCTACAAGTACAAAGTAAAAACCAGAAGCTGGGAGTTTTGCCTCTTACTCCCTACTTCTTGCTTTATTGTATAATCTTATAAGAAGAAATACAATATTAAAATCTATCCAGAACTAAAAAAGAAAGCAACAAATAAAGTGGGAAGAGGATCTGTACGAAAAGGAAAACATGAATCAGACCTTGAAGCCTAAAAGGAGATCCCATTGTTTGAGTAAAACCCTATCTTGGATGAGTCTGCAAGGGAAGCGACCTAAAAAAAGCCTCTGACATGATGTGCAGCTGGCACCGTCATCTTCAACACAGCCATCTCTTCCTTCCAGGGAAGATGTGGAACTAAGTTGAGAGAGAGAAGAGGGGGCGGGAGCTGCTTTTGGCTGCCCGTGCAGCGGCGGTGGCGGCGGCACGATCGGCCGGGCTGTAGCCGTTGTCCGTCCGGGAGCGGCTGGAGCAGCAGTGGCGGCGGCCGTGCACCTCGGGAGGCGACACCACAGGGCAGCGGCGGCTGCAGGAGCAGCAGCAAGACAGACTCGTGGAGACGCGCCGCCGCCACCGGGCGGGTGTCGCGCGCTGAGGCTGGGGGGTGTCGTCGCCGCTGCCGCAGAGGTAACTGAGGAGAGGGGCGCCTCCTCGCTCCTGCCACCGCCGGACTTCAATGCCCGGTCCCCGCTCGCCAGCGTTTTTCGTTGGAATATACGTTGCACATTTACGGCGATTCTGAGTGTGAGGGCAGACTTCTGCCGGGCTCAGCACAGCGTTTTCGCTGACAAGCTTAGAGGTTCTATGTGCCATAATTAACACTGCCTTGAACACTCCTGGACACACCGACCGGCCTCAGAAATAGCTGGCTTTTTTTTTTAATTGCAAGCATATTTCTTTTAATGACTCCAGTAAAATTAGGCATCAAGGAAACAAGTGGAAAGCGACCTACACTTTTAACTTGCCTCACTAGTGCCTAAATGTAGTAAAGGCTGCTTATGTAGTTGGATTTTTTTGGAGTCCGAAGGTATCCATCTGCAGAAATTGAGGCCCAAGTTGAATTTGGATTCAAGTGGATTCTAAATACTTTGCTTATCTTGAAGACAGAAGCTTCATAAGGAATAAACAAGTTGAATAGAGAAAACACTGATTGATAATAGGCATTTTAGTGGTCTTTTTAATGTTTTCTGCTGTGAAACATTTTGATTTATTGATTTCTTTCACTTTTCCCATCACACTCACACGCACACTCACATTTTTCATTTGCCATAATGAACCGTCCAGCCCCTGTGGAGATTTCCTGTGAGAACATGCGTTTTCTTGTAACTCACAACCCTACCAGTGCTACTCTCAACGAGTTCCCAGAGGAACTTAAGAAGTATGGAGTGATGACTTTGGTTCGAGTTTGTGATGCTACGTATGATAAAGCTCCAGTTGAAAAAGAAGGAATCCACCTTCTAGATTGGCCATTTGATGATGGAGCTCCACCCCCTAATCAGATAGTAGATGATTGGTTAAACCTGTTATAAACCAAATTCTGTGAAGAGCCAGGTGGCTGTGTTGCAGTGCCTTGTGTTGCGGGATTGGGAAGGGCACCTGTGCTGGTTGCACTTGCTTTGATTGAATATGGAATGAAGTACGAAGATGCAGTTCAGTTTATAACACAAAAAAGAAGGGGGGCCTTCAATTCCAAACAGCTGCTTTACTTGGAGAAATACTGACCTAAGATGTGATTACGCTTCAGAGATACCAACGGGCACTGCTGTGTTCAGTAGAAAGAAATGTAAATGAAGGCTCACTTGATTGTGGCATTTAGAGGGAACCCTTGGTACCTGGAAATGTGAATCTGGAATCTTACCTGTGTCATCAAAGTAGTGATGGATTCACTACTCCTCAACCACTCTCCTCATGATTGGAACAAAAGCAAACAAAAAAGAAATCTCTCTATAAAATGAATAAAATGTTTAAGAAAAGAGAAAGAGAAAAGGAATTAATTCAGTGAAGGATGATTTTGCTCCTAGTTTTGGAGTTTGAATTTCTGCCAGGATTGAATTATTTTGAAATCTGTCTTTTTAAACTTTTTCAAAATAGGTCTCTAAGGAAAACCAGCAGAACATTAGCCTGTGCAGAACCATCTGTCTGGGGAGCACACTCTTCATTATGCTTGGCACATAGATCTCCCTGTGGTGGGATCTTTTTCCCTTTTTTGGGGGGGGGGGGGTGGTGGTGTATTTTTCTCCTTTTTTCCTTCCTCTCCTACATGTCCCTTTTTCCCCTGATGCAAGTTGTAGATGGAATAGAAGCCCTTGTTGCCGTAGATGTACGTGCAGTCTGGCAGCCTTAAGCCCACCTGGGCACTTTTAAATAAATAAACAAACAAATAACTAAATAAATAAAAGCAGTGACATATAGATATATTATATGATCCAGGTGGTTTTTAGTCTTTACTGATGAAAGGGTGTTCATGTTAGCTTCTTTTCCTCAAAACCCTATCTAATACTAGACAAAGTAGCCAAGAGCCTTTTGTTTTATTTTGATAAATTAGTGGGGAAATGGCATTTTAAGAGGAGTCTCTTCTCAAAGAAGTTAGCTGAGAGTTGAATTCTTCTCTTCCCTAACCAGTGAAACTAAGTGGATATCCCAGAAACTTGTCTTCTAAAAGGGAGGACTCCAGGCCATCAACAAAGATGTCCAGGCAGTGGGCCTACTTTCTACACCCTGTACAATTGTGGGCTGTAGCGTTACTCTGATTTTCTGTCTAGTATCAGAGAATGCTGGTAGCTTAAAATTTTTATTTTAGGACTTGTACTGTGAATGTTCAGAAACGGTCAAAGAAATAGCAGCGAATTCACATATTTTCGACTTGAGAAATGCTTGTGGTGTTTTCCAAACTGCCCCCTATATGTAAAGTTCAGTTTAACCATTGATTGCCTTGTTATTACTAGGTTCTTTTGAGATTAAAAAATATCCCTGGTTTAAAACCAGCGATGATGCCTAGTGAGTATGTGTCCACAGGCCATAACAGGGTAGAAAAGCAACGTTGGGCAACGCAGTGAGTAGCGCAGGGACTGTGTTGCTGGTGAAGCGGTGTAGCAGCATTTCTGCAGATTCTTGGCTGGGTTTAGTGGACTGATCCAGAAGAGGTGTTTTTCTGATCCTTTGTGGAAGGCAGTTACGATCAGGCTGCATGGACAAAGCAGGTAGAGGGGTACCATCAGGGGCTCTTGCACTATTTTTACCTCTAAATATTACATTCTCAGTAGTGCCCTGCTTCTAAGGCTCTGAATACAGGCTTAAAGTCATCTTATCTTGCTGGAATTTGCTGTGCAGAGCCATAAGCCTCCCATTTTGTTAGCGTCAGCTAGGCCAGTAGGAACAGACCGGGACCTTGTCTCACACTGATGATACCTCAAATGTTGGCCGGCTATGTGAACTGCCTATTTCCTATTGCTGGAGTTTTGATTTTTAACTAAATACAAATCTGTAGATTCTCTCTTCTCCCATCCCAGAAAACAAAACAAAATAATGCTTTCTGAAATTGTTTCTGGGACTTAAAAGTAAAAAAATAATGGTATATCCAAAATTCTCCATTTCAAAACACAACAACAGATTCCATTAATATAGACTCAAGATCAAAACAGCACACGTGCTAAGCTAAGGTAGACAGTGTTGACTCCAAGTGTTTTGATCAATACCATGACAAACCTTTTCCCTTTGACACACTCTGAATTTTGTTTGGGAGGAGGGTGTGTGTGTGTGTGTGTGTGTGTGTGTGTGCGCACACATGCACGCAGTGTCCATCAGTATCAGTGCCTGCCCAAGTTAGGAAAATTACATTCCTGGTTCTGTATTGAGGAGAAGGATGTATAAAGCAACATGAAACATTAGCCCTCATTTTCTTTTAAATTAAAGACTAATGTTAATTGTTCTCAAAACTGGATTTTTTTCCTTAAAATTAAAGGAATCTTTTTCTTTTGGATTTAATGAAGTATTGCTAGCTGAAGCCAGTTTGACATAGAGAGATGTCAGAATGATTTGAAAGGTGTGCAGCCTGATTTAAAACCAAACCCTGAACCCTTTTAAAGAACAACAAAACATGTTTTACATGCTCAAAAAAAAAAAGGAGGGAGCTGGCAGATGGGAATGATAAGGCAGGAGAGGAAATGAGGAAATACTGACTCGCTTCTGCTCACAATGGCCTTCCTAGCTCACACGGCTCCTCAGATTCTTCTCTGGAACTACTGTGTTCTGTTTCCCCTTCCCTTTCCTAATTTGGAACAATTTTAGCAGCTGTGGACAACAACTGCAGTTTCTTATTTCAGTTTTGAGAGACCTTCCGGAAACTCTGCCAGAGTCTGCGGATCTGATGCCAGACAAGTTATATGACAATCACTTCGCTTGTTTAAAATACCATTTCCCAACCCACCTCCTCACGCCCTGGAGCACAGTCCCCCAGTTCTAACTCAACAGGCTGGGAAAGGTCTGGATCTGCACTGTCCCCAGCCTCTGGAGTGACGCTATGCACAGCCCCATTTGGGATGCCCTACTGAGGCACTCCTTCTGTGGGGGCCAGACCCAGCATCTGCGGTTGGTGCACAGAAACACAGCTCTATTGTTGAGCATGAGGATGACGCCTGCTTTCCTGTACTATTCTGAAGAGTTACTGGCTATAAAATGCTTCTACAGCTTCAGGCAAAAAGAACTAACATAAAATATTATTAAAACAATACATTTAAGCCATAACAGATATTGAGGTAATGTTAGTCTCAGCCCACAAATTTCCTGATTCCATAGAGCCTGGCTCATTTTGATGGATTTTGCTAAGAGTTTTCACATAATGGCGTGAGCATCCTGAAGCAGAGTGAGGGTCCATGAAAAACTGAACTCCCAGATTCGTCAAGGTTTGAATGTGCAAACTCCCCGTCCTCTTTCCTTGTGGTAGTGAAACTCATCGGAATAGCAGAGCAGACTTGTTGACTCATGAACAGAATGCTGGGGCACTGGGAGACGGGAGGCTTCCAACATTAACAATGGCTACTAACATTTAACTGCAGAGATGCTGAGAGAAAAATCAATGGTTGTCTTAGCTTTCCACGAAAAATTAAATTAATTTGGGTTTATACTCATTACAGTAAGCCAAGAAGGAAAAGAAGTTCTTTTAGAAAATGTTTCCACTCTGAATCTGATGTGTTGCTCACTAAGAACTAGTTTATGCATGTCTGGCTCTCTAAGGAGTTATATTTAGCTTGCTGGCATTCTGTCCAGTTTGTCTCTTGCTCAAAAGACATTTTTCCTTGACCAGGACTCACGTCAGCATGCATTACTGCGAGGCTGCACTAGCCGCTGAGGCTCAAGCCTAAACATACAACGGCAGCGCAGGCTTTCTAGTGGAGAAAGGCTACATGTTTACCCTTCACAGCAGACCGCTGCTGTACAGCTGCTTCGCAGAGTCTACCCTAGAGAAGAATATATCCCATAAAATAGCATCTTTGCAGCAATGTCTTAGTTCCTTCACCAATTTTTTAAGGAATTTAAGAGAAAATGGGGGGTGGGAGGTGGGGGTGGATAAAGAACACATATCAGCATTTTACAGACCCACTCACCCATACACACAGCAAAGTATATAGTAAATCGATCAAATATGGGTTCTGACAAGAGCACAGCCAGCTGAAGTCCTGGTTATATTTTGTGACCTGGCTTAACTAAATGGTTATATACAAAACAGACCATTGAAAATGAAAGTACAAAAAGACCCAACCAAGTATCATGGAATTCCAAATAAACCTAGCTGTGAGGGTTAATTTTATGTGTCAACTTGGAGGGTTTTTAAGATGAGATTAACATTTAAATTTGTGAACTTTCAGTAAAGCAGACTGCCCTCCATAATGAGGGCGGGCCTCACCTGATCATTTAAATAAAACACAAAGACTGGCCTCCTCTCCAAGAGGAAACTCCTCCAGCAGACTGCCCTGCAGACTTCACTGGCATCGTCGACTCTCCTGGGTCTCCAGCCTGCTAGCCCATACTGCAGATTCTGAACTCACCAGCTTTCTTAATCGTGTGAGTCAATTCCTTATAATACATCTCTATCTCTCTATCTCCTAATAGTTCTGTTTCTCTGGAGAATCCTAAACACTAATACTCTGGCAATGGCACTTCTTAAAAGAAAAATCTTAAGTCATTTCACTGTATAGACATTATATGAAAAGCTCTTCCAGTGGCGATCCTAAAAGCTGAGTCAGAGCAGTACCATGTAACACCCCAGGGTTAAGCCAGCAGGAAGACCTCAAAGCAGGTGCTATTTCTTTGAGTGTACAATCTTTTCTTTCTATTTGATTCTATCATTTCCAAACCCAAACCACCAAAGACTTCTTGCCAGTCGTGCTGACTCATGCCTGTGATCCCAGCACTTTGGGAGACTGAGGAGGGCAGATCACTTGAGATCAGGAGTTTGAGACCAGCCTGGCCAACATGGCGGAACTCTGTCTCTACTAAAAAAAAAAATACAAAAATTAGCCGATGTGCTTGCTTGAACCCAGGAGGTAAAGGCTGCAGTGAGTTGAGATCATGCCACTGCATTCCAGCCTGAGCAACAAAAGCAAGACTCTGTATCAAAAAAAAAAAAAAAAGATTTCTTGAGCACAAATCTGATTAATCCAGTCAGATAACACCAGAGTAAAACTCCACCTAGCAGCCACCTTAAATAGAAGTGTTCGAAGAAACGGCTAACCTGGAAAGACCGTTAACCAACCCCGCTCTCATCTCCAATTGAAAGGCTTTTAAAGCATAAGTGGAAAGTCCAGGATTATCATGGGGAGGAAATTATTGCCATGTTAATCGAAGCTATGAGGAAAGACAAAAGAGAAAGGGAATGGCTGGGTCTTATATACACTTTCACCATCAAACCACCAAGTAAAAACGTGGATAAAATATCAAAGAAGGAGTGGTGGCAGGGAGAGAGGAGGAAGAGTAAAGGCAGGGTGAAGGCAGCAGAGCAGACAAGGTTGGGGTTGGTGGGAGACAGGCAGGGGGAGGCCAGAGACAAAGAGAGGACAGAGAGGAGGAAGTGAGAATAGCCTGAAGGACAGCACCACTTCCATTGTAGTGGTGCAATGACTTCCCAGTGTTTTCAGTAACTCAGGGAGAACCTGTGCAAAGGAGATGGAACTGTACAGCACTTGGCTTGACTCACCATGGGCTCAGTTCTACACTGAAATAATGGAAATATAAAAATGATGGGTGGAGGGAGGGTCACCATCTTTGCATGAGCCTGGCACTGTTACTTTTTCTAACTGCAGACCAGTCAGACCAATTATAAAATATTCTTGGCTCTAAAGCACAGATGAACACATAAAATCCTCCTGCCTGTTGCCATGAGACCCATCTTAGAGGTACTGAGGCATGACAAATGTGTATGACTAAACACAGAACATGTGTCAAGGCATATTCTTGTTCAGTAAAATAACTCATTTGGAAATACATTATCCCTAATATTTGCCCTGAGCATAAGACCTTGGCATGAAGCTACTTTCTGTGTGAGCCCAGTCCCATAAACACTATTTGCATGTGATTACAGATTCTGGTATCAGAATTCCAAGAGAGGAATGTGTGCTCTCATATGCTACAAAAAAATAATTCAAAGTTACACCTGCATTCCAACTGCAGACATTCTGCATTAACCCCCATCCAGTATAGCCTCTTTAGGGCTCACAGTACCCTTCGGAGGTACATGGAACTAGCCTTCACTGTTATCTTGAAGACAGTGCAGGAGTGATCACCCTTCTTCAGAATCTGAATGGATGAGCTACTTCAGGAACCGAACTTGAAAATATAAGGGAATCTCACCTATCAAAGACCATTGCATGGAAGACAGGGACCAGTTATTCGTTTGCTTTGTTTCACTCCACTGTCATATCCCACTGTCATATCAACAAGAGGAAACATATTCAAGCTGCAAAACCTGGGCTTTAGGTTTAACATGTTAAAGGAAAAATAAATATGCTATAAAATATTCCAGTGGTAACTGGGATGCTGAAGGAAAGTGGAAGGGGTGGTGGTATTTACAAAACAGTTGAATTCTGAGATGTTCACATCAGTTTTACTGCAGTCTCTCCTGAGGTAGAACAGACTGCAAACTACCAAATATTTCTCTCTAATAAGGGAAGACATCAAGACAGCTTTACTTCTTCCCCGCCAATTTGGATTGTTTTTCTTTTTTTGAGATGGAGTTTTTTGCTCTTGTCGCCCAGGCTGGAGTGCAATGGTGTGATCTCAGCTCAGTGCAACCTCCGCCTCCCGGGTTCAAGCAATTCTTCTGCCTCAGCCTCCTGAGTAGCTGGGATTACAGGTGCCCACCACCATCCCCGGTTATTTTATTTTATTTTATTTTTTGTACTTTTAGTAGAGACAGGGTTTCACCATCTCAGCCAGGCTGGTCTCAAACTCCTGACCTCAGATGATCCACCCACCTCAGCCTCCCAAAGTGCTGGGATTACAGGCATGAGCCACTGTGCCTGGCCGTGGATTGTTTTTTTTTTAAGTTTCTTTTTCATGCCTGGTTGTATTGGCTAGAACCTCCAATATGGTGTTGAGTAGAAATGGTGTGAGCAGATATCCTTGTCTTGGTTAAACAAATAACTATAAATACGTTGTAGGTAATGACAGCCAAGTTTCTCACATCAAAGAATGAATATGCAAGGGGAAAATGCTAGAATTAACCCTGTAGTGCTGAATTTGAGTCAGACATACCACTATAAACTAATGTTTATTTTAACATAGATACAAATAGAGAAATAGTATAGATATGTGTGTATACGTGGATATAAATACATGTATCTCCTAGCCCTGTTCACCGAGAGCCTAGAAGCAGTGACACCTGATAACCAAAAGCATTTCTAGTACCCAGGTCTAGTTTCCCATATACCATTCTCTAGTAAAAAGAATCAGGGCTCCCTGAAAAATGGCTGATTCTAGGACAGGGAAAATACAAGATAAGCCTGGAGCACCCTGTAGTGTCAGAGAGCAAGAAAGTGCTAAAAAACAAACAACGACAAAAAATCCCAGCCACCTGAAAGAGCTTCCAGTGGCCAAAGCTGGAAGATTTTAAGAAAAAAAATTATGATACTATTGGATTATAATACAAAGAATACAATACCCATAAATCCACACTAATATGCATAAATGATGAATAAGCAAATAAATGAGAGACAGAGGCCAAATTTTCTTTACAGGAGAATTACAATGAACAAATGTAGAAAGAATAAGGGAAATAGGAAATAATCATTAGAACACCATAGTAATAACTGCTATAGGGAACATCCACTAATGACTGCCAATATTCATGAAAAAACTTTATCAGAATACTTGAATAGCCTCATAACATCTTATCCACCGAAATATTTATTAATTATTATGGTAATTTTAGCATACATCCACAAATTATCTGATTCTCCTCCCTCCAGGAAGTGAAGCTTAATTTCCATCTCCTTGAGTGTGGGCTGAACTCCTAAAAAATAGAAAGGGAAAAAGAAACATACTAACTTTACAGTGGAGAAACCTTGTAGACACCACCTAAACCTAGTGATCAGGGTAGCAATACCAGCAACATGTCATGATGATATTATATACCCTTTGATATGATGAGAAGGGCACTGCACTTTTATGGTATCTATCCCCTCCTCCAATTTTTTATTTATTTATTTTGAGACATGGTCTCATTCTGTCACCCAGGCTTGAGTGTAGTGGCGCAATCATGGCTTACTGCAGCCTCAAACTCCTGGACTCAAACCATCTTCCCACCTTGGCTTTCTGAGTAGCTGGGACTACAGGTGTGTGCCACTATGCCTTGCTAATTTTTTTTTTTAAGAGACAGGATCTCACATGTTACCCAGGCTGGTCTCAAACTCCTGGGCTCAAGTAATCTTCCCACCTCATTCTCCAAAAGTGCTGGGATTACAGGCATTAGCCGCACAGCACCTGACCCCCTCCCCCAATCTATAAACCAAGTCTAATCATGAGAAAACATCAGATAAACTCAAATTGAAGACTTTCTGCAAAACACCTAACCACTACTCTTTAAATATATCAAGGTCATAAGTTATAGCTAATAAACCAACAAAAAAGACCAAACAAAGTTACCCAATAGAAAAGAAGGCATAAAAAGAACAAAAGAACAAAGAACAGATGAAACAAAGGAAAACAAATGCAAGAGAAAAGACTTAAACCTAACTATATCAGTAAACGCAATGTAAATAGTCTAAACATCCCAATTAAATGGCATATATTGTTAGATTAGATTTTCTCCTAAAAAAGCAAGGCAACTTTAAATATAAAGATACAAAGCTTCAAAATAAAAGGATGAAAAAAGATATACTAAGTTAACACTAGCCAAAAGAAAAGTGGAGTGGCTATATTAGTATCAAAGTATATTTCAGAGCAAAGAATATTACCAGGGATAAAAAAGGTTAGTTCATAATGATAAAGGAAGTCATTTCATAACAATAAATTTAAAAATCGATAAAGAGGTCAATTCATCAAAAGAACATAAAAATTCTAAACATGTATGTACCTAGTAACAGAGCTTCAAAATATATTATGCAAAAACTGAAAAGAACTGCAAGGAGAAATAAACAAATCCATAGGATTCTTTGTTCGAGATTTCAACACTACTCTCAATAGCAGAACAAGTGGACAGAAAATCAGTAAGAATGCTGATTTTTAAAAATTCTATCGACTAACTTGACCTACTTCACATTTATAGAACACCTAACCCAAAGACAGCAGAATACATATTTTTGACAAGTGCAAATGGGACATTTACCAAGGTAGACCATATTCCGAGCCATAAAACAAATCACAATACGTTTTAAAAGATTCAAGTCATACAAAGTTTGTTTTCTGACCACAGTGAAATTAAAATAGAGATCAGTACAGAAAGGCATCTGAAAAATCCTAATGTTTGGAAACTAACACATTTCTCAATAATCTGTAAGTCAAAGAAGAATCAAAAGGGAAATTAAAAAGTGTTTTAGCTTGGTCCTGGTACCAAAAGAGAGATAGAGACCAATGGAACACAACAGAGCCCTCAGAAATAATACCACACATCTACAACCATCTGATCTTTGACAAACCTGACAAAAACAAGAAATGGGGAAAGGATTCCCTATTTAATAAATGGTGCTGGGAAAACTGGCTAGCCATATGTAGAAAGCTGAAACTGGATCCGTTCCTCACACCTTATACAAAAATTAATTCAAGATGGATTAAAGACTTAAATGTTAGACCTAAAACCATAAAAACCCTAGAAGAAAACCATTCAGGACATAGGCATGGGCAAGGACTTCATGTCTAAAACATCAAAAGCAATAGCAACAAAAGCCAAAATTGACAAATGGGATCTAATTAAAACTAAAGAGCTTCTGCACAGCAAAAGAAACTACCATCACAGTGAACAGGCAACCTACAGAATGGGAGAAAATTTTTGCAACCTACTCATCTGACAAAGGGCTAATATCCAGAATCTACAATGAACTCAAACAAATTTACAAGAAAAAAACAAACAAACCCATCAACAAGTGGGCAAAGGATATGAACAGACACTTCTGAAAAGAAGACATTTATGCAGCCAAAAGACACATGAAGAAATGCTCATCATCACTGGCCATCAGACAAATGCACATCAAAACCACAATGAGATACCATCTCACACCAGTTAGAATTGCGATCATTAAAAAGTCAGGAAACAACAGGTGCTGGAGAGGATGTGGAGAAACAGGAACACTTTTACACTGTTGGTGGGACTGTAAACTAGTTCAACCGTTGTGGAAGACAGTGTGGCGATTCCTCAGGGATCTAGAACTAGAAATACCTTTTGACCCAGCCATCCCATTACTGGGTATATACCCAAAGGATTATAAATCATGCTGCTATAAAGACACATGCACACGGATGTTTATTGCGGCACTATTCACAATAGCAAAGACTTGGAACCAACCCAAATGTCCATTAATGATAGACTGGATTAAGAAAATGTGGCACATATACACCATGGAATACTATGCAGCCATAAAAGATGATGAGTTCATGTCCTTTGTTGGGATATGGATGAAGCTGGAAACCATCATTCTCAGCAAACTATCACAAGGACAAAAAACCAAACACCGCGTGTTCTCACTCAGAGGTGGGAATTGAACAATGAGAACACTTGGACACAGGAAGGGGAACATCACACACCAGGGCCTGTCGTGGGGTAGGGGAAGCGGGGAGGGTTAGCATTAGGAGATATACCTAATGTAAATGACGAGTTAATGGGTGCAGCACACCAACACAGCACATGTATACATATGTAACAAACCTGCACGTTGTGCACATGTACCCTTAAAGTATTAAAAAAAAAAAAAACCAGACAGTCCAGTCCCAGAACCCACATTGTCAATTACTACTCTGTAAAAGATTCATTTGTTGAAATTCATTGAGTAAAACATTTATGATCCCTTAATATATGCCAGTTACCATGCTAGGTACTGAAGATTCAAGTGACCGAGATGCTAGCCCTTGGGTTCAAGTGATCCCTCTCCCAGAGTGCACTGGACTGGAGTGCTCTGTTGATGACCTTGCTGGGTATTACTTGGAGCCCACTCCAGGCCCTAGCCCATCACACAGAAGACAGCATATATAACTTTCTCTTTGGTCTGTGGCTTCAGACCTCAAATGAGACAAGATTTTCATGCTCTATTTCATGCTCTACCCCTCTCCATTCATATTGGAGGTCATATCCTCTTACACGACATGAAGGCAGCTATCTTAAGTTTGGGCAAGGCAAAACGAGTAAGAGCATGTACTCTGGAGTTGCTACTTGAGTTGATCTCCTCCACCGGTACCAATTAGTAGCCATGTGACCTCTGTGTGAGTGAGTTTCCTTGTCTATAATTGGGGTAATTGCAGTACCTACCTCATAGGATTGTTGGGAGGAATATGTTAATAAAAGTTCAGTGTTGGTAAGGAACTTGGTGGTGGACACATAGTATATACTGCAGGAAATGTTAGCAAAATATGTGTGTGTGTCATCGTACATAATTAAGTATATCTGTGTCAGCATATATAATTTATATAATGAACACACACACATAGTAGTTTCATTTAGATAGAGTGACTTGAAACCTGCACTTCCATCTCTGATGCCAAGTATACAGCCCATTTTAAATTGATTGACTGGCTGGGTGCGGTGTCTCACGCCTGTAATCCCAGCACTTTGGGAGGCTGAGACAGGTGGATCACCTGAGGTCAGGAGTTCAAGACCAGCCTGGTCAACATGGTTAAACCCCGTCTCTACTAAAAACACAAAAAATGAGCTGGGCGTGGTGGTGCATCCCTGTAATTCCAGCTACTTGGGAGGCTGAGGCAGGAGAATTCCTTGAACCCGGGAGGCAGAGGTTGCAGTGAGCCAAGGCCATGCAACCACACTCCATACTGGGCAACAGAGCGAGGCTCTGTCTCAATAAATAAATAAATTGCTTTACCGTAATAAAAGTGTTGCCATATGAGATGGGCAGTTTTCACATAGTAGAAGGTATTTCTTTTTTCACGTTTAGAGATCCACTGTCTTCCTTGATTTTAAAAATGTAATTAGTGTGATTATGGAGGTTGTGGTAGGTGGAGAGGCTGGACTTCAGATCGCTGAGGTGTTTGGATCCTGTGAGCACACTGGGCTTCCATTATAACTGAGGGACATTTGATGTGTAGGTATCTTATTAATTTATGGATCTACAGAAGCTGAAAATGAAATTTTTGTTAATTGAGAGGCATTATCTAAAAGAAAATGGAGATTCCCTTTTTATTGTTTATATGGAATGAAAGCAAACTTTTTTTCTAAGCTTCAGCTTTCTTTTACCTTGTGATTTTAACCATTTTCCTGCTTTCCCATTTTCTTCCTTATTCCTTGGTACATTGTAGGGTCTCATTCTACAGAATTTCAAAAACAGGGCCAAAAACTGAATGCTGAGAAACTCTGATTCTTGTCATACCATGCAATGATCCTTCCCTAACATCGAATTAATGGTATGAGGAGAAGTAGAGTTTCTTCCTCTTTAACACTAGGATTTTACTGACTCTTTTCTTTTCCCTTATGATTGTGCATAATGGCACAAAATGAATGCCTTGATTTTCACTGGTATTTTTCCATAGTTAAAAGATGAATGGTGGGAGGCCGAGGTGGGCGGAACACGAGGTCAGGAGATTGAGACCATGCTGGCTAACATGGTGAAACCCTGTCTCTACTAAAAAACAAAAAAAATTAGCAGGGCGTGGTGGCGGGCCTGTAGTCCCAGCTACTTGGGAGGCTGAGGCAGGAGAATGGCGTGAACCCAGGAGGCGAAGCTTGCAGTGAGCCGAGATCGCGCCACTGCACTCGAGCCTGGGCGACAGAGTGAGACTCCATCTCAAAAAAAAAAAAAAAAAAAAAAAAAAAAGATGGATGTGTGTTGGGTATGGTACAGGCATGTAGTGTAGACATAGGAAAGGTAGAGTGAGAACAAAGAATTAATTCAAGGATTCATATGAGCCATATATTCTTATACCCTAAGCTTCTCACAGAGGGAGAGAGAGAATACCTCCATATCTATGTCCAGTTTTGGGAGTCAGGGATTTGGTACAGAGCTAGTGTATCCTTTTTCACCAGATCACTCATTCACATGGCCACACATCAGAGCCCAATTTTTTGGTTTTGGACTTTTAAAAAAACAATCAAGGTATAATTGACATATAAAGTGCACATATTTAAATTATACCATATAATTCGATAAAATTTAGCATATACGTAAAGCTTTGAAACCACCACCACCACAACCACAATAGCGAACATATCCAGCAACTCCCAGGTTTCTAGCCGACCTACCCACCACCCTCAAAAGTTTCCTAATGCTCCTGTAATCCTTCCCTTCTGCCCTTCCTTCCTTATTCACCCCATCTGCCCTGTCCCCAGGCAACCACTTAGCGATTTTGTCACTAGTTTGGATTTCCTAGAATTTTAAATAAATGGAATCATACCATATGTACTCTTCTTGTCTGGCCTTTTTCACTCAGCATAATTATTTTGAGATTCATTTATGTGGCAGCATGCATCAATAATTTATTAGTTTTTATTGCTGAATAGTCATATTCCATTTATGGAAATACCACCAGATGTTTATTTACTATTGATGGGCATTTGGGTTATTTCCAGTTTTTAGATGCTACAAATAAATATTTGTGTACAAATCTTTGTATAAACATATGATTTCATTCTCTTACATAAGTATGTGGGAGTATAATAACTGAATCAAATAATAGGTCTATCTTTTCATTTTTAATCACACTTTTCCAAATTGGTCTTACCATTTTACATTCCCACCTGCAATGGATGGGAAATCTTGTTTTTGATACCCTCACCAACACTAGGTATAGTCAATCTTTTTAGTTTTTGTCATTCTGATAGATGCACAGTGGTATCTTACTGTGGTTTTAATTTGCATTAAGGTGCAAATTAAATGATGCAAATTAGGTTAAGCATCTTGTATTTATTTTCCATTCATAAGATCTCTGCTACAGTTACTCAACTCTGCCATTTTAGAGTGAAAGCAATGTGAAGGGAAAATAAAAACTCAGACCCCACTTCACTCTGCCAAAAGGAAAAAACTAAGCTGAAAGCTGTGTCCTACAAGAAGCTGCCTTTCCATTTGTTTCTAAGCAGACAGCTATAGAGAAAAGGTTCAGTATCTCCCCAGGTAGCTACTCCATGTTCACCTTATCTTATGTAAAGTATTTATTTACTGGGCACAATATGAATACATAATTGACTATTTCCCTACCTGCTCCTTTTCTCTTGCAACATGTGGATTACCACATTCTCCCTCTTTCCCCTCCAGCCCACTTTTTCCCTTTAAATATTGCAGCCCTCAAAATCATTTTTGAAAAAAGGCACAGACCACTGACCATTTATGTGATTCCATGTTTTATTCTTCCGGGCATGTCCTTAACCTTGGCAAAATAAAGTTCTCAATTGATTGAGACCTGTCTCAGATCTTTTGGGTTTACAGCAGCCATAGTTGATAAGTAAATGGATGGATGTGGCTGTGTTCCAATAAAATTTTATTTGCAAAAGCAAATAACAAAAAACCAGGCAACAGTTATATTTGGCCTTTGGATTGTAGTTTGCTGATCCCTGACATAAATGTTAATGTCCTCTGCAAATAAAGATATGAAGACAGCTTTACTTCTTCCTAATTTTTTTTAAGTTCTTTTTTTCATCCCTGGTTGCACTGCTAGAACCTCCAATACAGTGTTGAATAGAAGTGGTGAGAGCAGGCCGGGCACGGTGGCTCACGCCTGTAATCCCAGCACTTTGGGAGGTTGAGGTGGGTGGATCACATGAGGCCAGGAGTTTGAGACCAGCCTGGCCAACGTGGTAAAACTCCTTCTCTTCTAAAAATACAAAAATTAGCCGGGGGTGGTGTGGTGGCTCGTGCCTGTAGTCCCAGCTACACGGGAGGCTAAGGCACGAGAATTGCTTGAACCTGGGAGGTGGAGGTTGCAGTGAGCTGAGATTGTGCCACTGTACTCCAGCCCGGGAGATAGAATGAGACTCTGTATTAAAGTTAAAAGAGCTGGTGAGAGCAGGTATTTTTGTCTGGTTTCTACCAATAATATAATATTACCTATAACTTTTTCATGGATATTGTTTATCAGATTGGGAAACTCCCTCTATTCCTAATTTTTGGCTTAATTGAACCAGCTTTTGGTTTATTGATTTACCTCTGTTGTTTTGCTGTTGTCTGTCTCAGGAAGTTCCTTCCTATTCCAAAAGTTTTTTTTATCATAAATGGATGTTGAATTTTGTCAAGTGCTTTTTCTGCATCTGTTGAGAATGTAATATGGTGATATTGCGTTATTATAATGAATTACATTAACTGATTTTCATATGTTAAACCAACCTTGCATTCCTGGGATAAACCTCGGTTGGTTTTTGTTTTTGTTTTCTTCCTATACACACAAACAGCCAGAACTTGGTCTTTTTTATGATTGACTTGCTAAGATTTTGTTTGAAATTTTTGCATCTATGTTCACGAGGGAAATTGGCCTGTAGATTTCTTGTAATGCCTCTGGTTTTGATATCAGGGTAATTCTGGCCTCATAGAATACTTTGGGAAATAATTCTTTCTTTTCACTTTGTTGGAAGAGTTTCGTTAGAATTGGTGTCTTTTTTTTCTTAAATGTTTGGTAGAATTCACCAGTGATCTGGGCCTGGAGTTTTCTTTGTGGGCAGTTTTTTTTTTAACTATAAATTATTTTTAAAAAGTAGATGTTAGGCTATTCAGGCCACTTATTTCTTCTTGAGTGAGCTTTGGTAGTTGTGTCTTTCAAGAAATTTATTTGATCCAAGTTGTGAAATGTTTAAGCATAAAGTTGTTCATAATATTTTCTTATCATTCTTTTAATGTGTTTATAGTCACCTATCTTATTCCTGGCATTGTTAACTTGTTTCTTTTCTCTATTGTTCCCAATTAGTCTAGTAGAGGTTTCTTAATTTTACTGATATTTTCAAAGAAACAGCTTTTGGACTTACTGGTTTTTTTCTGTTGTTTTTGTTTTCTGAAGTCTCATGATTTCTGCTTTTACCTTTATTATCTTCTTTATTCTGCTTACTTTGAATATGTGTTCTTTTTCTGATTTTTTTTCCTATTTTTCTGTTTATTTATTTATTTTAGAGACAAGGTCTTTCTCTGTTGCTTAGCCAGAGTGCCGTGGCGTAATATTAGCTCACTGTAGCCTCAATTTCCTGGGACCAAGCAATTCTCCTGCCCCGATGTCCCAAGTAGCTGGGACTACAGGCATCTACCACCATGCCTGGCTCATTTTTAAATTTTTTGTAGAGATGGGGACTTGCTATGTTGCCCAGGCTCTTTTTCTAATTTCATAAAGTAGATGAACTCACTGATTTCAGACCTTTCTTCTTTTCGAATATAGGTCTTTCATGCTGTAGATTTCACCCTAGTTACTGCTTTAGTGGCCTAGTCTTAATTCTGATGTCACATTTTTATTTTCATTCACTTCAAAACACTTTTTTTTGACTATTTATATATATTTTTTATACTTTATGTTCTAGGGTACATCTGTACAACGTGCAGGTTTGTTACACATGTATACATGTGCCATGTTGGTGTGCTGCACCCATTAACTCGTCATTTACATTAGGTATATCTCCTAATGCTATCCCTCCCCCCTCTCCCAACCCCACAACAGGTCCTGGTGTGTGATGTTCCCCTTCCTGTGTCCAAGTGTTCTCATTGTTCAATTCCCACCTATGAGTGACAACATGCGGTGTTTGGTTTTTTGTCCTTGCGATAGTTTGCTGAGAATGATGGTTTCCAGCTTCATCCATATCCCGACAAAGGACATGAACTCATCATTTTTTATGGCTGCATAGTATTCCATGGTGTATATGTGCCACATTTTCTTAATCCAGTCTATCATTGATGGACATTTGGGTTGGTTCCAGGTCTTTGCTATTGTGAATAGTGCCACAATACACATACGTGTGCATGTGTCTTTATAGCAGTATGATTTATAATCCTTTGGGTATATACCCAGTAATGGAATGGCTGGGTCAAAAGGTATTTCTAGTTCTAGATCCCTGAGGAATCGCCACACTGTCTTCCACAACGGTTGAACTAGTTTACAGTCCCACCAACAGTGTAAAAGTGTTCCTGTTTCTCCACATCCTCTCCAGCACCTGTTGTTTCCTGACTTTTTAATGATCGCAATTCTAACTGGTGTGAGATGGTATCTCATTGTGGTTTTGATGTGCATTTATCTGATGGCCAGTGATGATGAGCATTTCTTCATGTGTCTTTTGGCTGCATAAATGTTTTCTTTTGAGAAGTGTCTGTTCATATTCTTTGCCCATTTGTTGATGAGGTTTTTTTCTTGTAAATTTGAGTTCTTTGTAGATTCTAGATATTAGCCCTTTGTCAGATGAGTTGATTGCAAAAATTTTCTCCCATTCTGTAGGTTGCCTGTTCACTCTGATGGTAGTTTCTTTTGCTGTGCAGAAGCTCTTTAATTAGATCCCATCTGTCAAATTTGGCTTTTGTTGCCATTGCTTTTGGTGTTTTAGACATGAAGTCCTTGCCCATGCCTATGTCCTGAATGGTATTGCCTAGGTTTTCTTCTAGGGTTTTTATGGTTTTAGGTCTAACATTTAAGTCTTTAATCCATCTTGAATTAATTTTTGTATAAGGTGTAAGGAAGGGATCCAGTTTCAGCTTTCTACATATGGCTAGCCAGTTTTCCCAGCACCATTTATTAAATAGGGAATCCTTTCCCCATTTCTTGTTTTTGTCAGGTTTGTCAAAGATCAGATGGTTGTAGATGTGTGGTATTATTTCTGAGGGCTCTGTTCTGTTCCATTGATCTATATCTGTTTTGGTACCAGTACCATGCTGTTTTGGTTACTGTAGCCTTGTAGTATAGTTTGAAGTCAGGTAGCATGATGCCTCCAGCTTTGTTCTTTTGGCTTATTATTGACTTGGCAATGTGGGCTCTTTTTTGGTTCCATAGGAACTTTAAAGTAGTTTTTTCCAATTCTGTGAAGAAAGTCATTGGTAGCTTGATGGGGATGGCATTGAATCTATAAATTACCTTCGGCGGTATGGCCATTTTCACGATATTGATTCTTCCTACCCATGAGCATGGAATGTTCTTCCATTTGTTTGTGTCCTCTTTTATTTCGTTGAGCAGTGGTTTCTAGTTCTCCTTGAAGAGGTCCTTCACATCCCTTGTAAGTTGGATTCCTAGGTATTTTATTCTCTTTGAAGCAATTGCGAATGGGAGTTCACTCATGATTTGGCTGTTTGTCTATTATTGGTATATAAGAATGCTTGTGATGTCTGGACATTGATTTTGTATCCTGAGATTTTGCTGAAGTTGCTTATTAGCTTAAGGAGATTTTGGGCTGAGATGATGGGGTTTTCTAAATATACAATCATGTCATCTACAAACAGGGACAATTTGACTTCCTCTTTTCCTAATTGAATACCCTTTATTTCTTTCTCCTGCCTGATTGCCCTGGCCAGAACTTCCAACACTATGTTGAATAGGAGTGGTGAGAGAGGGCATCCATCTTGTGCCAGTTTTCAAAGGGAATGCTTCCAGATTTTGCCCATTCGGTATGATATTGGCTGTGGGTTTGTCATAAATAACTCTTATTATTTTGAGATACGTCCCATCAATACCTAATTTATTGAGAGTTTTTAGCATGAAGGGCTGTTGAATTTTGTCAAAGGCCTTTTCTGCATCTATTGAGATAATCATGTGGTTTTTGTCTTTGGTTCTGTTTATATGCCGGATGATGTTTATTGATTTGCGTATGTTGAACCAGCCTTACATCCCAGGGATGAAGCCCACTTGATTATGGTGGATAAGCTTTTTGATGTGCTGCTGGATTTGGTTTGCCAGTATTTTATTGAGGATTTTTGCATCGATGTTGATCAGGGATATTGGTCTAAAATTCTCTTTTTTTGTGTCTCTGCCAGGCTTTGGTATCACGATGATCCTGGCCTCATAAAATGAGTTAGGGAGGATTCCCTCTTTTTCTATTGATTGGAATAGTTTCAGAAGGAATGGTACCAGCTCCTGCTTGTACCTCTGGTAGAATTCGGCTGTGAATCCATCTGGCCCTGGGCTTTTTTTTGGTTGGTAGGCTATTAATTATTGCCTCAATTTCAGAGCCTGTTATTGGTCTATTCAGGGATTCAACTTCTTCCTAGTTTAGTCTTGGGAGGGTGTATGTGTCCAGGAATTTATCCATTTCTTCTAGATTTTCTAGTTTATTTGCATAGAGGTGTTTATAGTATTCTCTGATGGTAGTTTGTATTTCTGTAGGATCGGTGGCGATATCTCCTTTATCATTTTTTATTGCATCTATTTGATTCTTCTCTCTTTTCTTATTAGTCTTGCTAGCGGTCTATCAATTTTGTTGATCTTTTCAAAAACCCAGCTCCTGGATTCATTGATTTTTTTGAAGGGTTTTTTGTATCTCTATTTCCTTCCATTCTGCTCTGATCTTAGTTATTTCTTGCCTTCTGCTAGCTTTTGAATTTGTTTTCTCTTGCTTCTCTAGTTCTTTTAATTGTGATGTTAGGGCGTCAATTTTAGATCTTTCCTGCTTTCTCTTGTGGGCATTTAGTGCTATAAATTTCCCTCTACACACTACTTTAAATGTGTCCCAGAGATTCTGGTATGTTGTGTCTTTGTTCTCATTGGTTTCAAATAACATCTTTATTTCTGCCTTCATTTTGTTATGTACCCAGTAGTCATTCAGGAGCAGGTTGTTCAGTTTCCATGTAGTCAAGTGGTTTTGAGTGAGTTTCTTAATCCTGAGTTCTAGTTTGATTGCACTGTGGTCTGAGACAAGTTTGTTATAATTTCTGTTATTTTACATTTGCTGAGGAGTGCTTTACTTCCAAGTATGTGGTCAATTTTGGAATAAGTGCGATGTGATGCTGAGAAGAATGTATATTCTGTTGATTTGGGGTGGAGAGTTCTGTAGATGTCTATTATGTCCGCTTGGTGCAGAGCTGAGTTCAATTCCTGGATATCCTTGTTAACTTTGTCTCGTTGATCTGTCTAATGTTGACAGTGGGGTGTTAAAGTCTCCCATTATTATTGTGTGGGAGTCTAAGTCTCTTTGTAGGTCCCTAAGGACTTGCTTTATGAATCTGGGTGCTCCTGTATTGAGTGCATATATATTTAGGATAGTTAGCTATTCTTGTTGAATTGATCCCTTTACCATTATGTAATGGCCTTGTCTCTTTTCATCTTTGTTGGTTTAAAGTCTGTTTTATCAGAGACTAGGATTGCAACCCCTGCCTTTTTTTTGTTTTCCACTTGCTTGGTAGATCTTTCTCCATCCCTTTATTTTAAGCCTATGTGTGTCTCCGCACATGATATGGGTCTCCTGAATACAGCACACTGATGGGTCTTGACTCTTTATCCAATTTGCCAGACTGTGTCTTTTAATTGGAGCATTTAGCCCATTTACATTTAAGGTTAATATTGTTATGTGTGAATTTGATCCTGTCATTATGATGTTAGCTGGTTATTTTACTCATTAGTTGATGCAGTTTCTTCCTAGCATCGATGGTCTTTACAATTTGGCATGTTTTTGCAGTGGCTGGTACTGGTTGTTCCTTTCCATGTTTAGTGCTTCCTTCAGGAGCTCTTGTAGGGCAGGCCTGGTGGTGACAAAATCTCTCAGCATTTGCTTGTCTCTAAAGGATTTTATTTCTCCTTCACTTATGAAGCTTAGTTTGGCTGGATATGAAATTCTGGGTTGAAAATTCTTTTCTTTAAGAATGTTGAATATTGGCCCCCACTCTCTTCTGGTTTGCGGAGTTTCTGCCGAGAAATCCACTGTTAGTCTGATGGGCTTCACTTTGTGGATAACCTGACCTTTCTCTCTGGCTGCCCTTAACATTTTTTCCTTCATTTCAACTTTGGTGAATCTGGCAATTATGTGTCTTGGAGTTGCTCTTCTCGAGGAGTATCTTTGTGGCATTGTCTGTATTTCCTGAATTTGAATGTTGGCCTGCCTTGCTAGGTTGGGGAAGTTCTCCTGGATAATATCCTGCAGAGTGTTTTCCAACTTGGTTCCATTCTCCCCATCACTTTCAGGTACACCAATCAGACATAGATTTGGTCTTTTCACATAGTCCCATATTTCTTGGAGGTTGTGTTTGTTTCTTTTTACTTTTTTCTCTAAACTTCTCTTCTCGCTTCATTTCATTCATTTGATCTTCAATCACTGATACCCTTTCTTCCAGTTGATTGAATCAGCTACTAAAGCTTGTGCATTCGTCACGTAGTTCTCATGCCATGGTTTTCAGCTCCATCAGGTCATTTAAGGACTTCTCTACACTGGTTACTCTAGTTAGCCATTTGTCTAATCTTTTTTCAAGGTTTTTAGCTTCTTTGCGATGGGTTCGAACTTCCTCCTTTAGCTCGGAGAAGTCTGATTCTCTGAAGCCTTCTTCTCTCAACTCATCAAAGTCATTCTGTGTCCAGCTTTGTTCCGTTGCTGGTGAGGAGCTGCGGTCCTTTGGAGGGGGAGAAGCGCTCTGATTTTTAGAATTTTCAGCTTTTCTGCTCTGTTTTTTCCCCATCTTTGTGGTTTTATCTACCTTTGGTCCTCGATGATGGTGACATACAGATGGGGTTTTGGTGTGGATGTCCTTTCTGTTTGTTAGTTTTCCTTCTAACAGTCAGGACCCTCAGCTGCAAGTCTGTTGGAGTTTGCTGGAGGTCCACTCCAGACCCTGTTTGCCTGGGTTATCAGCAGCGGAGGCTGCAGGACAGCGAATACTGCTGAACTGTCTGGGTTTTATATGAACTCCATCCCTTACCATGCTACGTTGGGTATGTTACTGTGCCTCAGTTTTCTCATCTATGAAATGTCTAAATTAGTGCCTACTTCGTAAGGTGGCTGAGATAATTAAATAGGTTACTATAATTTTTACAGACAGGGTCTCACTTTGTCACCCAGGCTGGATTGCAGTGGCATGATCACAACTCCCTGTAGCCTCAAACTCCTGTGCTCAAGCAATTCTCCCACCTCAGACTCTTGGGAATACAGATGTGTACCCCACACCTAATTTTTAAATTTTTTGTAAAAATGCGGTCTTGCTATCTTGCCCAAGCTAGTCTCAAACTCCTGACCTCAGGCAATCCTCTCACCTCAGCCCCCCAAAATACTAGGATTACAGGCATGAGCTTATAAATGAGTTATCACACATAAAGGACTTATAAATTCCTGGCACATAGCTAGCACTCGATAAAAACTGGAGGAAAAAGAATAAATAAGGGGAGAAATATGATCAGATTTGTTTTTAAGATGATAAAAGGCAATACTTGTGGTAGTAGAGTATTATACCAAAAGAACACTATCATTACAAAGGCACAAAGGTTACTCTATTTTCTAGTGGACACTTTTTGGTATTAGAGCAATAGTATTATCAACAGGAATGCCTTAGCTAAACTCACAATAGAAACTTAAGCCTGGAGACATGCTTAGATTCCAGATACCCTGACTCACAGCTCTGTGTTCTCTCCACTAGGATGGAAAGAACACTCCACCTCAGTTCTCATCTCACTTCTTTGCTACCACTCTTTGAATAAATATTCTGGTCTTCTGCATTTCAAATGACTCTACTTATAGTTAAATAGCTGTCCTCCTTGAAAAGATTCAGTGTTTCCCAGAGCACAGCAATTATTATAGAACTGGGTTAAAACCCACATTTAAATTCAAACTTCAATGACAGTACCATTCTATAAATGTTAACACATTAATTTGCCATTACAATTAAGCAATATGTATGAAGTTCATAACTCAAGTATCACTGTTAAACTGCTCCTGGTTGTTTCTGTTTGAAGATGGGTAAGAACAGAGAAGAAATGTTCACAGTGCTTACACTGTTACCCCATGCTGGCTGTTTAGAATGGGGCAATATCTTCCTGAGTTACAAGGAGCACCAGGCACAGCAACATGTATCCTGGCTGACCACTTATACCGAGAATGGTTTATTGAAAGAAGACATAAACATCACTGTGATTTCAGGAAATTAACTTTAGTTAACTTTACTTCATTCACTTTTTTACTCAAAAAATATTTACTTTAAAACTAAGTGTTTGTCTAGTAAGGAAGCAGTATAATATAGTGGTTAAGAGCTGAAACTCTAGAACATCTGAGTTTGAAGTCTATCTCTACTGCTTATCAAGTGTTTCTGGCTTGGATGTTCACCAATCTTTCTGTTTTCTCATCCATACGATGGGGATAATTATAATACCTTTCTCCTCCAGTTGTAAGAGTAAGAGAGCATACGTAAAGTGCTGAGTACAGGACCTGACGCAGAGAATGCATTCACATGGTATCAGCCACTATTAGAGAACTGCTTTCTAGGTGCTGAGATTTCAGTGGTGTACAGACCCAAGGATGCCCTCAAGGAGCTCACTAGCAGTTGGGAAACAGGACTCAGATATATAAATACAGTGGTAACTCAAAAGTGGTCTTAAAGAGAAGGAGAGTCTAATTAGGGATTTTAAAAATCTGCTATAACCCATTCAATTTTTAGCTCCCCAAGGGATTTTCCTCACCATCTGGGCCATCAATGCAAGCGAGTTTGAAAAGCCCTCATAATTTTCCTATATCACACCTCCTCCTCAGCAAGAAAGGCTCTGTGGGTGGAAAGCAGCAAAGAACACTGTATGTTATGCAGAAAGCAATCGTTCCTCAGAAGACACAGGGCTCTGCAGAGCAGATGAGCCACAGAAACTTGTTTGGATCAGAAAAATGGGATCATTTCACTGAAGACCTAGAGATAGGAACTGACCACTATTTTTTTTTTAAGGAGGAAAGGGGGATTCACCTCAAAGTACTTTTCTAATCAGAAACAGAATTTGAGAAGAATTTAACATCTTAATTAAAGATATAATGTCACTCTCCCATGTCATGAGATTTAACTTTCATCAAAGGAGAGGTCTAACATTAAAGTCAGAAGTGACTTAAAAAATAGCACACATTGACTTAAAAGTATATTTTGGGTGACATTATTGGAAAATCTCCACTGAGCAAAGCAGAAAATGATGAGGTTAGAAAAATAAAGGAAGCAAGCCGGGCGCGGTGGCTCACGCCTGTAATCCCAGCACTTTGGGAGGCCAAGGCAGGCGGATGACGAGGTCTGGAGTTCGAGACCAGCCTGACCAACATGGTGAAACCCCGTCTCTACTAAAAATTCAAAAATTAGCCAGGCGTGGTGGCGCACACCTGTAATCCCAGCTACTCAGGAGGCTGAGGCAGAAGAATTGCTTGAGACCAAGAGGTGGAGGTTGCAGTGACCCAAGATCGCACCATTGCACTCCAGCCTGGGCGGGTGACAGAGCGAGATTCTGTCCCTAAATAAATAAACAAATAAATAGAAAAATACAGGAGGCAAAGGGCAGAAATCTTGAAAGAAACATAAAAATCAAGTACAGCACAACTTGCCTTACAAATGCAGTACAGTTAATTACAGATGACAAATACTGTCTTATCCTCAATACCACCATCAGAGAGAGGGCGAGACAGTGAGAAAAGGATCTAAATGGGTCCCTCAAATCCCCTTCTAAGTAGTGAGGAGTAGGAGAGAAAAAGAAAATGAAGCAAATAGAAACAGATTTCACCCAACTTGTTGGGACAACTCTGAAATCTGTTCCTGGGCCTGCCTTTCCCAGGCCAAGAGCTGCTTGCCCAGGCTTTTCCCTGAAACCTTCATTTTACAATTACCTCATTCCTCCCCCATGCAACCTGGTAGTATTATTTTTATTTTTATTTTTTGAAATAGGGTCTCACCCTGTCACTGAGGCTGGAGTACAGTGGCATGATCACAGCTCACTGCAGCCTCGAAACCCCAGGCTCAGGTAATCCTCCCACTTCAGCCTCCCAAGCATACAAGGACTACAGGCATGCACCACCACACATGGCTAATTTTTGTATTTTTTGCAGAGATGGGATTTCATCATATTTCCCAGGCTGGTCTTGAACTCCTGGGCTCAAGCAATCTGCCCACCTTGGCCTCCCAAGGTGCTGGGACTACAGGTGGTGAGCCACCACGCCTCTCCCTAGTTGCATTTAAATGAAGGCTTTCTGGAGACTGGTGTAACCCAAAGGTCTTTCTCTAGGCTGGAGTATCAGTGTGAATGTTAGTGGGAAACATGCTAGCTGAAGGAGTGCTTACTGAGCTATCCCTCACAAGTATCAGCAGGTGGAGCTCCACCTGCAAGCTAGCTCTGAAATCACCCTTAGGAAGTGCAGTATACCTCAAAATCAGGCCCAGAAAAAGAAGATACAATGCTGCTATTTGTCTAATTCATGAGTTCAGTGTACTTTGACAATGTCCTTGTTATGATGCAACAAGGATTTCTCTCTGCCATTTTAGCTAAGGCGAACATATAAGGAAGACAACTGACCCAACTACAGAGAATGAGTATCTATACTTGCCCCGACACTAATGGTTCTGACTTTAGATACATACTATTTCTACCTGGCACAGGTAGAAATAGTCTTGCTGTCCTTCACAATTGATTAAAACTAATTTTGCAAATCCCAAATTATCTCACGTGAACTTTCTAATGAGGTACATTTGGTTTTGATTATTGTGCTTTTTCCAAGAACTAGCTTTTTTTAAATTAAAAGACCTCTTTCAAAACAGAAGATTTCAGTTAATTTGGCATTGCTCTTAGTTTTCCTCTCTGAAGTTGAACTTTTGTGTCCACTCCTTCCCTAAAAAGCAGTCCATTTGTAAACTAAGTTTTCTGGATATAGGTGAGCTATATACATATGCATGCACAGTAAAAGGAATGGCTAGCTCTTCTTCCCCTGGAGAGCAGAGCTTGGGTGACACTTTAGCACGATGCCCTGGGTATACACTCAATCAATACTGACTAGGCCCAGGAGATGGATCTGATCCACATTTTTAGGGGAACTAAGCAGAAAAGGAGATGTTTCCTGCGTGCTTCATAAAGTATATAGGTTTTTCACTGACTGAAAATGATTAGAATATAGTCCTCACAATTTTATAAGCACTAAATTTTCAAGAACTGAAGGGCCAGAGTCCTTAATGTCATAAACTCAATATCTTACAGTGCAAAGTGTGTGTATATAAATATATATATACATATATATAAAAGAAAATTAAGAATAGACTTTAAATTTAAAAATCTGAAGATCACTCTTTTAAACTACTTTCCATGATCTGTAGAATTTATAAAGTGGCAACTTGTAATATAAAAATAAATCAAGAAAACATTATCCTGAAGTAAACATTATTTGGTCAGAAATACAGCAATTGTTAGTTTAAATGAAACATAATTTTAAATTGTTTTTAATGCTTTGCAACTTGAATTTTCCATTCCCTATAATGCCTCCCTTCTCCATTAGTAGAAAAAAACCGAGAGCTGACTACACAACCAGAAGTCAGCCTGCTCCTCAAACCCAGTATCAATAAGATGTGAGAAGAAATGTCCCTGCCAAAGACATTAAGTTGCATCACTAATGCTCCAAAGAGGTTCATCAAATGATTCCAGAGGTACTTGCGAATTTCACCGAATCTCAAATGAAGGAGTCAATACAACCTGTTCCTGAGCAAGTGCTGTAGAAGAGTGGCCAGCTGGGATTAATCTGTAGGCAAGGCGCCCTGAAATGCAGAACAGCAACCACAGACACTAAACACTGTTTCCAAAATTTGCCAACTTTCCTAGTACTCACTTAAGAAATTCCCTCTTAGAAATTGTTTCTAAGGAAAGTTCAAACTATTGAGGGAAGAGGATGGTAAAGAGTAATCAAAACACATTCACTATTGCCATTCCTCTCTCATGGTGTTTCCCCTCACCCTAAGCAGCTTGATGGGATGCGGGGGATGGGGTGTGGAGGGGACAAGAAAAAGGCTTTTCTGTATTATATATGACAAAGGGACTTCTGGAGGGCAGTGACTACATTCCAGCCCTCTTCCACAACCCCAAAACACACCACCACTGCACTCTCTCTGGGTAGTCCCCTAACAGTTCTACAAAGTGCCACATGTTAGCAAAATGTGGGCATACAGCTAATATTTAATGGTAATAATAAACCAAATTAAAGATACTAGATTTGCTAGATTTGGTGAATTATGAGAAAGCACAAACTGAGGAGTCCTTTATTAACTGGTACAGCATAGGTAAAGAATAATTCTGGCCAGTATCTACCCAAGGAAAGAAGAATCCAATCGTGTTCATTACTCATTAACTGAGCACACACCCCAATACAACAAAGAAGTCAGTTCAAAGCAAACCATAGCTGGAAACGTCAAAAGAAAACCATTCCTTGCTTGCAGGAAGGGAAAATGCAGAACTAGCTTTTAGATAATAGAAATGAGACTTCAGAGACTGCCTTTCCTTGGGTGAAGAGCAGGTGATTAGAGTCCCTAGTAAACATCTGCCCAAACAACTGGCCCCTGGATTTGAGAAGAAATTAAAATAGAGGAAATAACATAACATAATAAAACACTACTATGTACTGGCTATGAAGTACGATAAAGTGAAAGAAAGAACATACAAGCCCTTGCCTTATTGTTTGTCTCAACCAGATCCATGGTGCCAATCCAGACCCAGGCCTTCTGGATGGAAGTGAACAGACCAAGAAGATGATCAGAGAATCCAAACCCTTACCTATTTATACTAAACTGAAAGCTCACTCCAAGGATGTCAGTTCATTACATAAATGCCTTCTACACGGGCTGGGTGTGGTGGCTCACGCCTGTAATCCCAGGCCGAGGCAGGAGGATCACTTGAAGCCAGGAGTTCGAGACCAGAGACTGGGCAACATGGAGAAACCCCGTCTCTACTAAAAATACAAAACTCAGGCAGGTGTAGTGGCGCGCACCTGTCATCCCAGCTACTTGGGAGGATGAGGCATGAGAATCACCTGAACCCAGGAGGTGGAGGTTGCAATGGGCCAAGATCGCACTACTGCACTCTAGCCTGGGTGAGAGTAAGGCTCCATCTCAAAAAAACAAATAAATAAATAAAATGCATGGCAACTGACATCATGTACATCAACATTTGAGACACAGTGGGTTAGAGGGCTGTATGTGTCCACTGAGTGTTTGCAAGTCAAGGACAAAAACATTTAGAAACCTGTCTGAATCTTAGATGACAACATTTAAGATGTTTGTTATGTTTAAGATGTCTGGTATACTCAGTTTCTTCCTAAGATGGCGAAAAAGTAGCCCCTATTTAGTAAGTGGTCATGTAGCAAGTTAACAGCACACTCGTAACTGAGTACTTCCGTAGTGCTTTAACCTAGACTCTTTTGTTTCTATTTGATTTGCTTGATTTTGTATTTAATATTAGAACAAATCTTTTTTTTTTTTTTGACAGAGTCTCATTCTGTCGCCAGGCTGGAGTGCAGTGGCGCGATCTCGGCTCACTACAACCTCCGACTCCCAGGTTCAAGTGATTCTCCTGCCTGAGCCTCCTGAATAGTTGGGATTATAGGCATGTGCCACCACAACCAGTTAATTTTTTGTATTTTTAGTAGAAATGGGGTTTCACCATGTTGGCCAGGATGGTCTCGATCTCCTGACCTCGTGATCTGCCTGCCTCAGCCTCCCAAAGTGCTGGGATTATAGGCGTGAGCCACTGCGCTGGGCCTATTAGAACAAATCTTAGTCAAAAGACTTCATGTGCCAATAAAAAAAAAAGAGTTTTCCATATTTGCATTAGTACATGCAAACAGATCTTTAGAAGGTATTCCTAACAGGTGTATTTCTTCATTTAGACTGCACCATTCTGTTACAAAACCTATTTTCAGTAAGTGGGGAAACAATGCTGGTTTACTTTCTCTCTTCGAACTTTTCTGCCTCTCACATTTGTTTGACAGACCTAATGCTGACAGTTTTCTAAGATTCATTACTGAAATTTAACTAAATTTAACACAGCACATGAAGAAAAGAACCCAATATTACACTTTCATTCACTACATTAGACTTTCAGAATTCACTACCAAGCATATCTTTTAACATACGTGTTACATATGAAGGAAGCAGACTGCTGCCTATTTCCTCATTTATTAATATATTCAGTCATTTATTCAACAAATGTCGAACATTATTGAGCATCTAGCACGTACTATATTTGGGCCAAGAAATGCAGTGAACAATTCCTACTGTCATGGTCCCTGCCTTCTAATAATACACAAATAAACAACACACACAAACAACATTCTAATTCTACATATATAATTAATTGCAATTGCAATAAATACTATAAAAGTATAGGGGCCACGAAAGTGTATAATGGGGGTGTGAATCTGAGAGATCAGGAGATGCTTCCCTCAGGAAGTGACATTTAAGGTGGAACATGATGAATAAGGAGGGTTCAGGAGAAGCTTCCCTCAGGAAGTGACATGTAAGGTGGAACATGATGAATAAGGAGGGCTCAGGAGAAGCTTCCCTCAGGAAGTGACATGTAAGGTGGAACATGATGAATAAGGAGGGTTCAGGAGAAGTTTCCCTCAGGAAGTCACATGTAAGGTGGAACATGATGAATAAGGAGGGTTCAGGAGAAGCTTTCCTCAGGAAGTCACATTTAAGGTGGAACATGATGAATAAGGAGGGTTCAGGAGAAGCTTCCCTCAGGAAGTGACATGTAAGATGGAACATGATGAATAAGATGTAAGGTGGAACATGATGAATAAGGAGGGTTCAGGAGAAGCTTCCCTCAGGAAGTGACGTTTAAGGTGGAACATGATGAATAAGGAGGGTTCAGGAGAAGCTTCCCTCAGGAAGTGACATGTAAGGTGGAACATGATGAATAAGGAGGGTTCAGGAGAAGTTTCCCTCAGGAAGTGACATGTAAGGTGGAACATGATGAATAAGGAGGGTTCAGGAGAAGCTTCCCTCAGGAAGTGACGTTTAAGGTGGAACATGATGAATAAGGAGGGTTCAGGAGAAGCTTCCCTCAGGAAGTGACATGTAAGGTGGAACATGATGAATAAGGAGGGTTCAGGAGAAGCTTTCCTCAGGAAGTGACATTTAAGGTGGAACATGATGAATAAGGAGGGTTCAGGAGAAGCTTCCCTCAGGAAGTGACATGTAAGGTGGAACATGATGAATAAGGAGGGTTCAGGAGAAGCTTCCCTCAGGAAGTGACATGTAAGATGGAACATGATGAATAAGATGTAAGGTGGAACATGATGAATAAGGAGGGTTCAGGAGAAGCTTCCCTCAGGAAGTGACGTGTAAGGTGGAACATGATGAATAAGGAGGGTTCAGGAGAAGCTTCCCTCAGGAAGTGACATGTAAGGTGGAACATGATGAATAAGGAGGGCTCAGGAGAAGCTTCCCTCAGGAAGTGACATGTAAGATGGAACATGACGAATAAGATGTAAGGTGGAACATGATGAATAAGGAGGGTTCAGGACACGCTTCCCTCAGGAAGTGACATGTAAGGTGGAACATGATGAATAAGGAGGGCTCAGGAGAAGCTTCCCTCAGGGAGTGACATGTAAGATGGAACATGATGAATAAGATGTAAGGTGGAACATGACGAATAAGGAGGTTTCAGGAGAAGCTTCCCTCAGGGAGTGACATGTAAGATGGAACATGATGAATAAGATGTAAGGTGGAACATGAATAAGGAGGGCTCAGGAGAAGCTTCCCTCAGGGAGTGACATGTAAGATGGAACAAGATGAATAAGATGTAAGGTGGAACATGACGAATAAGGAGGTTTCAGGAGAAGCTTCCCTCAGGAAGTGACATGTAAGACGGAACATGATGAATAAGATGTAAGGTGGAACATGATGAATAAGGAGGGTTCAGGAGAAGCTTCCCTCAGGAAGTGACATGTAAGATAGAACATGATGAATAAAGAGGGCTCAGGAGAAGCTTCCCTCAGGAAGTGACATGTAAGATGGAACATGACGAATAAGATGTAAGGTGGAACATGATGAATAAGGAGGGTTCAGGAGAAGCTTCCCTCAGGAAGTGACATGTAAGGTGGAACATGATGAATAAGGAGGGCTGAGGAGAAGCTTCTCTCAGGGAGTGACATGTAAGATGGAACATGATGAATAAGATGTAAGGTGGAACATGATGAATAAGGAGGGTTCAGGAGAAGCTTCCCTCAGGAAGTGACATGTAAGGTGGAACATGATGAATAAGGAGGGCTCAGGAGAAGCTTCCCTCAGGAAGTGACATGTAAGATGGAACATGATGAATAAGATGTAAGGTGGAACATGATGAATAAGGAGGGTTCAGGAGACGCTTCCCTCAGGAAGTGACATGTAAGGTGGAACATGATGAATAAGGAGGGCTCAGGAGAAGCTTCCCTCAGGAAGTGACATGTAAGATGGAACATGATGAATAAGATGTAAGGTGGAACATGATGAATAAGGAGGGTTCAGGAGAAGCTTCCCTCAGGAAGTGACATGTAAGATGGAAAATGATGAATAAGATGTAAGGTGGAACATGATGAATAAAGAGGGCTCAGGAGAAGCTTCCCTCAGGAAGTGACGTTTAAGGTGGAACATGATGAATAAGGAGGGTTCAGGAGAAGCTTCCCTCAGGAAGTGACGTTTAAGGTGGAACATGATGAATAAGGAGGGTTCAGGAGAAGCTTCCCTCAGGAAGTGACGTTTAAGGTGGAACATGATGAATAAGGAGGGTTCAGGAGAAGCTTCCCTCAGGAAGTGACGTTTAAGGTGGAACATGATGAATAAGGAGGGCTCCGCCAGGCAACAAGGTGGCTGCAGAGCGCATCACACACAACGGGCAGCACACGCAACAGCTCTGGGCATGTGTGGGAAAATGAAAGTGAGCCAAGGGAGCAGAACTACACTGAGCAAGAGGCCACTGCAGGGAGGGAAAATCAGAGCAGTCATAAGAAGCTCAAGGCTTTCGGCTTTGCACCAAGAGCAACAGAAAGCCCCTAAAGAATTCTGCGAAAGGGGATGAAAAGAGTAGTATACTTAATTATATTTAGAGTACGAACTCAATTATTTTTTAAAATGTACAGAAATGACTAGAAGTAGATATATTACAAATACTGAATTGTTGCAATACTGCCCTGATAGTAAGATTATAAATATTTTTATGCACACTTTTCAAGCTTCCCAAATTTATACTATCCATAAATTCCTACAGTTAAAGAAAAAAAAAAAAAAACCCACACCCCCAAACACAGCACTGGAGTAGCTCCCTTCTTCCCTTGCCTCAGGCAACTTTTCCATCCATTGCACACATTTATTTGCATGATACATCCTTGATCCAGACTTAGTCGGCTATAAATTCTAAGTGATAACTTGTCTCTGCCCCTCCACTTCACCCACTACCAAAGCTGTAACTCAGATGACAACAATTTTTTTTTTTTTTGACACGGGGTTTTACTCTGTCACCCAAGCTGGAGTGCAGTGACACAATCGTAGCTCACTGTAGCCTCTAACTTCTGGGCTTACCATGCCTATCTATCTATCTATCTATCCATCTATCTATCTATTTATTTAGAGATGGAGTCTTGCTCTGTCACCCAGGTTGGAGTGCAGTGGGACGATCTCGGCTCACTGCAACCTCCACCTCCCAGGTTCTGGGAAGCGATTCTCCTGCCTCAGCCTCCTGAGTAGCTGGGACTACAGGCGCGTGCCACCACACCTGGCTAATTTTTTTAATTTTTAGTAGAGACAGGGTTTCACAGTGTTAGCCAGTATGGTCTCAATCTCCTGACCTCATGATCCACCCACCTCGGCCTCCCAAAGTGCTGAGATTACAGGCATGAGCCACCACGCCCAGCCCTTATTTTTATTTTTTATAGAGATGGGGGTCTCACTGTGTTGCCCAGGCTGGTCCTCAGATGACCACTTTTAACTGTGGTTCAGTTCTAAGCCAATCCACAGTGTCTCTCAGTTCCATCACATTTCAAATGGAAAATACCACTGACACTATTGATGCCCAATGAAAAGAATGAACCCTGTAGGAATCTTAGCCAGCCAATACATTAGCTTAAGGTAGTTTACAATGTACTTAACAGGAGGAATAGAAAAACAGCAAGTAAACCTAACCATGGTGCATAGTTACTCTAAATGTCTGTCTTCATTTGCAAACTCAAGTTTGGGACTTGAAATTCTTTCATATTGTGTATGTATACATGTTCAGAATCTTATTACATAACAAGTCAATTATACCTGAGTTCAAATATTTCAATAGATTTTTTTTTAATCATCTTACCTTCAAAGCAAAGCATTTCAGGTTTCCAACACTTTAGTAGTTTGGAGTTTTCAAAAGATAGACAACTTTGTTACATGGCTGTCCGAGAAAAGATTCTGCTAACCAGACAACACTGAAATCTAGAAATGTTCTCAGCAAAGAGCTTGAAAGCACTCCAGGATCCAGATGTTCAGGCTACTAACCCTAACTTTAAAGCACAGCATTTACTTAATAGTTTGAAGCTTTCCTACCTATCATTCAGTTTATTTTCTGACAACTACTTTTACTCAGCTTGTTTGTTCTCATCTAGTTTTCCTTTTGTATATCTTCTCCTTCATGTTCCCAAGCGAAATGTGAATTTCCATATATTGAAAAAAACCCTAGAAGAAAACCTAGGCAATACCATTCAGCACATAGGCATGGGCAAGGACTTCATGTCTAAAACACCAAAAGCAATGGCAACAAAAGCTAAAATTGACAAATGGGATCTAATTAAACTAAAGAGCTTCTGCACAGCAAAAGAAACTACCATCACAGTGAACAGGCAACCTACAGAATGGGAGAAAATTTTTGCAATCTACTCATCTGACAAAGGGCTAATATCCAGAATCTACAATGAACTCCAACAAAAAAGAAAAAAACAAACAACCCCATCAAAAAGTGGGCAAAGGACATGAACAGACACTTCTCAAAAGAAGACATTTATGCAGCCAAAAGACACATGAAAAAATGCTCATCATCACTGGCCATCAGACAAATGCAAATCAAAACCACAGTGAGATACCATCTCACACCAGTTAGAATGGCGATCATTAAAAAGTCAGGAAACAACAGGTGCTGGAGAGGATGTGGAGAAATAGGAACATTTTTACACTGTTGGTGGGACTGTAAACTAGTTCAATCATTGTGGAAGTCAGTGTGGCGATTCCTCAGGGATCTAGAACTAGAAATACCATTTGACCCAGCCATCCCATTACTGGGTATATACCCAAAGGATTATAAATCATGCTGCTATAAAGACACATGCACACGTATGTTTACTGCGACACTATTCACAATAGCAAAGACTTGGAACCAACCCAAATGTCCACCAATGATAGACTGGATTAAGAAAATGTGGCACATATACATCATGGAATACTATGCAGCCATAAAAAATGATGAGTTCATGTCCTTTGTGGGGACATGGATGAAGCTGGAAACCATCATTCTCAGCAAACTATCACAAGGACAAAAAACCAAACACCACATGTTCTCACTCATAGGTGGGAATTGAACAATGAGAACACAGGGACACAGGAAGGGGAACATCAAACACCGGGGCCTGTTGTGGGGTACAGGGATGGGGGGATAGCATTTGGAGATATATCTAATGTTAAATGACGAGTTACTGGGTGCAGCACACCAACATGGCACATGTATACATATGTAACTAACCTGCATGCTGTGCACATGTACCCTAAAACTTAAAGTATAATAAAAAAAAGAAAAAGAAAACCTAGGATATGATAATGAAACATCAGATATGGAATTAAACAACCAAACAAAATATCCTAAGTGCTGCTTAGTATGTGTGCAGAATTTGCCTTTATTAAAAACCACGAACTGGAAAGTATATAAAGAAAGAATGGGAGACACAAGGAGGTTCAGCATACACCTAAGGCAGCATGTTGATTTATTTGATAAACAGACATTCAATTCGAGATCCTCTAGTGCTCTTCACTAGCATGGAATTCCATAGTTCTCAATGTCCCACAGATCATATCCAACTTACAATCACCTATATGGCTTATAATGGTGAACTGACACCTCCCAAACCATCCATTCCGACTGCCCTTAATAAATGTTGCCCAACGTGGTGGCAAGTGCCTGTAGTCCCAGCTACTTGGGAAGCTGAGGCAGGAGAATCGCTTGAACCTGGGAGGCGGAGGTTGCAGTGAGCTGAGATTGCTCCACTGCACTCCAGCAGGGGTGACAGAGTGAGACTCCATCTCAAAAAATAAACAAACACAGATGTGATATATATAAACCATAAGTAATTAGGTGTGTTAATGTGCAGACCAAGCCCAATTAAGTGACATTTTACTGTCTTTGTGGCAATGACATATTCACAAATCCGTGTCTTAAAACTGTTATTTATATATTGTTCTATTGCTAGTGATTTAATGTTCAGAGGTTAATGATTTTAGCAATTTATTCCAGAACACAAATTTAAATGCATCTTGTCATTAGAATTGGTTGTACAACTTAAGTATATAGAAAAGGATGTACATGTAAAATAGATTTTGTATTCCGTTTTTTCCTTAAAGAATATAACCTTCTATACTTGGTTTTCTACCTTTTGGGATTGATACAGATACAATGAAGCCAAACCTAAAATTTAAAAAAATAAAAAATAAAAAAAAAAATGTTGCCCAAGCATTTCGTAAGCATTTAAGGATAAGGAAAGCAATGCTTCTTTAGCAAGGTATGATAAGAGCTTCGGGGGTGGTAAAATGGAAGCAAGTGGGTAATACATCATTGGTAAATGTAGAGAATTTGTCAATTTTTGTTTTGGTGTCGAAATTTTAAACATATGCCACTGCTTTTGGAATGGAATGAAACTGTGAATTTAAGGGGAAAGCTGGATAAATGGGTTGGCAGTATATTAATAAAGTTGAGTTCTAGTCCTGGTCCCAGCACTTAACAGTGATGTATTCTAAAGCAGGCATTGAACATCCCTGGGCATCAGCTACCTCTTGCTGAATCCTGTCTTACAGCAGTGGTTCCCAACTGGGATACTGCCACCCATGGGGCATCTGGAAATGCCTGCAGTCATCTTTGGCTGCCATAACTGGGATATTGCCACTTGTATTTAGAGGCCAGAGATGTTACTAAACATCCTACAATGCACAAGACAGCCTCCATAACAAAAAATTATCCACTCCAAATATCAACAGTACCAAAGTTGATAAACACTGGTTTACAGAATACCTTTAAGCTCTAAGATTCTAGAACCTATATGTCCATGCGAATTAAGAGGGTTAGGTATTTGCTTTATGGGTAGAAAACTTAACATAAAGGGATTAAGTAACTTGCTGAGAGCATAGTGTAAATCCATGGCAAAACCTGGGTCCCCTGATCATCAGCCCAGTTACTGAGTGACTAGATTTGGCCTCTAAGACAGTTCTTTCTTCCAGAGAAGTCTAACACCAACAACCTGTATACGTAAGAAGAGAAAGGTTTTTAAAAAGTACCTTATATAGCTAGGTGTGTAACAAGGCAGAGTCCAAGATTTTGCTCTCCAATGAGTGCCACTAACTTTCAAGCAATAATAAATTCTTCCAGATTCTAAGGACTTCAACTAACACTTTCAAATGAATATGAATATAATCCACAAGAGAGAGGTGGGAGGTCATGATTTTATGTCCATAATGCTTTGTTTTAATGCCTAAGCATATGGTTTCTTTCAGCATTTCTTGAAAAATATATACTCTCTGATTCTTAAACAGAAATACTTTATTTGTTGATTTACAGTGTTTTCCTTTTCTTCCATACTCTTCCCTACTTTTTCCTAATATGCAAAAAAAGTGTGTGTGTGTGCGTGTGTGTGTATCTCCTTCATTGTAATACTTCATGGCACAATAATCTCAGGACATTACATTTCTGTTGCTTCATTTCACTAAGCGTGTTTGGGAAAAGACAATACTAAAATCTTGGCCAGGTGTGGTGGCTCACACCTGTAATCCCAGTACTCTGGGAGACTGAGGGAGGAGGATCGCTTGAGCCCATGGGTTTGAGACCAGCCTGGGCAACAAAGTGAGACCTCATCTCCACAAAAAATTAAAAAATTAGCTGGGCATGGTGGTACATCCCTGTGGTCCCAGCTACATGGAAAGTTGAGACAGAAGGATTGCTTGAACCCCAGGAGTTCAAGGCTGCAGCGAACCGTGTTCTCCAGCTTGGGAGACAGAGCAAGACCCCGCATCAAAAAACAAAACAACAACAACAACAAAAAAAACCACTCACACACTTTTTAAAACTTGAAATAAGAAAACCTCTTAGGTGGAAACAGCCTATGGAACATGGAGCCCTATCTATTTACGTGGCATTTTCTTGTCCTGAACTCATTCATTCTTAATAGCTATTTATTTAATAAGCTGTTTATTTTGTATGTAAACTCACTGATTTGTACTGGCAGTTCCTTTACTTAAAAATATGCTGGAATTTCCACTAAAACCTCTTATTATTCAAAGTTTCCTAGTTCAGGCATGAAAATTTCCCCTAGGCATAGGAGGTCTAATCTTTTCTACAAATATCACTGAACCACTTTTTAAATCCAAGAATGTCAAAGAGAAATTTTTCTTCTTTACTCATGAAACTTAAAACCAGATTTTTGTTTTCTTTAAAAAAAAAATCCAGGATACTCGTCTGTCCTCTAGATAAAATATTTTTCCAATATAGGAAAATAGATTTTAAAACTTGCTATCTCATCTAACTAAGCCATAAAGGGAGCTTTTTTAAGAGAAGGTTATTGTAAATTAGAATTGTAACCTATAGTTTTGAAGAACCAGAGGACTCATGATACTTCAGAACTCAGAAGGAATAAAGCAAAGCAGAGAATAACATTTTATATTTGCACAATATTTTATAACTTAAAATTCTGTTTACACACACAATCTTACTTGGTCCTTGTAATGATTCTGTAAAGTGGGAATTACAATCACCTCTCTACAGATTAATACGATAGGGCTCAAATATGTGAGGAGATTATTACAACCTCAAAACTACAAAGTATCAGCAATCAAAGCAGAACCCAGGTCTTCTAACTCCAAATTATTTTAAAATAAAGATAAAGAAACATACAAACTCATCCATGGCTTCTCATCTGTTAAGGCGATAATACGTTTGAACAGAAACACTTGTCAGCCCCTTCCAAAATAGCTAGTGAAGTACCTGCCCCACTCCCAAACCCACAACTAAAGAATAGAAACTCACCTCCTTACACTGTGATGTTCTCTTATCAATGAATATTTGTATGTATATGATGTTCCAAATATTACGCTACACAGAAGACAAGCTTCCCGTCCTCAAGTCGCAGACTACTTAGAGCCAAGATACACACAGAGGAAGTGCATATTGCCATTAAAGATTTAAATTAGTAGGTCAATACAACAACAAATGATATGATTCAAGGAAGACTATGACTGGGGTAGTCATAGTGGAGCCCCCAGTAGGAAAACAAACATAAAGTTATGAATATGAAATTAGGTACAAAGAATGTTTGTTAAGAATGAGAACAGAAATCACAAAAATATTACAAATTTTAAAAGCTGGCAACACAAAACAAAATTTAGAAAAATAACAATATGTTTATTAATTCCTTAGTCTCTATAATCTTTGCTACATATTTAGGATCTTTGATCACCTCATCATATGCCCATGATTTTGTAATCTGCCTAGGAAATAATAGTTAAGACTTCCCTTTAGCATGGTTAATTTTAAAATTTAATATTAATAGTTTGGAATGGTTTCTTTCTACTTCATAATTCATTATTGCAAATCATGCAGAGTTTTAAGGACCACTGTTAAATCTGGGGGCATTTCAAGTTTTCTTGTAGTTTGACTAATCCTAAATACCCTTTGACATGAGAAAACTCATAACCTGGTTTTTCAACCACATCCACACTGCCATGGCATTACAGGGGCTTACACTAGCATTCACGGTAGGCCCTACAAATTCGTGTTACAAACCTAGGTGAGTCAAATAAGATGGCAGAGTATTCCTGGCAGCCATTCCAATACTGAGATGCCCAGCAAGAACAACTACCCACAACAGTGGCTGTGGACCACCTAAGTGATCCCACTAACCCAAACTGAATATGTACCCAATTCAAGTTCCCTTGGCTGGGAAAAATGCCAGTGGCAATTTAGTAGTACCCAACATAAAGAGAAGTATGACAGAGGGAAGAAGAGTGGAAGAAGAGAACCATCTTAACTGACCGTAGCTAAAGCATCTTATTTTGAAAATTTGAGGACACACTGCTAGGTGAAATCCAGGGCCTTGTAAGTGGTTCCTTTGTAAGCGAGGGGCTCTAAAACTGGTTAGATGAGCTTCCCTTTAAATCTGCCTCTGAATAATTAAGAAGCAAATGAACTGCAACATAGTAGTAATGGAAGTACTGGCAGGAACAAGCACAGTTAGTAACAGCAAATCTCTCCCACTTATTGATGAAAAACAAAACCTAACACTGAGAGCTTACTACTATGACAGGTACTCTGCTAAGCACTTCACATGAATTAATTAATTTGACTGTATTAATTTTAATTTGTGTTATTTTTGTTACTTTTAGATGCTTTGATAGGAGCTTTATATATAGTCAGTATTTTGTAAAACAACCCCACAAAGCTACTTTACGCTATTACTACTCTTTTATAGATAAGGAAATTGACTTCAACAATCACATAGCGGAGATGAGATTCAAACCTCGGTCTAGCTATGCTCCTTCATGATAGGAATTCAGAAGAGGAAGAGATCACCTCAGTGAAGAGATCCATTAAAAAGGCTTTACAGATAGGTATATGAAGCTGGATGTTGGGGAATGAGTTAAGAGATGAACAGAAAGACAAGATCATGACCTGCATTTGAGGTAGACAGGCCATGATAACAAAAGAAGAAAAATGGCAATGCTCAGGGTTACTCAGAATACAGTGACAGAATAATTCTACAGAGCCAAAGACCATGCTACAAATCCTGTGATCCCCCAGTAGAAAAATGAATTAAAGTCTTATGACCAATTTTCTCCTTATTATGTAGCCATAAGCTTTCTTTTACATAGAAAAAAGAGAAAAAAAGGTAATATTTCTTTAGAGTCCAATTCCATCTCCCCAATTCTCTATGAAAGGGCAGATGCAAAGAACATGCAAAGAAGTGCCCCATTTCTGTCACCTGGAAAGCCAAATCCAGCGATTTCTGCCATGATGGTAAGGTGATTTCCACTGGACACTGAGGTTTTACCCCAAGCATGTCACATCCTTACTCCACTACAGAGGAGGTATAGAAAAGGACCCATCATGGAGGCTTAAAATCAGAGCCTCTAAACTCCAGCTAATTTTCTTCCTCAAGGTTTCATTAGAAGAGGTTTTTTGGTGTTTTTTTTTAATGTGAGCTAAAAGATGCTGTTCACACATTAGAATAATGACAACCAAAGTTTTAACAGATTTTACTTACTCTGCATGTAGGAAATGTACTTGACAAGAAACGCACACAGAGTAAAATCTGTGAGTTCAGGAGAGAGCAAAACAAAAACACTCCTCCTCAAAAAGTTACCTGACTCCAAACTCACTTGAAGGAATGTTTTTTGCAATTTGCAAACAGCATGTGGGATACTAGCCCCAGGGTAGTAAAGGAGAAAATATTTGTTCTGGCTTCCATAAAGTCCAAATCCCTCATCCAATGTTATAAAAACCTTCTCTCACCACTATTGCCTGTGTTGGAGAGAGAAAGAGTGAGGGAGAAATAGGGAAAGGGAGGGAGCGATCTGCTGTAAATGGACACCGGAGGTAGATGACAGAGGAATTCCACCCAATTCATCTCAGCATTTTGTCCTATTTTTCATATGCCTTAAGTCTGCACAAGCTGTACTAACAGGATGAAACACTGTGAAAATCACAGAAGTAAGCATCTCTAAAATTACATGCATAATCTGTTTTCAATTTAAATCAAAGTCTCATCTCTGACCTACCTCTAGAGAGTAACTTAAGCTGGAAATATACATAGAAAATGACCAGATGTTTGACACTAATAGTCATCATCCATAAAATAGAAAAGTCAGGCTTCAAGAGACTTCATGAAAAGAATAAATAAGAGAATAACATAATGCTTTTGCATACCACTCTTGAAGTTTACATGCAGTTAGCATCTATTTCAGCAGACACTCTAAAAATATGTGTCCTCTATAGGGATCCTGGCCCTAAAGCAGGCTTCTCAACCTGAGGTGGTGCATAAATGGTCTTCTGGGGGGGTTATAAATCCCCCAAAATAGTATATAAAACTTTTCATGTATATGCATTGTATTAGTCCATTTTCGTGCTGCTGATAAAGACATACCCGAGACTGGGCAATTTGCAAAAGAAATAGGTTTATCATAGTTACAGTTCCACATGGCTAGGAAGGCCTCATAACCATGGCAGAAGGTGAAAGGCATATCTCACACGGCGGCAGACAAGAGAAGAGCTTGTATAGGGAAACTTCCCTTTTTGAAACCATCAGATCTCATAAAACTGATTCACTATCATGAGAACAGCACAAGAAAGACCCACCCCATGATTCCATTATCTCCCATCGGTTCCCCCCCACATTACAAGGAAATTATGGGAGCTACAAGATGAGATTTGGGTGGGAACACAGAGCCAAACCATATCATTCCACCCCTGGCCCCTCCCAAATCTCATGTCCTCACATTTCAAAACCAATCATACCTTCCCAACAGTCCCCCAAAAGTTTAGCTCATTTCAGCATTAACTCAAAAGTCCACAGTCCAAAGTCTCATCTGAGACAAAGCAAGTCCCTTCTGCCTATGAACCTGTAAAATCAAAAGCAAGTTAGTTACTTCCCAGATACAATGTGGTATAGGCATTAGGTAAATAAAGCCATTCCAAATGGGAGAAATTGGCCAAGACAAAGGGGCTATAGGCCCCATGCAAGTCCGAAATCCAACAAGGCAGTCAAGTCTTAAAGCTCCAAAATGATTGGGAGAAATTGGCCAAGACAAAGGGGCGATAGGCCCCATGCAAGTCTGAAATCCAACAAGGCAGTCAAATCTTAAAGCTCCAAAATGATCTCCTTTGACTCCAAGTCTCATATCCAGGTCACACTGATAAAAGAGGTGGGTTCCCATGGTCTTGGGCAGCTACCCACCTGTGGTTTTTGCAGGATACAGCCTTGCTCCCCGCTGCTCTCACGGGCTGGTGTTCAGTGTCTGTGGCTTTTCCAGGTGCACAGTGCAAGCTGTCAGTGGATCTATCATTCTGGGGTCTGGAGGATGGTGGCCCTCTTCTCACAGCTCCACTAGGCAGTACCCCAGTAGGGACTCTGTGTAGGGGATCTGACCCCACATTTCCCTTCTGCACTGCCCTAGCAGATGATCTCTATGAGAGCCCCACCCCTGCAGCAAACTTCTGCCTGGACATCCAGGCATTTTCATACATCCTCTGAAATCTAGGTGAAGGTTCCCAAACCTCAATTCTTGACCTTCTGTGCACTCGCAGGCTCAACACCACGTGGAAGCTGCAAGGCTTGGGGCTTGCACCCTCTGAAGCCATGGCCTCAGCTCTATGCTGGCCCCTTTCAGCCATGGCTAGAGTGGCTGGAAGGCAGGGCACCAAGTCTATAGGCAGCATACAGCACAGGGACCCTGGGCCCGGCCCATGAAACCACTTTTTCCTCCTAGGCCTCCAGGCCTGTGATGGGAGGGGTGGCTGTGAAGACCTCTGACATGCCCTGAAGACATTTTCCCCATTGTCTTGGGGATTAACATTTGGCTCCTTGTTACTTATGCAAATTTCTGCAGCCAGCTTGAATTTCTCTTCGGAAAACAAGATTTTCTTTAATATCACATTGTCCAGCTGCAAATTTTCTGAACTTTTATGCTCTGCTTCTCTTATAAAACTGAATGCCTTTAACAGCACCCAAGTCAACTCTTGAATGTTTTCCTGCTTAGAAATTTCTTCCGCTAGATACCCTAAATCACCTCTCTCAAGTTCAAAGTTGCACAAATCTCTAGGGCAGGGGCAAAATGCCACCAGACTCTTAGCTAAAATATACCAAGAGTCACCTTTACTCCAGTTCCCAACAAGTTCCTAATCTCCATCTGAGACCACCCCAGCCTGGACTTCATTATCCATATCAATATCAGCATTTTGGTAAAAACCATTCAACAAGTCTCTACCGAGTTCCAAACTTTCCCACATTTTCTTGTCTTCTTCTGAGCCCTCCAAACTGTTCCAACCTCTGCCTATTACCCAGTTCCAAAGTCTCTTCCACATTTTCAGGTATTTTCAGTAGCGCCCCACTCTACTGGTACCAGTTTACTCTTTTAATCTATTTTCATGCTGCTGATAAAGACATACCCGAGACTGGGCAATTTACAAAAGAAAGAGGTTTATTAGACTTAAACAGTTCCACGTGGTTGGGGAGGCCTCACAATCACGGCAGAAGGTAAAAGGCATGTCTCATATGGCGACAGACAAGAGAAGAGAGCTTGTGCAGGAAAACTCCCCTTTTTAAACCGATCAGATCTCAAGAGACTTACTAACGATCACAAGAACAGCATGGGAAAGACCCACCCCATGATTCAATTATCTCCCACTGGGTCCCTCCCACAACATGAGGAAATTATGGGAGCTACAAGATTTGGGTGGGGACACAGAGCCAAACCATATCATGCATAAAAGCACTTTTTGGAGGAGTCCATAGATTTCATCTTTTCCTATGAAGTAGTCAAAACCTAAGCTATTTCACTGACGTTACCCCAAGGTCTAAAACAGTGTCTGGCAAATAAAAGATTGAGAATTTTTCTTTACTCAGCTACTGCTTTAGTGATTCACAGCAAAGGTTCTAAGCTCATTCTTTATCACCAGTGGACTTATCAGCTAGACCAAGTATGGTCAGAGTGAAAACTTCATATCTGATGCTTAGAAATCAGATTGAATTAAAAATAACAACCCAACCAATTGGTTATTCATTTTTTCTTCATGGTAAACAAACACAGGAATTCTTAAAACACTAGATCTAGTAAGTAAAGCTGTAGATTTAAAAAACAAAAAAAAGAACAAAACAAAACAAACAAACAAAAACGAGGGTTCTGAATAAATTTTTCCAACCTCTCTCGATAGAGGAAGGCTTCAAACCAAGTTTACCTGGCTACAAAACACACCTAAATTTTCAGAAGAGGAAGATATTTCTGTTGACTACATTTTCAAAACCTTCAAATGCAATTATAATTAACAAATATGAACTAATTCAATTAATCAGTTACAAATTATATGCCTACAAAGTCACTCCTTTGGATCTAAAACTCATATATCTAAGGTGGGTTATATAATAAGAAAGGGAAAGAAATGTGGATGTTTTGGTGGTAGTGTGAGAGAGGTGGGGTTTAAATTACTTTCAAGTGATTTGGATTACAACCAATATTATTTCCCCAAGGTCTAAAAAATGAATCACATGCAAAGCTAGGAAATGAATCCAAAATGCCTAACACCCACGATACAGTGCTTTTTTTTTTCACCCAGAAAACTATCTGAAAGGCTGCAAACAACGGAGCCTTCCAGAGATGCAGTGGGTGGTTTTTGTCCACACATTACATCAGACGGCACCTTTCAGTAAACCAGCACTTCATCCTGTGGAGAACGGAATCCAGATTTCAGCTGGAAAGCTCGGTAAAGTTACCTTTGTATTTTGTCCCTGAATGTCTTCATCTATAGCTGTTACTAGTAGACTAAGTAGGTGCTGTTTCAGGTGGCTGTCTAGTGTGGAATAGCTATAATTCTCCAAAGTTTAAGTTAATGATAGATGTTTGCTTTTCAGACAAACTAATTCAAGGACAGAGATTATAGTTGTAGGGTTTGGTATATTTTTTAAATAACAGAGCGCCATCCTTAAAGCAGTGATTCTTAGGGAGAGGCATACAACCCCAACCCTCAAGAATATCAGAACTTCCTGGGGGTGTATGCGATGAAAAAAAAAGCAAATATTTAAGTTCATAATTCTGTTTTGTTTTGTAACAGAGTTTCGCTCTTACTGCCCAGGCTGGAGTACAATGGCGTGATCTTGGCTCACCACAACCTCCACCTCCCAGGTTCAAGCAATTCTCCTGCCTCAGCCTCCCAAGCAGCTGGGATTACAGGCGCATGTCACCATACCAGGCTAATTTTTTTATTTTTAGTAGAGACAGGGTTTCTCCATGTTGGTCAGGCTGGTCTCGAACTCCCGACCTCAGGTGATCCACCTGCCTTGGCCTCCCAAAGTGCTGGGATTACAGGCGTGAGCCACTGTGCTCGGCCCATAATTTTGTATTTAAAAAAGGAAAACAAAAACATTACCCTAATAACAAGAACACTTAAAGAAGGGTGTGTGACTCTTCCATTAAGAGAGGGGAAACAGGTGAAGTAAAGCTCCAATTCCTGTTTTCACAAGTGTAGCTGATTAGATGCCCTGGAGGGCCCTTCTGCTCCAACAACGAGATCTCACATAAGTCATAGTTTTTATTCCATGTCTCACAAGGAAGTCGGGGAAATCTTTAAAAGGACAAACCAATATAGCTGTAGGCTAAAACCAGAGAGCAGAAAGATGGGTAGGAGTGTTAAACTGAGAGCAAAGGGTCATTTTAACACTTCAGTGGGCCAGGTGCGGTGGCTCACACCTGTAATCCCAGCATTTTGGGAGATCAAGGCAGGTGGATCACCTGAGGTCAGGAGTTTGAGACTAGCCTGGCCAACATGGCGATACCCCGTCTCTACTAAAAATACAAAAATTAGCCGGGTGTGGTGGCACATGCCTGTAATCCCAGCTACTCAGGAGGCTGAGGCGGGAGAATCGCTTGAACTTGGAAGGTGGTGGTTGCAGTGGGCCGAGATCATGCCACTGCCCTCCAGCCTGGGCAACAGAGCGAGACTCCAGCTTAAAAACAAACAAATAAAAAAACACTCCAGTGGGGACACTGAGCCCTTGGACCAGCAGAAAGGTAGGCAAGAGGAAAGCAGAGCCTGAGATTTTTAAGTAATGCCAGGGATCCTGAAACAGCTAGTCACCCCAGAGACAGGCACTGTCACTCAGTGGAAGGCTGCACTCTCAAGAAAAAGCATCCTTGGCCGGGCGCGGTGCCTCACGCCTGTAATCTCAGCACTTTGGGAAGCCGAGGCGGGCGGATCACCTGTGGTCAGGAGTTCAAGACCAGCCTGGCCAACATGGTGAAACACTGTCTCTACTAAAAATACAAAAATTAGCCAGGCGTGGCATGGTGGCGGGCACCTGTAATCCCAGCTACTCAGGAGGCTGAGGCAGGAGAATCACTTGAGGTTGCAGTGATTTCCGAGCCGAGATTTCCACTGCATTCCAGCATGGGCGAAAGAGCAAAACTCCGTTTCAAAAAAAAAAAAAAAAAAAAAAAGGCGCCAGCCACGGTGGCTTGCACTTTAGGAGGCTGAGGCGAGTGGATCACCTGAGGTCCAGAGTTCGAGACCAGCTTGGCCAACATGGAGAAACCCTGTCTCTACTAAAAATACAAAAATTAGCTAGGCATGGTGGCAGGATCCTGTAACCCCAGCTACTCGGGAGGCTGAAGCAGGAGAATCACTTGAACCCAGGAGGCGGAGGTTGCAGTGAGCCGAGATCACGCCATTGCACTCCAGCCTGGGCAACAAAAGCGAAACTCTGTCTCAAGAAAAAAAAAAAAAAGGCATCCTTGACACACTAATATCCAGAATCTATAAGGAACTTAAGAAAAAAATAATCCCATTAAAAAGTGGGCAAGACATAAACAGATACTTCTCAAAAGACATGTATGTGGCCAACACACATACAAAAAAATGCTCAACATCGCTCATCATCAGAGAGATGCAAATCCAAACCACAACGAAATGCCATCTCACACCAGTCAGAATGGCTATTAAATAATCAAAAAACAGGCCGGGTGCAGTGCCTCATGCATGTAATCCCAGCACTTTAGGAGGCCAAGGTGGGCAGATCACCTAAGGTCAGGAGTTCGAGACCAGCCTGGCCAACATGGCAAAACCCTGTCTCTACTAAAAATACAAAAATTAGTCAGGCATGATGGCAGGAGCCTGTAATCCCAGTTACTTGGGAGGCTGAGGTAGAAGAATCGCTTGAACCCAAGAGGCAGAGGTTGCAGTGAGCCGAGATCGCACCACTGCACTCCAGCCTGGAAACAGAGCAAGACTCCATCTCAAAAAAAAAAAAAAAAAAAAGCAATAGATGTTAGTGAGATTGCAAAGAAAGCTATTTGGGAGGCTGAGGTCGAAGGACCACCTGAGACCAGGAGTTCAGTGTGGGCAATATAGTGAGACCTCGTCTCTAAAAAAATTAAATAAAATAAAAAATACTTCCCCCAGTGTGGTGGTGCACACCAATAGAAAAAAGAGAAAGTATCCTTAGGTTAGGCCTAGATTTTCACAGATTAATATCAATCAAATATCCATTTATAATACAAGCAAAGAAACCACCATATGTACAAGTCATAAGAAATAACAACAGATTTAGATCTCTAAGAACTTCAGATATTTGAAATATCACATATGGAATACAAAACAGCTGTGCACACAATGTTTTAAAAATTTGAAAAGGAGTAAGCCAGGTGCGGTGGCTCACACCTGTGATCCAGCACTTTGGGAGGCCGAGGCAGGCGGATCACCTGAGGTCGGGAATTCGAGACCAGCCTGATCAACATGGAGAAACCCCATCTCTACTAAAAATACAAAAATTAGCCAGGCGTGGTGGCGGCCGCCTGTAATCCCAGCTACTCCAGAGGCTGAGGCAGGAGAATTGCTTGACCCCGGGAGGTGGCAGTTGCGGTGAGCCGAGATTGCACCATTGTACTCCAGCCTGGGCAACAACAGCAAAACTCCATCTCAAAAAAAAAAAAAAAAAAAAGAAAGAAAAGAAAAGAAAAGGAGTAAAAAAATTAAGCAAGCAAAAAACAACTTGATTATAAAAAGAACCAAGAAAATTTTAGAAATGAATAATATAATTGGTGGAAAAACTGTGTATTGATTGGTTATCAATAATAAGTTAGATACAGCTGGAAGCAGAAAAAGTTAGCTGTAAAACAAAAATGAATAAAGAACCCAGAATAGCACAGAGAGACAAGAACATGAAAAAATGACAAAGGAGGTTAACAGTATTGAAGGACAGAATGACTAAACATGTTTAATTGCAGTCACAGAAAGAAAAAGTTAAGCAGGTACAAGCTAGGTGATATTTGAATGGATAAGAACTGAGAATTCTCAAGAAAGAAAGAAACTCACAGGTATACAAACCACAACATATAACAAGTAGAATAACTGAAAAGAAATTCAGGGAGGGCATGGTGGTGTATGCCCATAATCTCAGCACTTTGGGAGGCTAAGGCAGTAGGATCCCTTAAACTCAGGAGTTCAAGATCAGACTGGGGAACATAGTAAGACCTTGTTTCTACAAAAAAATGTTCAAAAAATTACCCAGGTGAGGCTCCAGAGCCCGTGAAACAAATGTCTTATTTATGCCACCCTGTTTGTGGTATTCTGTCATAGAAGCCCAAGCTCACTAAGACCCCAGATAGAGCAATAAGCACAATGCTTATCACATAGTTTTCAGTAATTGGCAGGTGTTATTAATCATTATAACTCACTCATCCCAAAACAAAACATGTGCATTCCCAAGTCCATGCCTTTGCCCACATTATTTCCTCCACTTTCCCATCCACACCGCTGTCCCTCCCAAATCTATACTTAAGTCAGTCAATTATCTGTACAAGTCCAGCTCCTTTTTGAAATTCTCCTCTACCAGGTCAGCCCAGAGAGAGTAAGTGCTCTCACTTCTAAACCCACAGAATATTTACCCAAATGCTGCTCTGTTATTTGACTAAACTATATGTTCCCTCTGGTAAAGGGAAGACATTATCTTAAGTTCTCCTGCTTTGCCCATGGAATGCTTTACTGCCATGAAAATGGAGACTACCAAATAAATATGGATTGGCTGATTAAGTTTCAGTACCCTGACAGAGATGCTTTAAAGGAAAAACATGCCCCACCCCTGCCAAAAAAAAAAAAAAAAAAAGCAGCTGTCTTTGGATTTGTTGCATTGTCTCTAAGCTTCCAGGCAGCTGCACTTCATTCTAAAGACATTAAATATTTTCCTTAGAGAAAGACATCCAACAGGGAAGTCCATGTTGGGCAGGAAGAAGTGATGGGGCACATCAGCTGACAGAGTGCTTCGGGAAACATCTTTCAGAGTCTAGTTTCAACAGAAGTCAATTTCACCCTGTATTTTTATCACTCAAGAGGAAGAAAACAGAGATCTTCCAGGGGCTGCCACAGAGTAGGTGCTCAATAAATTTTGGCTCGCTTTGAACAGGTGAACAAAGGCCATTACTCAGATCGTTTTGTCAGTGTGTTCAAAAAGAAGGGGGGAGGCCGGTAATCTCGGCAGCTCTCAGTTTTCCAGCTAACCATTTGCTGAGGACACCACAGCTGACTCCCCCACCCAAAAGTCAGTGGCAACTAATCTCTCAAATGAGTCACAAACAATACATTATCAAGCAACTGAACTTCCAGTCAGCCACTCCTTCATCCAATGTGGCTGATATTAAGAAGCTAGAAAAAGGCACAATCCACATGCTATCACATTAAACAAACAAATTATATTTTCCCATTACTAGTGCCAAATTTAAAATTCCACTATTGTATCTACTGGAAGCCAAACCAAGATGCAACTTTTTTCATTACACAAAAAATATCCTCATCAAAGAACATTTGGAAAACAGACAAAGGAATACAAGAATCAACCAGGAAAACAAAAACAAAGAAAAGCAGAAAACAATTTGCTGTAACACTTCCACTCATAAACAGCCCCTATCAACAGTCTGGTTCATTCTCATCCTGTTTTTTCCCCTAAGCATAGATGTTTTGTGTAATCGTAATCATACAGTATATACTAGTATACCTGCAGCTTGTGTCACTTAAATGATATCATAAGCATTTCTCCATCTTTTTCTCCTTCTTAACCTTGTAACTGCACAAAAGCAGATGGCAGAAAGATTCTGAAATTAAACCAAGTCAATAAATTATTACCATTCTCTTTCTTCCAGAATAACTACTGTAGTACAAACTGACACTTTTCCAGAAGTTCCTAGGGCCACTAGAAATAAGACATTTTTTTAAAAATGCCTCGACACAAAGAGAGTGTTTAAGAAATGTTAACTCACTTTCAAGTGACAAAGTGAGATAAACTGAATATTTACTAGAATCACCTCTGGAAAGATACAAAAAAATTAAATTCAGCCTCTGTTACCAACAAAATGTTTATTATCATTGAGAAAATACAATGCACTGACACCTAACAACTAAAGCCCAATGTAAATCGGAGTCAATTACCCTGGCTCTTTAAGGACTGGCGATGTTTTACCCATTTTGCAACCCTAGCACACAGAACAGTGCCTGACACGTCATAGATACTCAATAAATGGGTGTTGTACTAAACTGAACTAGAGACTATGATCTAAGCTTATTTAGAGATAGGAAGGATCACTGTGGGCTGAGGTTGTCAAACATAGCAGATAGCATGACTATGGCAGAATTTGATTTTGGCAATAATTTTCAGGAAGAAGGCTGAACCATAGAAACCTTGGGAAACTGCAAATGAAAGATAATGTAAGAAAAAATGTTCATATAGTCCTAACTCTATTAAATAGTTTGATGTCTTTATACAAGCAGCACTGAAACCTCTGCTGTATGTATTAACTACTCATGGGAAATGTAATATATAACACATAACAAATACTACTTAAAACCAAAAGAAACACACCAACACAAAACACTACAGCATTCCTGGGACATCAGAAACAAGGGCTAACTCTCAGGAAGCTTTCTGTGTGCCATGCCAAGAAGCAGAGAGACAGTCAATTAAGGCTTTAGCTCTCCATATAGAGTACCACAGTGGATACTGTCCTTGCTAAACTAGGTGTAAAAGAATGTGCTTACCAAAACTTTCTTTCGGGATCGCTTTACACTCCAGTGAAGCTATTTGCATATACTGCTAGAATTCTGAGAGTACATGCAAAGATCTGAAATTTGCATTCAACTTTGACAGCATAACATTCACACCACCTGACTATAAACATCTTTTTTTTTCCCCCAAGACGGAGTTTCACTCTTGTACCCCAGGCAAGAGTGCAGTGGCGCAATCTCAGCTCACTGCAACCTCCACCTCCCGGGTTCAAGCGATTCTCCTGCCTCAGCCTCCAGAGTAGCTGGGACTACAGGCAAGCACCAGCACGCCCGGCTAATTTTTGTATTTTTAGTAGAGACAGGGCTTCATCATGTTGGCCAAGATGTTCTTGATCTCCTGATCTTGTGATCCGCCCACCTCGGCTTCCCAAAGTGCTGGCGTGAGCCACTGTACCCGGCCAACTATAAACATATCTTAAAAGAGAATCCAGCTGGGCGTGGTGGCTCACGCCTGTAATCTCAGCACTTTGGTAGGCCAAGGCGGGCAGGTCACTTGAGGTCAGGAGTTCAAGACCAGCCTGGCCAACATGGTGAAACCCCATGTCTACTAAAAACAATAAAAAAATTAGTCAGGCAAGGTGGCACGCATCTGTAATCTCAGCTACTCGGGAGGCTGAGGCAGGAGAATGGCTTTAACCTGGGAGGCGGAGTTTTGCAGTGAGTTTTGCAGTGAGCTGAGCTCATGCCACTGCATCAGAAACTCAGTCTCAAAAAAAAAAAAAAATCCAACTTCACCACTAGGGTATTCTTCAGCAGACTCCATACATCCTAACTTCATTCACACATATTTTCCTTTCTTTTACTACATTTGTGCTTTTAAAAAATTCAAAGAATTTATGGAGAAGGAATTTGCTAATACCACATCTCTAACAGCTGCTAGTCGAATGTACTAAATCCATAGCTGCGTCTGTTACATTATGTGGCCATCTTATACTTGAGGAAAGTCTGGTTGCTTTCAAAAGAACTGATTTAAACCCACCCCATGGAGTTTAAGAACAAGTTCCATGGAGCTTAGGGGTTGTGTGGATAATTCTGCCTGAATGTAATACTGCAATTACTTATGATTAAGTATCTCTAGTACTTATCCATTCAGTCTCCTTAGCCTGAAGCACTGAAGAACAAATGCCCATCAACAAGTCATGTGGGAATGAGCAGCTGATATAAAGTACTGCATGCTTTCAAGACAGGTGTTCTTTGTTTTTTTTAAAACATACACACAAGTCTGACAATGATTATATCTGCCAGATAATTAAGAATTAGAACATAAAAGAATATGCCATTCTAAAAAACGTTACTGGAGTCCAAACAGATGCAAATAAAAGAATTAAACATTTTTTCAAAAATTTCCCAGAAATTTTGATTTTCAGATTTTGATATGCTTCAGCACACAAGTTGTCTTATCTGAAGAATGAAAACTGTTGCTGTTTTAATTCTAAATAAGGCACTTCTCTCTAGAATATCAAAGATTTGGAAACCTAACACTAATGAGTACACAATCATTCAAAAAAGCCATGTGGCATAACATTTGTAAAGCTGAACTGCACCTGTCATGAGTCAACAAAAGAATATTTTATATACAAACCACATAGTGTTGAAAACTTGATAATCTGTTTAAACTGATCCATTAAAAGAACTCCACCGTCAAATGGAATAATACAAATAACTAAAAATTGGATTAACACAAATAATGAAGGATTTCCCATTTAAAACGCACAGGATAACACTCCCGACAAGGGTCTGAATCTCTCCATACTTCTGTTCCCTCATCCACAAAAGGGCACAACAATAGTAACGACTTCTTAGAGTTATCAAGATTAAATAAATTAGCAAACATTAAATTCTTGTAACAGAGCCTGGCAAAGGGTAACCACAAAAGAAATGTTTGCTGTTATATCAAGAACCAAAATTTTTAAGATGAAAATAAATAGTAATAGCAATTGAGAATAATCATAAAAAATAAAAAGGACACAGTAGTCATGACTTCTGGAAGAACAGTTTTAGGGTAGCTTAAAGCATAAACCAAATAATGGAAAAAGAGCCCCTACTAAAAAAAAGATAGCTACACGCCTTCAAAGTGGATTCATACATCCTACTACCTCGATTATTTGTCATTAGAACTAGTTTGCAAAATTTGATTCTTCCTCCTACGCTCTGCATGTGAATCCCAGCCCCTACCAGCAAAAAAGCCACAAAACTAGTCCCTTAGGGGAAGGAAATCAGAGGTTAAGGGTAAGTGAAGCTCTTTGCATTTTCTAGTTTTATTAACAAACTACCAAGTTGAAATTCATTCCTGAGCTAAACTGCCAAATGCTTCTGCAACAAAAACTGCAAACTTTCACGTGAACAGATCTTTTCAACAATAGAGAGTTGTTCCAGGCTGTGAATAGGACAGTGTCAGTGTGACCAACACAGCGGGTGCTGGACATTCCTGACACCCTTGTCCCCTGGCTAGCCTTTGATCACTTATCTCCCAACAGCATTTGGTTTTGGGAATCACTTTCAGGCAAAGTATACAGACTTTGCCTTAGCGTACATAATCTATACGCTAAAACTCATCTTTTGTCACAGCCCATCACGAGCATCCCATTAGCATAAAGCACCAAACACAGGAATGCTTTGTTTTCCAAAATCTGTCCACCTTCACTCCTAAACAGTCCCTCCGTGTTTTAATTTGTATATTCTGGAAAACATCATGGGATGACAGTGGCAATTCAAACAATAAAATAATCTAAGAACCGAAAAAGGTCCTGGTCTGGTTACCTGCGGATGGCTGCCAGGGGAAGAGTGTGGTGTCCTGCTTTAGGTAAATATGAAGTTGAGGCTTCACTACTTAGAATGCAGCCTTGGAAAGCAGACTAGACTTGACTCTGAAAATGGATTAATGAAACCTATCTCACAGAGCTGCTGAAAGGAGTAAACGAGATAATGGCTCCAAAGTGCCTAGTAGACAGTACAAGCTCACTAAAGGAAAGCTATTTTAGTCCTCTGTACAACTGTCCAGGAAAATGTGGATCTAATGAGAATTCCAAACAGAGGGAAAGAAAATGCACAAAACTATCAAGTTTATTAGTGTGTCTTGATCAAATGCCCCGAATGCTATTTCCGGATAAGAGTCTGCGTGGTCTCCTCGGCCAGGCCAGAGACAAAAAAGGTACTGGATTGATATCCATTTTATTTCTGTAAAAGAAAAGCAGTTCCTTTGTGTCGAGTCAAATGAACTGCAGATCCCCAGAGGGCTGTGACCAAGCAGCCCGCCAGGCCTCGGAGCTCTGCCTCGCCGGTCCTCAGCTACGTCCCCCGCTCACCGTCCCTTCTGGAGAGCACAGCACTGCTGCGCAGGGTCTTCCAGCAAGTTCCAGCGCCCACGCCGCAGCTGCCGCGCTCCCTCCAGAGGGCCGTGCCCACCGCCCGGGAGGGGTCCACCCCGGGGACGAGCCCACCGCCCAGCACAGGACCCCGCCTGGGAGGAGCCCACCCGGGGGATGAGCCCACCGCCCAGCACAGGACCCCGCCTGGGAGGAGCCCACCCGGGGGATGAGCCCACCGCCCAGCACAGGACCCCGCCCGAGAAGAGCCCGCCCCCGGGGTCCGACGGCTGTCCGGGACCGACTCACTGCCTGGGACGGGCCCCCCATCCCAAATTAGCTCCCCGCCCCGGTCCAACTGCCGGGCGTCCCAGGGCCCCCGCCCTAGCCAGGCCCGAGTCCCAGCCCTGGCTGCGGGGACGCGGGCGCGCGCCGCCCCTCCGGCCCGGGACCCCGGGAGCCCTCGGAGCCAGGACCGCTATCCTCGCCCGGACCGGCTCCAGCAGCTTCGGCCCGCTCTGCTTCCGTCGCCCCCAGACCCTAGTCTCCCAACAGCGGAAACGCGCAAACTCACCCCTGAAAAGCAGCAGCAGGAAGAAGTCAGGCAGCCGAGCGCAGAGCCGGAGTCGCGGTGGCCGCCTCAGCGCCATGTCGAGGGTTGCTGAGGGGCCAGCGGCAGCGCGGCGCGGCTTGTAGTCCCCGCGCGCATGCGCCCAGCCTGCCAGGACCCTGCGACCCGCCCCAGTTACCATGGCGACCGCCGGGCCCAGCCGAGCCGGCACCATGGTGACAGAGGAAGCTGAGGTCTAGCTGCTTACGGATGCAGCGATGCTCTGGACCGGCACATGGGTTCTCTTTCAATGAACTTGGCGGGAGGAGAGTAAAGAAGTATGTACAAGAGTGAAGCAGGGTATATTTCCATAGCTATAGAATAAATCCATCACAACAGGTCGGAGAAGGAACACTCCTTTAAAATTTGGGAAATAAAGTATTTCTTATTTTACAAATAAGGATGCAGCCCAGTTATCTTGGAAGCATTATCGCCTTCACATCTTTTGGGCCCCCAATTCCAAATTGATGGAAGGAAAAGAGCTGAAATCTGCTTAAAACATAAGCAATACATACATTATACAGCATATAAAAGTGATGTCTTGCTAAAATAATTTGTTTATGTGGTAGATCAAAAGCATGATGGCATACCCAATAGTTTATTCTGCAGAAAAGCAGACTAATTATTTGCTCTGATTTCTGAATACTGGGAGATAGTAAAACCAGGGAAGAACAGGTAAGATGAGGACAAACAGGAAAAATGAAGAGAAGGATAAATTAAAGCAGAAATTAGATCTAAAAAAGCAAGAGTATTTAAAGTCTCACTTAATACTATGGAAAATACTTGAAAAGCTTGTATTTTAGCAAGTATAGAAAGTACACCTCCAATGTTCCCAGAAACAGCAGTCTAGCAACAGAATTCTGAATATAATTGTTAGTAAAATAAGCCAGTTTCCAACTAATATTTTTAATGTTTAACTTTTTCATATACTCATGCTACTTTTTTAGTATTTTTAGTTTTCATGCAAAATAGAAGTATATTTACATATTATGTATACCAAATTTATATATGTAAAAGCCGGGAAACGTGAAATAGATTGAGATTGTTGCCAAGAATATGCTTCAGTTTCCATCACTGTATAATCTTCTTTGTAAATCTTTATAACTGCTCAGATCTTTATGTTAATTGATTACCTTCTCAAAAATCTTATAAAGACAGAATAAAAATTAAAAAATAACTCAATTACCTACTATGATTCTGTCTTTCCTTTCATAAATCTTCTTTATGTTCCAGGTCACCATGCACTAAATCACAAGTAAAAGTGTGTAAAAGTTGTTTTATAATGGTGGCCTCTTTCCCTTTATCAAGCACAAAATCGAGAAATTAAAAAGAAGAAAATTCGTCTTATGCCCACTGACATTTTTTTCTGCCCTCTGTTTTCCCTATTATTCCCTTTAGCTCCTGGTCACATGGCCAGGCATATTTACCTAACTGAAGGAACTGTTTGGGTTACTTGGAAATGTGAGATGGTGTCTGACTGTGGACAGAGCACGGTTTTCAAAAACCAGTGCCTCTTTTCTCCTGCGGAATTTTCAGTGTTTGCGTTGTAAAATGGTCTATCTGTTAAATGGTCTTCCTGCTAGGGAATCTTTTGAAACTCAGACCGAGATTACAAAAAAGGGCTGCATGAATATTCTATAAGGGGCAGAGGTTCCTAGGAGAGTGGATGGCAGGTGCTTCATTGTAAGACATTGATTTTCCTCTGCAGATGGAGTCGGCATGTCATTACCAACAGCTGAGACAGTTCCTGGAATGGAAGTCTAACTAGGGATGCAGCAGAGTGGGGTAGGACACACGTGGCTGTGAAGTGGTCTGCTCTTCCTTAGGGTTTCATTGTTCCCTGGAGAGCTCTGACCCTGTGCAGAAGGGAATCAGAGCTCAATAAGGCCAGCAGCAAAGTCCTGGAAGCATTCCGTGAGCAGGGCTGAGGAGGCTCTGCCTCCATCACAGCATTACTCATCTGAATATGCTTATTTCTAAGGTGTGGCTTACTAGGGAGACATGCACTTCTTAAAAGAGCTCGGGGAACTGAATGTAAACCAACAATAAAATGCTAAGCCCTGGCCAGGCGTGGTGGCTCACGCCTATAATCTCAGCACTTTGGCAGACCAAGGAGGGAAGACCATGAGGTCAGGAGTTTGAGACCAGCCTGACCAACATGGTGAAACCCTGTCTCTACTAAAAATACAAAAATTTGCCAGGCATGGTGGCAGGCGCCTGTAATCCCAGCTACTCGGGAGGCTGAGGCAGGAGAATCACTTGAACCCGGGAGGTGGAAGTTGCAGTGAGCCAAGATTGCGCCACTGCACTTCAGCCTGGGTGACAGAGTGAGACTCTGTCTCAAAAAAAAAAAAAAGCTAAGCCCCTCAACAATCTGAAATGACCCCTCCTCTCAGCCAAAGGCACTGCAAAGTTAACCTGAAAAACTAGTTTAAGCCATGATCGGGGAGTTGGATATGCCTTATTATACCCTCCACCCTTTTGGAATTCAGGCCAACTGACCAGCATCAACATTAAAACAGATCTTAAGACTGATAGGGCCAGGTGCGGTGGTTCAGGCCTGTAATCCAGGCCCTTTAGGAGGCCAAGGTGGGCGAATCACCTGAGTTCAGGAGTTTGAGACCAGCCTGGCCAACATGGTGAAACCCTGTCTCTACTAAAAATACAAAAAATTAACCAGGCATCATGATGCATGCCTGTAGTTCCAACTACTTGGGAGACTGAGGCAGGAGAATCGCTGGAACCCAGAAGGCGGAGGTTGCAGTGAGCTGAGATCGTGCCACTGCACTCCACCTGGGCAACACAATGAGACTCCGTCTAAAAACAAACAAACAAAAAAGACTGATACAACAGACTCTCTCTCTCTCTCTGAAGCCTGTTACCTGGAGGCTTCATCTGCATGATAAAAACTTGGTCTCCACAACCGTTATTCTAACACAGACGTTCCTTTCTTGCTTGCTTTTTTTTTGTTTTGTTTTTTGTTTTTGTTTGTTTGTTTGTTTGACAGGGTCTTACCCTGTCACTCAGGCTGGAGTGCAGTGGCACACAATCGTGGCTCATGCTTGAGCCTCAACCTCCAGGCTCAAGCAATCCTCCCACCTCAGCCTCCTGAGCAGCTGGGACCACAGGTGTGCGCCACCATAGCTGGCTAATTTTTCTACTTTTTTTTTTGGTAGAGATGGGATCTCACCATGTTGCCCAAGCTGATCTTGAACTTCTGGGCTCAAGTAATTTGCCCGCCTCAACTTCCCAATGTGCTGGGATTACAGAAGCGAGCCACTGCCCCAGAGCCAGACCAGACCTTCCTTTCTATCAGAATAATCTTTGAATCTGCCTATGACCTGAAATCCCAACCCCACCCACTTATAGTTGTCCCACCTTTCTAGACAGAACCAATGTACACCTTACATGTATTGACCGATGCCTCATGTCTCAAAAAAAAGAAAAAAAGGAATGTGATCCATGACTTCTGTTCCTTTACTATGCTATTCTAGCCCTGAACAATCATCTGAAGTCAACCCGCATCGCATGAGAGAAGTGGGATCCTTTGACTAATGGAAGTCTCTGACCTCAGAGTCCTTCTTTAAAGCATTCTTCTTCAGGGCTTTTCAAAGACCTGGGTATGTTTCTGTTTCTCCATCTCTCCTCTCTTTAAGTCCCATCTTCCTCACAATATTTTCAACTATGTTATCCCACATTTTATCTCAACTCTTATCCCCTGCTTTTTCCTTCAAAGTATTTCTTTAATTTTATTTAAATAGGAAAACCTTCTCCCACCTCCCTCTAAGGAAACAGTAGCAGACAAAACTTCCATCTTCTCCAATAACATATGCCGCTTGTGGTCTGCAAAAGAAGAAAAGTTCTTCCGCAGTTCGATCTATTTGCACATTTCTCTCCTTTGCTGAAAAAGTTTATATACCAATGGCAGATTTTGGTCAAGTGGCTTCCTAGAGAGAGGCTTTCATAAGCAGCTATTTAATAAACCTTTTGCATTTCACCAAAAGAAGGCTAGGTGTTCGTGTGTGTGTGTGTGTGTGTGTGTGTGTGTGTGTCTTTCAGTAGAAATATCATACATGCCAGGAGTTAAAGAGAGTCACACCCTTATGCTAGGGCAGGAGTTAAAGTATCCTGGTGGTATCTCTATCAGCCAAGGGCTCTTTACTGGTGCACCTTAAAACACAACAGGACAACCAACAGTGGACAATAACACAAGGAAAGCCCTTGACACAGAATCGCTTCCCTAGGGCTGATGTTCCTGGGAATTTCTCACTTCAGGCCCCATGAAGAATATCACCCACTCTGCCTGTGTCAGGGTGTCTGCCTCAATTCTTTCTTTGAGGATGTGGAGAAGCAGGTGCCCCTGCAGACACCAAAGAAAAGGTGTCTGAGAAAAGATGTCTGAGATAGCCAGTAAACAGCAGTCCCCAGTCACCTTCCAGGAGGGATCCCTGTGATGACATAAAACAGACCAGCATTTTTTTACCCTCTTCACCTGACTTGTTGAATATTTGCCCTGGCCTGGGGAGAAGGTGAGAAGCTGTTTTCTGGACTGTGCCTCGGGGCTGAGGACACTGATGAGCCTCAGGGACAGGTATGCCGCCTTCACTGGCTTCCGGTGAGGTCCCGGAGCGCCCGCTGCTTGTGGGTTGGGGCTGAGACGATCTGGGTGGGGTGGCCCACAGGGTACCTGCAGCACTCTGGTGCTCCAGTTCTGTGCCTCCAGGATGCTCCAACTACTTTGTTTACAGATGGGAGATATTTTTATTCCAGCCCTCCAATTAGAGATAATTTTCTCTTCACACAAATTACACCATGGAGTGTTTACTTCCTGGCGGCACCAGTGAGAGACCTGGGCCTCCGCTCTTTTCCCTCCTCTGCTGCTGAGATCTTGCACTTTACACAGAGTCCCGGCCAGGGTCAACCCTCGGTTTCAGGGCTTTGGAATGGGGAAAGCTCTTCCAAAGAGCTCTGGGCCAGGCATTTGACAGAGCAATTTATGTGACTCAGAGCTTTCCAGGATGGGAAGGACACTTTTTAGTGGTGGCCACTGAAGAGGTTCTGGATATCCTGTTCCAGGACTGGAAATGGGGGGACATAATTTGATTTCCTAGGTTTCTAACGTGAAGAGGGTCATTCCACAGGAAACCTTTTCCCCAGAAATTATTCAAGACCATGCCCCTTGAGCAAGCAGATAAGAGCTCTGGATAAGACTATAGTTAAGGCCGGGCGTGGTGGCTCAGGCCTGTAATCCCAGCACTTTGGGAGGCCGAGGCGGGCGGATCACGAGGTCAGGAGATCCAGACCATCCTGGATAACACGGTGAAACCCCGTCTCTACTAAAAATACAAAAAATTAGCCGGGCGTGGTGGCAGGCGCCTGTCGTCCCAGCTACTCGGGAGGCTGAGGCAGGAGAATGGCGTGAACCCAGGAGGCAGAGCTTGCAGTGAGCCAAGATCACACCACTGCACTCCAGCTCGGGTGACAGAGCGAGATTCTGTCTCAAAAAAAGAAAAAAGACTCTATACTTTGTCTTTAATGCCATGAAATTATATTCCCATGAAATTTTGGATCAGGAGGAGTGGACGTATTTGGTCCTCTTGGGTGATTCTCAGAATCCTGAAAGCACTCAAGACACTCAGTGGAGACCTACTCCAGTGCGGATGGCCACACACCCCATGAAGGACAGAGAGCTTGAATCCCACATCTGCAAAGGGCACCTATGCTTCTGCAACCCTTACACTCAGAGGTCACACCTTAGTCCATTTATCTTCCAGGCAATATGTTGTTTTCCAGCCGGGCATTGTTCCCTAGGTTTGCACTGTCCCTGTGCCCCAGGCCTACCACCAGCTGCTGCCCAAGACAGAACACAGGAAGGAAACAGGAAACTCTGCTGAGCTTGGAGGTACAAGATTCTCCTTGTGCACTCCCCACAGGGAAGGAGTGGCCACCCCCACCACCACTGGCCCAATATCAGCTCCCTCATTTTTCATCTGGATTGTTAAAATGATCTGTAGGTATGTCTTCCTGTATCTAGATGTTTCTTTTCAAAACTGTGACTAGGGCCTAGAACAGTAAGAGGTGCTCAATAAGTATCTCTGGAATGAATGAATATAAGACTCCTGCGCCCTGCAGAGCTAACATCTGCTCACGTCGTGCTGCTTGAAATTCTTGGCACCTTCAGCATGTAGCTAACACCCCTTAGTACAGCAGGCCCCGACGTTTTCGGCACCAGGGCCCAGTTTTGTGGAAGACAAGCTTTCCACGGAAGGGTTGGGTGGGGCAGTGTTTCCGGATGAAGCTGTTTCACCTCAGATCATCAGGCTTTTTAGTTAGATGCTCATAAGGAGCGTGCAACTTAGATCCCTCATGTGCGCAGTTCGCAAAAGGGTTTGTGCTCCTATGAGACTAATGCAGACCTGGCAGGAGGCAGAGCTCAGGCAGTCATGCTCTCCTTCCCACCCCTCACCTCCCGCTGTGCGGCCCAGCTGGTAACAGCTACCTGTCCACGGCCTGGGGAGTGGGGACCCCTGCCTTAGTACGACTAAAGAAGTCATGGATGAAAAAACACACCCTATGTTCCTGAGCATCACAACTTCCGCATCTCATACCACCCCCTCATCTACTGCCTTGAATCTAGCTCCGCTGAGTCAGCTGTGGTTCTTAAAACTTGCCAGGTTCTTGCGAGCCACTGCAGTTGCCAACGCAGTCCTTGCTGCCTGTATTATCCTCCCCGTCAGCCTGGTGTCGCTGAAAAGACTCAAACTCGGTAAAACATTTGAAGAGATTTATCCCGAGCCAAATATAAGTTACCATTGGCCCATGATGCAGCCCGCAAGAGATCCTGAGAACAGGTGCCCAAGGTGGTCAGGCACAGCTTGCTTTTAGACATTTTAGGGAGACAGCAGACATCAATCAATACATGTAAGATGTCCATTGGTTTGGTCTAGAAAGGCAGGACAACTCGGGGATTCCAGGTCATGGGTAGATAAGAGACAAAAGGCTGCATTATTTTGGGTCTTTAATCAGCCTTTCACTGAAATCACAACTTACATGTGAGAGAGGCGTAGAGGAATAGTCATGTATGCCTTAGTCCAGCTCAGTGAATCTGCATTTTTACATAAACAATAGAGCAGAAGAAGCAAACAGATATGCATTTGTCTCAGGTGAGCACAGGGATGACTTTCTATCCTGTACCTGTGAAGATGAGCTATCAATTTACATGGCCAAGGTGAAATTCAACAGAACTATTTTTAGAGTAAAGACCTTGAGGCCCACAAGGAATTTCCTTGTGGGCAGATTGTGAGGGAGGTATGTATCTTTAATATCTTTATAGCTATTTATTTAGGAACAAAACGGGAGGCAGGCTTGCCTGATAGTTCCCAGCTTGACTTTTCAGCTTAGTGATTTTGGGGTCCCAAGATTTATTTTCCTTTCACACTAGTCAGTTTCCTAACATCACCATGTCCTCTTGGAACCCCTTTCAGCATCATATCCTCATGGTAGAACTTCCTGGCCCCAGAGTCCCCTCCAGGATGGTTTGGGTGGACCTCCTGTGTGCTTCTGTAACACTGTGGGTGCGTCTCTCCCACACTCCATTGCATTGGATTGTAATTCCATATTTTTACTGTGATTCTAGTTCAGACTTCTAGAGTCTAATGCTGTGTTCAATCTCCTCCTTTGCTAATGTGTATGTTTGAAGCTATAATCCTTTCTAAGTACTGCAGTAGCTACATCCCACAATTTGTAATACACACTGTCTTCACTGTCACTAAGTCCCAAGTATTTTATAATTTCATTTGTCATCTCTACTTGACCACTTATCATTTAGAAGTCTGCTTTATAAGCTTCTCAATATATGAAGCCTGGGCTTGTGTTACCATCAATGACTGCCTTGGTCAGAGAACAAGGTCCATATAAAATCAATGCTTTTGTATTTGTTGAGCCTGACATTATGGCTTACTAATGGTTAATTGTTTTAAATGTGCCGTGTGTATTCTCAAATGTTTGGGCTTAGAGTTCTAAATATGTACCTATTCAGTTCAATTTCTTTATTATGCTACTTAAAACTTTACTACCTTTGCTTACTTTTTTTTTGTTTTTTGGCTTCAGCTATCAATTCCTGGAAAAGGTTTGTTAAATATCACTCTATGATTATGGATTTCTCAGCATCTCAGTATAATTCTATCAAGGTGCTTTTTATTCTTCACCATGCAGCATGCCAGTTTGGGAAAGTGATACCACGCTGGCGACGTGAGGAAGCACATGACCTCCCTCTTCCCAAGGGTTCCACCCTCTTCCTTCCTCCTTATCCCTCAGGCTCAACCCGCGAAATGCCACTCTGGCCTCAGAGCATCTCCTTTCATTCCCAAGCTTCCTGAAGCCTTAGTTCCTCTCCCAAATAGTCCTATAACATTTTCTTCCAAACAAACATGTTCCTCTTGAATGAATCTACGACAAACACAATGCTCCCTATCACATTGTGGAGTCCTAATTAGGGAAAAGGAGTCAGGCTGGCACCACCAGGAGAAAGCAAAGAGATAGAGGAAGCAGATAAGCTATAGACCTGCCTTCCCTCATGGTCCGGAACATATAGACAAAAAGAGGAAGGAGATAAGTTATAGGCCTGCCTTTCTTTATGGCCCAGGACATGCAGCCCTCCTGAGCAGATAAGGTGCAGAACTCACAGGCTTCCTGCTGGTCATCAAATGCCTCAATTTGTCAAACACCTCAGCTGATAGAAGAATGCAGGTTAGCTCACTGCTACCTTGGCATTATCAATTCGCCCAACAACCACCCTATAAAAATCCCCAGCCAGCCTTTGTCTCTTCGCAGTCAGCTTCTCTCCTGCTGGTTTTGCCCACTGCTCCCTGGCAACGTACAATGTACTTTCCTACTTTCTTTTTTCTTTTCTTTTTTTTTTCGAGATGGGGTTTTGCTCTTGCTGCCCAGGCTAGAGTGCAATGCCGTGATCTTGGCTCACTGCAACCTCCACCTCCCGGGTTCAAGCAATTCTTCTGCCTCAGCCTCCTGAATAGCTGGGATTACAGGCATGCACCACCACACCCAGCTATTTTTGTATTTTTAGTAGAGACAGGGTTTTGACATGTTGGCCAGGCTGGTCTTGAACTCCCAACCTCGGGTGATCCACCCGCCTCGGCCTCCCAAAGTGCTGAGATTACAGGCGTGAGCCACCATGTCCGACCTTGGTAAATTCTTTTACCCCTCACCACTGGCCAAGATACTCGTGGCTTACTATGACACATATCATGTCAGAGTTATGGTTTCCACATCATATCTTCCAATCGGACCACCAGTTCAGGAAGGGCCTCATCTCAGGCATCCCGGGGGGTGTACCACACAGTGTTGTTCAAGAAACACGTTAGAATGCTAAGAAAAACACTCACACAGGTGTCATAAGGGCGTGCATTGCAGAACCACCTATGAAGCATTTTGGGAATAAAATAATATCTTCGTGCTTAGAATAATTGAGAAAATTTTCTTCCTAAAGATGGGGAAAGACTTGGAGTAACTCTTGATAATCACCTAACACTATTTAACTGTTCTTCTAGCAAACTTTATGTTGTGTTTGTGCCTCGGACTGAGCTAGGAACTCAGCACCAGAGAGAGCTTGGACACAGTTTTGTTTCATTTTGTTTTTTTGTTTTTGTTTTGTTTTGTTTTATTTTTCCCCTCAAAGAATCCATGTTCCCATGGAAGAGATGGGAAGAAAAATCAATATTTTTTTTCTTGGGGATCCAGGAAACCTCAGAATGATGGAGTCTGCCATACTACCACATTGTACAGAGAAATTCTGAATAAGAGGGCAGAAAAATTAAAATGCACATGGAGCTTGAAATAGAGAAATAAACCTCCAAGTCACCAACACAGGAAGGAATTCAAAGCCAAAATAAATTTGCAAGTCAGAGCCACGATAGTATGAGGAGGAGGAGGAGGTCCTAGAAAGAGTTAGGGGAGCAGCTCTGACCCACCCAGTGGGTCAGAGAGACCCTAGGGCCCGTTCCAAGCAGGACTTTGGAACCGACATCCTGCTCCCTCAGGGGAAGGTGGCCAGGAAAAAACTCCATCCTTCAGTTTCTGCCCTAGGTTCTGGGAGAGAAGAAAAACCATTTCCTGTGGGAAACTCAAGTCTCAGCCAGATGTGGTAGCTCACACCTGTAATCCCAGCACTTTGGGAGGATCACTTGAGGTCAGGAGTTCGAGACCATCCTGGTCAACATGGCAAAACCCCGTCTCCACTAAAAATACAGAAATTCTCCGGGCATGGTGGTGGATGCCTGTAATCCCAGTTACTGGGAAGGCTGAGGCAGGAGAATCACTTGAACCCAGTAGGCAGAGGTTCCAGTGAGCCAAGATCATGCCACTGCACTCCAGCCTGGGCGACAGAGTCTCCAGGCCTGCGTCACATGCCGGTGTTGGGTGTGAACTTACACCGTCTCCCATGGTGTGGAAGTCTCCAAGCCCAGAAATTAATGTAAAACCTGTGGTCACATTGGGGAAACCTCTAGACCAACCACTTGAAGCAAAAGGTGCAACTGTTCCTAGCATGTCCCAGAACATCAACGACCCCCACAGAATGGAACAATCTCTGATGAAGAGGAGCTAACCGGTGACAAACCACAGGGGAAATTGCGCACCACAGGCGGGAGGCAGCGTAGCTACGCGGCAGGTGGGAGCCAGCATATCTACGTGACAGGCGGGAGCCAGCGTATCTACGTGACAGGCGGGAGCCAGCGTATCTATGTGACACGCGGGAGCCAGCGGATCTATGTGACAGGTGGGACCCAGCAGACCTATGCGGCAGGTGGGACCCAGCAGACCTACACGACAGGCATTGCACCTCCCAAACTCTGAGATAACAGAATGATCCAAAAGAGATAATAAGATAAGTGGGCTTGCAAAGTACAGAGAGATACAAGGACTAGCAAACACAGAGATATAAAAAGGACACCTGGAGAGAACAGGCAGATGAGAAAAAGAGAAACAGGAAAACCCAAACCAAAACCCAAAACCTCTCAACAGAAGATTGAACAGTGGCCTGAAAGAAAACTTGTGAAGTAGAAGATGGATCTTAGAAAACTATCCGGGATGAGCCACAGTGGTAAACATATGGAAATAGAAAAAAAAATGTTGGCCAGGCGCAGTGGCTCACGCCTGTTATCCCTGCACTTTGGGTGGCCGAGGCAGGTGGATCATCTGAGGTCAGGAGTTTGAGACCCACCTGACCAACGTAGTGAAATCCTCATCTCTACTGAAAATACAAAAATTGGCTGGGCGTGGTGGAGGACACCTGTAATCCCAGCTACTTGGGAGGCTAAGGCAGGAGAGAATTGCTTGAACTCGGGAGGTGGAGGTTGCAGTGAGCTGAGATCAGGCCACTGCACCCCAGCCTGGGTAACAGAGCGAGACTCCATCTAAAAAAAAAAAAAACAAATTTAAGAGATGTACGCTATAGAAACACGTTGTAGTGGGATAAAATAAAAATGTGGGTCTAAAGGCAGTAATTGAAGAGGGAATGGCTCAGAATTTGCCAGAATTGGTGAAAGACATGAGTTCTTTTGGGATTTTGTTTGTTTTTTGTTTTTGAGATGGAGTCTTGCTCTGTCACCCAGGCTGGAGTGTAGTGGTGCAATCTCGGCTCACTGCAAGGTCCACCTCCTGGGTTCAAGCCATTCTCCTGCCTCAGCCTCCCAAGTAGCTGGGACTACCGGCGCCCACCACCACGCCCGGCTAATTTTTGTGTGTTTTTAGTAGAGACTGGGTTTCACCATGTTAGCCAGGATGGTCTCGATCTCCTGACCTCGTGGCCCGCCCGCCTTGGCCTCCCAAAGTGCTGGGATTACAGGCTTGAGCCACCATGCCTGGCCAAGACACGAGTTCTTAGTTTGAAGAAGCTATTCTAAATAGGATACCCCAGGATAAAGAGATATCTCATTTTGTTTTGTCACACCTAGCCGCATGGGTCTTTGCTAGACATAACACAGTGAAAGACAGAACTCAAAGACTAAGAAAAGTCTCAAGGTTAGTGACAGTCAAAAGATGGCTATTCACTGGGAAACAACAATAGAAGCTGGAACAAAATGAAATAATTGCTTCAAAGTGCTAAGGTGAAAAAGAAGTCAGTCCAGGTTTCTGTATCAGCTAAGTGATGATTCAAGAGTAAAGGGAAAAAAATTTGAGAGAGTTTGTCACCTCTTTACTTGTTGAAAGAAATACTAATGAATGATTTAAAAGAAAAGCTTAAGTTTAAAAAAAGCAAATCTGTACCCAGAGGAAGCAAGGGGATAAAAGAGCAACGATCAGCAAAACATGTAGGAAGCAGGTGAACATATGTAAGTCAATATAGACTCTACAAGACAATAATAGTAATAACCTATCTGTGAGGGTTAAAAAAACTAAAATACTAGACAATGATAACATGAACAACTAGGGTTAGAAGAAATTCAGAGTACTGAAAGGTCAGTAAAGGTTAATTAGATTTAAACTTTCAAAATTAAAGGGTATATTTTAAATTAAGGGTATATTTTAAACGCTTAAGGGTAATTCTTAAAAGGATAGAAATGAAATATATGACTTCCAGATCGTATAGTAGGTGGATGGGTATCTAGCATGGGGCCTTGATATTTAGGCTAAGTTATTTTGAATGTTTTACATGGGTGATGGAGCGTAATGGAAGCCTTTCTTTTTTCTTTTTCTTTTCTTTTTTTTTTTTGAGACAGAGTCTTGCTCTGTTGCCAGGCTGGAGTGCAATGGCGCGATCTCAGTTCACTGCAACCTCCGCCTCCTGGGTTCACGCGATTCTCCTGCTTCAGCCTCCTGAGTAGCTGGGACTACAGGCATGTGCCACCACGCCCGGCTAATTTTTTGTATGTTAGTAGAGACGGAGTTTCACCATGTTGACCAAGATGGTCTCGAACTCCCGACCTCAGGTGATCCGCCCGCCTCGGCCTCCCAAAGTGCTGGGATTACAGGCGTGAGCCACTGCGCCCAGCCATGGAAGGCTTTCTAACAGGGGAGGGCGTGGCACAGAGCAAGTCCCATCCAACTTTATACTCCCCTGACCCACCCGGCCAGAATTCAATGACTTGTTCTGTGTTCTATCGCTGAACTAGCACCTATCACTGTGCACATTCTATATGAACACAGGGGTATAGCATGCCACTGTCTCGCTGCTGGACTGTGAACTCCTAAAGCAGGGAAACATTTTACAAATCGAGGACTGTGAACGCCTAAAGGGGAGAAACATTTTACAAATCGAAGTTGATGACCTGTCAGTAGAGTAGAGAGGGTCTGAGAGCACTTGCTTTATGTTTGTAGCAGACCCTGCTGGGGCGCTGTCTCTTCTGTTCCCTTTTTTTTTTTTTTTTTTTGATACAGAGTCTCCCTCTGTGGCCCAGGCTGGAGTGCAATAGTGCCATCTTGGCTCGCTGCAAGCTCTGCCTCCCGGGTTCATGCCATTCTCCTGCCTCAACCTCCTGAGTAGCTGAGATTACAGGTGCTCGCCACAATGCCCAGCTAATTTTTGTATTTTTGTAGAGACGAGTTTTCAACATGTTGGCCAGGCTGGTCTCGAACTCCTGACCTTGTGATCCACCTGCCTCAGCCTCCCAAAGTGCTGGGATTACAGGCGTGCACCACCATGCCCGGCTAATTTTTGTGTTTTTAGTAGAGACAGGGTTTCACCATGTTGACCAGGCTGTTCGCAAACTCCTGACCTCAGGTGATCCACCCACCTCGGCCTCCCAAAGTGCTGAGATTACAGGTGTGAGCCACCGCGCCCAGCCCGTTTCCTTTGATTCTAAAGACCTGCACCCACAGGTCTCTTCAGAGGACTGCCTGGGGGTACCAGAGCCACCTCTCCATCATGCTCAGGGAACTGCAAATGCCTGGCAATTTCTGCCCCCTTGCAATATCTACGGAAACACAGCTACCTTGCTTCCAGTTGGGACAAACTGAGGAGTAATTGTCCCCAGAGCTCCCCCGCAGGGTCGGCTGAGGCTGGGACGGGTCTGAAATGGCCCTCTTGTTTGGCTTCTTTCCCTTCCCCCCTGCCCCCTGCACTCCTCTGTTACTTCCCACGGGAGCAATTTGTTCCTCACAAACCATCTCAGGGTCGACTTTGCACCTCACCTAAGACAAAGCCCGGCAAGTCATCAATTACAAAGCACTCACTAAGTGCTCGCTGGACACCTGGCTGCACACTAGCCACTATCAGAAGTTCATCTCCCCTTCTTGCTCTCTTCCCCTTCCCCTGTTTATCTTTTTATGTCTCCCTAAGCCAGGAGCAGCAAGTTAGCTTCCAGTTTCCATCCGCTAGGCTGGAAATGAGGACAGCCAGACTTTGCTATTGAGTAGAAGTCCTTGATTAAATCCTTTCCCTTCTCTTGGATTTGTTTTCCTGGTTGTTGTTGTTTGTTTGTTTTTGTTTGTTTTGAGACAGGGTCTCGCTTTGTCACTTAGGCTGGGGTGCAGTGGCACAGTGATGGCTCACTGCAGCCTCAACCTCCTGGGCTCAAGCAATTCTCCTACCTCAGCCTCTTCATAGCTGAGACTACAGCTGTGTGCCACAATGCCTGGCTAATTAAAAAATTTTTTATAAAGACGAGGTCTCACTGTGTTGTCCAGGCTGGTCTCAAACTCCCGGGCCCAAGCAATCCTCCCATCTCAGCCTCCCAAGTAGGTGGGAGTACAAACGCACGCCACCACTCCCAGCTTCCTAAGTTTTTTTTTTTGAGATGGAGTTTCTCCCTTGTCGCCCAGGCTGGAGTGCAATGGTGCAATCTCGGCTCACTGCAAACTCCACCTCCGGGGTTCAAGCGATTCTCCTGCTTCAGCCTCCCAAGTAGCTGGAACTACAGGCACGTGCCACCACAGCCGACTAATTTTGTATTTTTAGTAGAGATAGGGTTTCACCATGTTGGCCAGGCTGGTCTCAAACTCCTGACCTCAGGTGATCCACCCGCCTCCCAAAGTGCTGGGATGACAGGCGTGAGCCACTGTGCCTGGCAGTTTTTAATGGGAATGATATCATATATTCTCCTTCTATCACAAGTTTTCTGTGACTATTTAAACCAAACAACATACACATGGATTTTGGAAAAAGGAAGAGCTTGTGGCATGTGCTTCCAGAGGATTCAGAGTCGCCTGAAGGACTTAGAGAAAGCTTTCCAGCCACTCCCCTCCCCTCCTCTGGGCCACAGCACCCCTGCAGCAGGCATGGGTGGCCGGCCCTGCCAGGCTGGGGGAAGCCTTGGGCCTAAGGAGGCTGCCTGGTTCCCTCGGCAGTGTCTGGAAAGTATTAATAACTGTGGCAGGAGGATTAGCCATATGCCACGTAATTCCTGCTAATCGGGATTGGGGGGAGCTTGTGCTTGTAAGTAACAGATGAGCTGAGCTGCCCTCCCGGCCTTCAGTGCCTTCCTGCAGTGGCGGGGCTCTGGACAGGCCTGGGGCTTCCTGCCCGCCTGTCCTCCTTCCTTCCACCTGCAAGCTTTCTGCTCTGGGCCCCTTTCTCTCTGCACGCTTCCCAGATTGGATCCCCTGCCTCTTGCTGTTTATTCTTCTTCCCAATCTTCCGCTTCTAAGTTAAAGATTCCTTATTTCTACCCCTTTGCTCCCGTAGTCTGACTCTGTGCATGTTCTCAATTGCTTACTTCCACCTCGATGTCTGTCCTTGTCCCCTTCCTGCCTCTCCCTCCCTTTTTTCACACGCACAGACCCACACACTCCTAACTTCTCTTTCTGGCATCAACGAAAACTCTGACTCTTGGTTGCCCTGCGAAGGCCAAGTTCAACGTTCTCAGGCAATCCTTCCTGCCCCGCCCGAGCCTGTTCTCCTCACACTCTTCTGCCCTCACAGAGAATTCCCAATCCTCTTCTTGGGAATTGTTTGCCCTCGCAGCTGGGAAGGAGCCTGACTCTGAGAAGCTGCTCTCCGCCCTCCTCCTCCACCCCCCCCCCCCCGCCCCCGTCTCCATGCTGAGCCCAGAACAGCACGCACAGGCGGGAAACAAACCTCCCTCGCAGGGGCAAATGGAGCGGGGGCCCCAGCCCACATGGAACTGCTATTCCTGCCTCTGTGTCGCACTGTGTCTGTCCTCCTGGCCTCTGTGTGCATAGGTAGGAAGGCGAACCCGCCTTTCTGAGTGGCGAAATACACGACTGTGTCTGAGGGACCCTCTCGGGAGGAGACACACAGGGTTGCAGTGGCTGTGTGTGTGAGAGGCATTGCTGAGGTGAAGATGGATCTGTGGGCATCTGTGTGTCAGAGGCATCTGAACCAGAGCAACTCCATCTTGAATGGGGCCTTGGTGAAAAAACTGAGACCTGCTGGGCTGCACTCCCACGGGTTAGGCTTTCTGAGTCACAGGATGAGATAAGAGGTTGGCACAACATACAGGTCGTAAAGACCTTGCTGATAAAACAGGTTTCAGAAAAGAAGCCGGCCCAAACCCACCAAAACCAAGATGGCAGAGAATGACCTCTGGTCGTCCTCACTGCTGCACTCCCAGCAGCGCCATGACAGTTTACAAATGCCATGGCAACGTCAGGAAGTTAGCCTATATGGTCTAAAAAGGGGAGGCACGAATAATCTACCTCTTGTTTAGCATATCATTAAGAAATAACCATAAAAATGGGCAACCAGCAGCCCTCAGAGCTGCTCTACCTATGGAGTAACCATTCTTTTATTCCTTTCCTTTCTTAATAAATTTGCTTTCACTTTATGGACGTGCCCCGAATTCTCTCTTGAGTGAGATCCAAGAACCCTCTCTTGGCGTCTGGATTGGGACCCCTTTCCAGTAACACGTGCATAGACGTGCTTATGATCAGCATTTTGCAGAAAGCTGTTCAGGAGTGTCTGGAAAGGACACTGGTAGAATTTTTTTTCCACTATTTATTTATTTAGAGATGGAGTCTGGCTCTGTCCCCCATGCTGGAGTGCAGTGGCGCGATCTCGGCTCACTGCAACCTCCGCTCCCGGGTTCATGCCATTCTCCTGCCTCAGCCTCCCGAGTAGCTGGGACCACAGGCACCCATCACCATGCCCGTCTAATTTTTTTTGTATTTTTAGTAGAGACAGTGTTTCACTGTGTTAGCCAGGATGGTCTTGAACCCCTGACCTGGTGATCCGCCCGCTTCGGCCTCCCAAAGTGCTGCGATTACAGGCGTGAGCCACCGCGCCTGGCTCCTTTTTATTTTTGAGACAGGGTCTTACTCTGTCGCCCAGGCTGGAAAGCAGTGGCGTGATCTCGGCTCACTGCAGCCCTGACCTCCTGGGCTCAAGTGATCCTTCCACCTCAGCCTCCTGAGTAGTTGGGACTACAGGTGTATGCCATCACCCCAGGCTATTATTTTTTTTTTTTTTGGTATTTTTTGTAGAGATGGGGTTTTGCCATGTTGCTCAGGCCAGTCTTGAACTACTATGCTGCCTCGGCTTCCCAAAGTGTTGGGATTACACACGTCAGCCACTGCGCCCGGCCAGGAGTGTATATTTAGTAACAAATATGGACTGTGGTGGGAACATTTTTGATGTGCCCAGTCTATGTGTAGGAAGGGTTTTGGATAAGAACAGAAAGGAAGCTCTCCTGTGCTTATTTTTTTACTCGATACATGATAATTGTACATTATCATGTGGGATACATGTGATATTTTGATACACGGATACAATGTGTAATCATCAATGTCCTGTGCTTCTTAGAAGCATTCAAACCTCCAGGCATGGCGGCTGTTGTCTGTAATCCCAGCACTTTGGAAAGTTGAGACGGGAGGATCGCTTGAGTCCAGGAGTTTAAGACCAGCCTGGGTAATAGTGAGACCTTGTCTCTACCAAAAAGAAAAAAAAAAAGGAAAAAAAAGCATTCCAACCGTCTCGTAGGATGGGCTCTTAAAACATCCATTCCAGGCCAGCAGCAAATGTCCAGGGTGTGTCTTCCCTCCAGAGATTAGCTTTGTTTCCAAGAGCTCATTAGACTAAGAAAAAAAAGCATCTTTGACCCTGCTCACCAGTCTCTGCACCTCAAGGACAAGTGCGCACGCACGCACGCACGTACGCAGGCACGCACGCACGCAGGCACGCACGCACGCAGGCAGGCACTTCCTCCTGTCGCTAGGATCTCCACCTGCACACGGCTGCTCCCTCTCCCAACCTAGGGATGGGTTCTCAGAGCAGGATACAACCGTGGTGGCCTTCAGGTGCCCCTGGGCCTCTCTTGGTCACAGAGGTCTGACAAGGAGAGAGGAGAGCAAAGAGCGAAACCCTTGTCTGTGCGTCTTCCCCATGTTCCAGGGGTCCACTGACAAGCCCTGAGACGCACCCTTCTCGGGAGAGAACCTTCTCGGGAGAGACCAGCCAGCCCGCGCCGCCTCCTGCCCACCCCGGGTGGCCGCGACGGGGAGTGCCCCCTCCTGCGCGGGGTGCACCGTTTCCCAGCCTCACTGCGCCACCGTGTGGCGGCCTCTTACCGTTGCAGCTCCTTATTCCTCCCCCGCCCTCCCCAAACCGGCACGCTTAGCTGTTTGGTGTTCCGTGCTCAAGTTTTCAAGGCAATTTTGTGTATAGCATCCCAGTATTTTTTTTTTGGCGAGGGGGCAGGGTCTCGCTCTGTCGTCCAGGCTGGAGTGCAGTGGCACGATCACGACTCACTGGAGCCTCCACCTCCCTCACTCAAGTGATCCTCCTGCTTCAATCTCCGGAGTAGCTGGGACCACAGGCATGTGCCACTATGCCTAGCTAATTTTTTAATTTTTTGTAGAGATAGTGTCTTCTGTGTTGCACAGGCTGGTCTCGAACTCCTGGCCTCAAGGGATCCTCTCGCCTCAGCCTCCCAAAGTGCTGGGATTACAGGCAGCATCCCGGTATTTTAAGAACTTGCAGTCTTAAGCAGAGATACCCAGATGGATGTAAGCCCTGAGCCGGGCATGTACATAAAGCAATAAAGGGCTAAGACTGAAAGCCGTAGGTTAGTGTATTTGTGTGGAGATGAGGAAGAAGAAAGAACAGCCGTAAGAGTTCCAAATATTTCACACTGGGCTGCTTAGGAGCCAGGGTGCGACCCTAGTTCAGTTGGTGGGGTGGATTTTGCTGCCCTCTTCAAAAGAGTTTTAAAAATATAGATTGATTGTGTTTTAGAGACAGGATCTCGCTCTGTCACCCAGGCTGAGTGCAGTGTCACGACCACAGCCCACTGCAGCCTGAACTCCTGGGCACATGCGATCCGTCTTCCTCAGCCTCCCAAGTAACTGGGACCACAGGTGTGTGCCACCACTTCCAGCTAATTTTTAAAATTTTTTGTAGGGATGAGGTCTCACTATGTTGCTTAGGCTGGTCTCAAACTTCTGGGCTCAAGCGATCTTCCTGCTTCCCCATCTGGAAGTACTGGGATTACAAGTGTGAGCCACCTTGCCTGGCCACGTACTTATCCAAAAAAAAAAATGCAAAAGCCAGAGTAGAACAGCCTGGATTGTTAGCCTGGGGTCTCCTTGCTTTGCATCCAGAGACCCCCTGGGGAGGGGAGGAGTCAGCCACAGGGTTCCTCCAGCAGGGAGGGGCCAAAGCATCACAAGGGGAAAAGTGCCATCTGTCATCTGTGAAGGAGCACTGCAGTTCACGTCGGAAGTCCTGCTCTTCTCCTCACTCTGTGACCTTGAGAAACTGCAGGGCCTGGCTTTCAATTTCAGAGCGTCCTCAGACTTTGCCTGTGTTCACGCCGCGTCTGCCCCGACTGCCTGTCGTGTGCCTCGGTCAGACTGGTGTATCCTTCTTCCCCCAGACGGCACTGGTTCTTCCACTTTGCTGGTAGCATGGCTTTTGCTCAGAATGCCCTTCTTTCTCCCTCTGTGCCTTTAAATCCTAGCCATCCTGAAGGTGAACTCAGATTTCTTCCATGGGGCTTTTGCAAGTCTTTCCAGCTGGGAACTTCCCTCATCCTCTCTGAAACCCTCCCTGGGACTCCACAGATCCTTCTTTTAGGAGCATTATCTGGTGCTTCGAGGTATATTCTGGTTTTTTCATACATCGTAGATATTTTGGGGACCATGTGATATTCTGATCCATGTATATAATGTGTGATGATTAAGTCAGGGCACTTGGGATGGCCATCCCTGAACATTTTTCTTTCTATTGGGAGCATAGAATATTCTAGTCATGCGTACCTTTACTGTATGTCCCTCACTAGGCGTTAAACTCTATGTGTGGACACTACATTCGATTCATCATCATGCAGTGTGCCTGACACTATGCTTTAGCCGTACTGAGTGATGAGCAGACCTCTTATTGATTGAAAAGGAATTTCCTTATTTTTTATAGCTCAACTTAAATATAATTTTTCCCAGGCTGGGCACAGTGGCTCATGCCTGTCATCCCAGCACTTTGGGAGGCTGAGACAGGCAGATCACTTGAGGCCAGGAGTTCGAGATCAACCTGGTCAACACAGCAAAACCCCATCTCAACTAAAAATACAAAAATTAGCTGGGCGTGGTGGTGTGTGCCTGTAGTCCCAGCTACTGAGGAGGCTGAAGCATGAGAATTGCGTGAATCCAGGAGGCAGAGGTTGCAGTGAGCCGAGATTGTGCCACTGCACTCCAGCCCAACTCTGTCTCAAAAAATATATATGTATATTTTATATAATATATATTTATATATTTTATATTTTTGTTTATATTTTATATATTTACTTATAATACATTTTTATATTTATTATGTACATATACATAGATATATATAATATCTCCCAGTAAGTCTCCATGAATTCCCCCCACTACCCCAAGGTGGGGGTGACGTGCCCTCTCGGTGCTTCTAGAACATGCACTCTTCCTACCACAGTGCCTGTCCTACTTATTCCAACGCCTTGTCACTTGCTTTCTCACCCACTAGATGACAAGCGCCTTGAGGAGACAGTGCGTCTGTGAGGCCTCCAGTGCGTGCGTTGCACATGGGCAAACTGTAGGAACTGAGTGGCTATCTGATGAACAGATAGATAAAGAAATGAATCCACGTGTAGATGCATGGAAGCAGGGAAGGGGAGAGGCGCTACAGATGACCTTTAAGATTGCCTTAAGCTCTAATATTTTATGATTATAGAGCTTTGAACTCTTTCTTGGGGGAGAGTGGTCCAAGGTATTTGGAAAACAGTACAGTGATCATTGTAGAGTCAGGTGGTCGTTTCCTTCCAATGGACATTGTTTGCTTCCAGAGGGGGCGGGGCCTGCTCCTCCCATTCTACGGGGAATTGCGTGTTCCCTGGGCTGAGCGTGGCCCAGAACTTGGCAAGATCTCTGGGGCGTTCATTTTTGTCACCCAGCCCCGGTAGGAGGGTGGATGGGTGGGAGGGGAACTGTTTTGGGAAAGAGTGCTGGGGAGTGTTTGTGTGTGTGATGAGTCAGGGCCCGGAGCTGGGAGCCTTCCTCTCTGCTGGCTCTCTGTGGGGGTAGTTCTCACCAGTCACCGGGAGGGTAGAGGATCACCAACTGTCTTCGGAAAGTTTGGAAAGTTTTCTTAGTCATTACGCCAAGTCAGCTGGAGCTTTATGTAACGGGGACAAGCAGAGGTATGATGGCATTGGAACGGCTGCTCCTCTTTTCGGCAGCAGCTCTCACCCGTCCCCTCCTAACTGCCAGGGCAGTGACCGGCCCTACATGTAGGATGTGGCATCTGGGGGCTAAGGGTCCCTGCTGTAGATGTCTGATTCCCGCTAGGAAAGAACTTGGGTTGTCTTAGAGAAGCCCTCGGGAAGGGCTCAGTGCATCTCGGAGGTGCTCCATCCTCCTTTTGTTATCCCACATCACGCTGGGGGTAAGAATCAAGCCAGGGTCCCCAGCACTCAGGACTCTGGTGCCTGAGCCGGAGCCGCAGAAGACCTGCTTCCCTGGCTACCGTCCCTGCTCCGGTGCTGCTGGCCGAGGCAGCCCATCTCTGCTCTCTTATCTCCTCGCTCTCCAGGCACCGGGAGATGCATACTGGGTTTCCTGTCTCTGACATTGAAGCCAATTTGCCTATCACAATTTGAGTTCTGTCAATGACAGCTCCAGATAGGGCCCGAAATGATATGCGTGTGTGGACACGCGTTCGTTCGCGTGTTTAAACGGAAAGAGATACAAAGAGAAGGAAGGATGGGAGAGGAGAGGTTTCGGGTCTGGGAGGAGCGAGGATGATGGTGACTCACCTGGCTGAGGGGACGAGGGGCACTGAGAAGCAGCAGCAATGCCCAGAGGTCTGCGGAGAGTTGCAGGGCCTTCCACAGGCCTCTTCCAGGCAGCTGAAGGCATCTTAGAGAAGCTGGGGCTTGTCCTCCTTTGTTACTTGCGGGGAGGAAACTACCCCAGGTCCGAGAACTGCTGGGGCCGGAAGCTTTGGAAAAGATGAGAAGGAGCATTGTTTTGGTTGGGAAGCAGAGCGCTGAGGAGTAGCATGGCCGCAGCATCACGCCGGGTGACTTCTCAGAGCAAGAAAGAACGGCTGCGGTTGAGAAATTAAGGTAAGAAATGAGGATACATTTCCTGACAGTGAGGAGGGCTGGCCTGACCCAGTGGCCCCAAAAGAGAGTTTCAAAATCAGGCCTCTAGTCGTCGAGCATAGACTGAACAGCAGGAGGGAGAGCTTAACAAGGAGAGGCTGGCAGGGCAGGACTAGCTGGTGGTTCTGGGACCTTCCAGCCCCACGTTACAGCTCTGGTCCTTCCTCAATGCCAGGAAGTTGTGCGGGCACCAGAGGCCTCCCGGAGGCCAGAGGGAGAAACCAGAAGGGAGGACTGCAGAGGGGGCTTGAGATGGAGTGGGACCAGAGCAAGGGGAGCAGGGGCACGAGGATGTTTGGGAGAGAGGCCGGAGAGTTTCATACCCGGGCTGGTTTCGGATCCATCCCCGGATGGGTGGGGACCAGGGTGGTGGGAGAGGTGAAGAAAGCAAGACGAGACACAGCACCTTCCCCTGCTCAGGAGCCTGGGGCAGGGCGGCGCACGACAGCACCTTCCCCTGCTCAGGAGCCTGGGGCAGGGCGGCGCACGACAGCACCTTCCCCTGCTCAGGAGCCTGGGGCAGGGCGGCGCACAGCAGCATCTTCTGCGTGCCGTCGAACTGAGAGGCCAAGCTGAGTGGAGGCTGGAGCTGTCTGTGAACCCAGTAAGGAGAAAGGAAGGAGAGAGGGCTGTGAAGGAGGGAGAAAGTTCCCCAGCGCACCACCAGGTGCCAGGCAGGGACAGCGTGGAGACAGCTGGAGGCTGCGGGCCTGGGCAAAGGCAGGGTTAAGCTTTGTCTGAAATGAGATCTTTATTTAGACAGTTGCCTTCTGCCTCTGGGCTGGTGTTAAGACCATGGCAGGCTCTATTCCCATCCTCACAGGCTGAGCCCCACGTCCCTGGAATTTCATGACCTCCCACACCTTCTTGCCTATTCCCAGAGGGTTGGGACACTTTTTGTTGTTTCCAGTAGATTATGTAGGACTTGGGGGGGTCTAAAGCAAGCCCTAACCCAGTGGCATTTAGTGCCCATCTTTGATCTGTGTCCACCTTGCCCTGTTCTTTGCTTGGATCTGTTTGTGTGACTGATGGCTCAAGCAAGGCCCTCCTTCCTCAGTCTACAGCTGTTCCTGCCTCTTCCTGGTCCCTAGAATCCACAGATCCGGCCATGGTGTCTCAACTGCATTGCTGGGTTTCCTTACTGGTCAGCTTCTAAGAGTAGAGAAGGCACCAGAGCAGAGAAGTTATGCCCGAAGCCATCAGAACCGCACTGCCCAGGCTGAATGCAGGATTCGCACCTGCCAGCGGTAGCCCTGAGCAAGTCACAGAATGCTAGGGAAGGCTGGGAAGAGCATTTGCCTTGAAGACGAGCTGTGAGGACTGGAAGCCAGCATGCATGGAACGTCATCTTTGCTTGTGGCTTCAATGTGGGAAGCTCTCAGGCAGTGTGCTCTCCCATATGTAATCATACTTGCCCCAAACACAGACAACGCATTCCAGCGATGCTAGCCGCCTCCCTCCTGTACCAAGAACAGCCCATGCTCAGCCCCAGTTTTATGCACATAAACGTCCTCCCACCTCCGGTACAGCTACTCACACTCCCCCACCTTGAGGCCGCACTAAAGTGCCGCCTCCTTCCCAAAGCCTTCCCTGATCAGCCCAACCCATGCAGATCTCTTCCTGCTTTGCCTTATTCTGCTCCAGCCAGTGCCTTGAAATGTAACGTTTCCATCATAGAATTATCCCATTTGGGAGCTGGAGGAGTCCTTAGAAATGGCTCCAGTCAGTTGCTCTTAACCAGAAGGGTTAATAAGCAGGAGGTACATCCCCATGACATCCCGGTGGCACCTACCGCTCGCCTCGCCGGTTGGCCATCACAGTCCTACTAAACTTGCTGCTGCCTCGGATTCCTCCTCAGCACAGTGCTCCAGGCATCAGTACCCATCAATCAGATGCGCCACTGCCATCCACAATCCAGGCCATGAGAAGTTGTCTATAACTTGGTGTAGCTGGAGCTTTTGGAAGTACAGGGACCTGCTTCAGGCCTGAGGCCTGGGGATAGAACTCTGGTCTTACCTCTATCCAGGGCTCCTCAGACTATGCCAGGGGCCTCTTTAATAGTTTTTTGACTCTTCTCTGCCTGTGAGTCTTGCCTTCCCAACCAGTGAATTTGAGCTGTGATATTTGTGGGGATGTCCTCCCCAGCGCTGAGCACGAGACAGGACATGTCACGTGCTCACTGGTTGATGTATTGACTGCTTGGAGCTTTCCCCCAGCTCCTCTAACTTGTGTTCAGAGCTCAGTCAAAAGGGCAGGGGGAATTGGGGTGGCATGGAGACTCAGTCTCTCTGCCGATAGATAAGTCTGCCAGGACTTCCCCGGTACCTCCTCTCTGCCCACAGCAGCCACAGGTATTCTGAACATGCTGAAAGACAAGACAGGGTCTGGACATCAGGAGCCCAGAAAGATCATCTTCGTCCTGTAGCTCGGTGGCTCGGCCTCGGGAGGCTGTCTTGCAGGGCCTCACTGATCATCATTCAGAGGGAGCTGCATGGGGAAGGAGAGGGAGATGGTGCAGTTGGATGCCTGCCTCTCTTGGGCACTGATGGGCTGGGTGAGGGTCTCTTGAAGGGTGGTCCCCCCTTGAGTGGGAGCAGATGGACTGGAGGGGCATGGCTCACGTACAGGTTGGTGGAGGAGCTTCCCCCAACCTGGGCCCTGGAGGACACAGTTCCCAAATGGAGTCTTTTCTTCCTATGCTGTTGAAAGGCGGCACTACCATCTGCTCAGGTCCATGCGCTGGAAACTTTAGGGTCCTCCAGTGGCCCCAGGCCTGTCCCTTCCTTCCTCTAGCCCTCAGCAGGTTCTCCTGCTCTCTTCTTGCCAATGTGCGGCCTCCTGGTCTTGCTGCAGACCCAGCCCTCCTTCCCCCCGGTCTCATCTGCAGGTCTGCAGTGCCCCTGGCTGAGCTTTCTAGACATGTCACAATGTTGCCAGATTTTTCTTTCTGAAACTTAGATTTTATGATGTCATTCCCTGCTTGAAAATCGTGGTCACCGCACTGTCTTCAGGAGAAGGTGAAACCCCCCAGCCCAGGCCTTCTCAGCCTCTGTGCTCTCTGCATTCTGGGGGGGCTCTGCTCTGCTGTGGGGGCTGCCCTGTGCATGGTGGGTGCTTAGCAGCACCCTGGCCCTACCCACCAGGGGCGGGGAGCAGCCTCCCTCCCACTCCTGCAAGTTGTGACAACCAAACATGTCTCCAGCCATTGCCAAATGACCTCTGAGGGGTAAAATCGGTTGAGAATCACTGTGGTAGCCTATAAAATAGGATAATAATAACTAATGACAATGCTTACTTACTCAGCTCTGTGCTAACAGCTTTCCATGAGGTCTCTCATTTAATCTTCAAAATATCTCTATAGGGAAGGCCCTATTAGTATCTCCATCTTACAGATGCTCAGAAGGCAGAAGGAGTCCAGATCTTTCAAGATAAAAAGACTTTTTCCTTCCATGTGGGGTAAGAAGAGAGGTAGATAATTCAAAATCACTTCTCCTTCAGGCAAGAGCCACAGAACCGGAGGCAAGTCAGGCAGGCTTGAGCTCCAGTCTGTCTGCTGGCAAGATCTGATTTCTCCCCACGAGCCCCTGTCCACGCTTCCCAATCCCACACCTTCATGCAGGCCAGTTCCCTGCCTGAGAAGTTCCTCTTTGGCCTGGGGAGATCTGTTCATTATTCAGGGCCCAGGCAAAAGCCCCTGTCCTGTTCTCTGTGAAGGCCCCCAGGCCCCAGGAGGAAGAGAGAATTATCCCTTCTGCGTGGCTCATGACCACACACACCCTGGGTGACGAGTCCTGCAATGGCTAATTGTGCAGGCATCTTATTCTGTGCCAGCCTATCTTGGGGCAGGGGTCTGGGGGTGGGGACTCCGGCTGGTCCTCCTTCATCATGATGACATGGAGTGCCTTGCACAGAGCGCTGGATCCCCAAATGTGTGTGGAGTGGAATGCAGTGGGGCAGTAGGCGGGTAGTGGCTCCTTCCAGGACGTGACGCTGAGCCCACTGGACACCAGGAACCACAGGGCCTCCCGGCAGGCAAGGGAGACCGAGGGCCCCTCCTCTGGGCTGACGCAGACTCTCAGCAGAAGACATGGCTTAAGGAGCAACACATGGCTGGGTTTTGGCCGCCTTGGCTGGGGCCTCTGAGCCATGCCTAAACTGCAGACTTGAGGGATGATGCAGCTCAGAGCTTGCTTTGGTGTCTGGAGTAACGAAGGCTCGTGTTCTCTCTCACGCAGGCTTCTAAGAGTGTGTGCATGCAGGCACGTGCTGCTGTGCGTGAGTGCACAGCATGTGTGCTGTGTGGAAAGAGAGGCTGTGGGTGCCCTTTCCCAGGCGTGCCGCATCACTGAGGCACTGGTCATAGGCAGCATTTGCGCATTTCTGCTCTTGACACTGGGTTGCATACACAGTCCTGTCACACAGAGTCAAGGTCCAGGAACCCACCAGCGTTCTAGAGCCTTGAAGAGTGCTGTCCGCTCCCTGCCTGCCCCACGTTGCACCTAGGCAGACGGCAGTCCGAGCTCCGCTCCCCGCCTGCCCCACACTGCACCTAGGCAGATGGCAATCCGAGCTCGCTCTCCTTTCTCCCTCTCTCCCGGCTAGAGGAACGGAGCTCACACAGCATTGACCCCTGCCTGGCCTCTCTAAGCAGTTGCCAGACCCCCTGTAGCTGGATGACCACTGGACTGGGGAGGCGGTCTCGGCCAATGGTGGTGGGCAGGTGGGATCAGCTGAATGAGTCCCAGGAGAAGCCAAGTGCAGAAGCTGGCACTTCGTGTTTCCTATTGCCAACCAGCAGAGAAAGGCCTTCTTGAGAAGAAGTCATAATTTTTGGAAGAGTGGCTGAACAGAGAAGAAACAAGGCACAGGGGCTGGGGCCATTCCCCAAGATAGGCCCAGACTGTGCCTGTGGCCATGTGCCTCATGAGAGTGTGCCCACCTGGGTCGTGTGAGGCAGGGGCTGGGGTGGGGAGGCAGTTATACTTGTGAAGTATGCATAGTGGGTAGCTGTACACCAACCCACGTGAAGAGAGTGTAGGCCGGAGTTTCCAGGGACGTTTCTGGCCTCACTCCTGCTTGCACGTATGCATGGTACGCGTGTGTACATGCCAGAATAAGAGCATGTGCACCCTGTCTGTGTCAGTGTGTCCCTGCTGTACACACATACACCCCACGTGCCTTCATCTCTGCACCTTCAGGGGTACCCACCTCTGGGCCCAAGCTCTAAATTAGCAGACACACACACACGGCATTCATGGTCTCCAGACTCCTCTACATTTGAAAACAGACAAGGGGAAAAAAAGGGCCAAGAGACAAGACGAGCTAAAAATAGCCGAATATAAGCTCTTCAGATCAGAAAGCTCGGTGTTTTAGTGAGTCACCAGTTTTCCAGACTGAGCATGCACGCACGCACACACACATGCAAACACAAACACCGACATCCCGCCAAGTCACGCCCGCATTGCCGAAGATGCCCTGGGTCCCACACACCCTGTGCTCTGTTCTCACAAGGTAAAATCACCCTCCAAAAGTGGTGATTCTCTGGTCTCTGCTGAATGCTCTCTTGTTGAGCTTGGAAGGCACGAACTATTCCCCAGCTCCCTGCAAACACCTATGCACTTTCATCTCCGCCTTCTCAGCCTCTTCTGATTTGTCTGTGTTTCCTAACCCCAGCCCCACTCCACTTTGTAATGGTTGGCAGAAGACAATGGTCTTTCTGTCCTACTAAGGGTTATGCTGCACTTTTCAGGGGGCCCTGACGCTGGAGAGGTCAGACAGCTCTCTGCACAGCATCTCTGGAGCTGGCCTTTGTGCTTAGGGAGAGGAGACAGCTCCGGACGCCATGCAAGATTTATGAATGTGTTTTGTTAATTGCATTAGTGGCTCTGTGGGAGGATGGTGTGTGCTTTGGCCTTAAACAAGGTGAGCTCAAAAGCGGCAATGGGAGAGGGGACAGGACCAAGGCTGTGTGTATGAGCACCCTGCCATCCTGGGCTGCATGGACCCCCTTGCCCTCTGTTCCCCACGCTCTTGCTGAAGCCAGGGCTCTGTCCCTGCCCTCCTGAGCTCTTGTCTACGTTGCTGCTCAGGCCGGCCTTCCCCTCCTTGGCTCCTTGGGTTGAGAGAGGCCAGACTTGCAGTCATCTTCGATAACTCTATTTCTCTTTTTCTTTCTCTCTTCCTCTTTCTCCCTCATTCTTATCTTTCCTCTTTCTCTTTCCCTTTAAATCCTTCCCTCCGTCTTCACCCACCTTCACCTCTGTCTTTGTGAAATCTAAATCTGCTTTACTCTAAGCGTTTCAATAATTCAGGCTCCACAGTCCCTCAGGTGCCCCCAGCCCTGCTCCTATACTCCCGTGGTTTCCCAACAGATCTGCCTGCTGCGGCTGTGCTCCGCTGGCCTCTGGGGCTCCCGCTCCCTGGGAGTCAGCTGGGCATCATGTTCCTGCACCTTTTCAGAAGATGACAAAGTGCAGGCTTGCAAGGGTGAATGTGGCTGCTAGAGAGGATTCACCTAAAATTCGAAGCCAATCCGAGGGAGGAGCTCAACGAGCCCTGGGTCTAGGCCCATGCAGTGTGTCCGAAGTTCTGATGAGCTCTTCCGGAAGGTGGGCCCTAGGCCACGATGCCCATCTCACTTGGGGTTGCCCTCCTGCATGGCAACCCTGGCATCTTACTTCCTCTTCCTCAGCCCCTTTGTGCCCTGTCTGGGCTGGGCCTCGACCACGGACATGGTTGGGGGCATGGGCTCTGCACCGAGGCTGCTCCAGGTAGAGTCCAGCTCACACTCTCTGGCTACGGGAGTTCATGCCTCTGCGCCTTCATCTCTTCAACTGTCAAAGGGAATAATAATACCTACGTCATGGGGTCCTTTGACATCTACAGAGCTTAAAACAGTGTCTGACAAGCACTTCATAAACGTTAGGTATTGGTACGTGACCCAAGTCAGCCTGCCCAACCTTTCTCTGTCTCCTTTTCCCCTCAGAAACACAGGGATGAGAAACTCTATTTCCTTCCTAAGGGAGTTTCTGGGGGATCAGAGCTGAGAGGCAGGCCCCAGCCCTACCTTCCCTGCCCCGTCTCACCTACTCTTTGCCCATGGGGGCACTTGTCTCTGGCCCCACCTTCTGTCCCCCCAACTGCCTGTGAGTCCTCTTCGGAGCTCTGGCCCAGCCTGAGCTGGACATGGGCGGAGAGGAGACTATTTTTAGCCCCAGACAGAAGCAGCAGCTGCACAACTGCCTCTCTGAGCTTGCCTGTCCACGGGAGGTTCAGCTAACGGGGGTGAGGCTGGTGGGGGAGGGCAGGAAGGCTGGCCCAGCCAGGGGCCCTGAGAACCCCAGCTTCCTCTCACCCCTCCCAGGAAAGGAGCCCTTTCTGTCCCAGGACGAGTTGCCCTCCCCTCCGGCCCCTAGCGTCTTAATCCCCAGTGATTTAGCAGCTAAGCTGTGGAGGCTGCAAAGTGGGGCAGGAGGGGAGGATCAAAGGGAATCCACAGAGAGGGGAGGAACCAGAGCCCGGCCTAAGGCTGGTCCGCCTGGTCCTTGCCACACTGGGAACTCTTCTCTTCTTGTCCCTGAGAACTCAGACTCCCAAGCTGCAGGCTCTGAGACAGTGAATTTTTAGTCCTGTTCTGTTTTCAGGCATTCACGTCACAAGGCAAGCTGAGCACATCCACCTGTGCTTTCTGGGAGCTCTGCGTCTGCATAGAAAGCAATGGGCTTCCCAAAGGTGCTGGGCAGTCGTGGGGTTCGATACAAACTGCATTTGATTGGGAGTTGGGGTTTGGCTGGACTGCCTTGATTTTCCCAGGGTGATCAGTCTTTAACACGAAATGAAAAAGGTCCTGAATGTCAACACTGATTTACAAAGTCATTCTTGGCCGGGCGCGGTGGCTCACGCCTGTAACCCCAGCACTTTGGGAGGCCGAGGCGGGCAGATCACGAGGTCAGGAGATCGAGACCATCCTGGCTAACACGGTGAAACCCCGTCTCTACTAAAAATACAAAAAATTAGCCGGGCGCGCAGGCGGGCGCCTGTAGTCCCAGCTACTCGGGAGGCTGAGGCAGGAGAATGGCGTGAACCCGGTAGGTGGAGTTTGCAGTGAGCCGAGATCGCGCCACTGCATTCCAGCCTGGGCGACAGAGCGAGACTCCGTCTTAATAAACAAACAAACAAACAAACAAACAAACAGAGTCATTCTTGCAATTCTTGCATCAGGGTTTCCTTAACGATGGCAATTCTGACGACTGCTGGAGACCAGGCAGGAGTGGGCATGGAAAGGGAAGTGCTGTGCAGACTAACAAATTAATCACATGTGTGTTCGCACCTGTGATTACGCGCAGGCACTGATCCAGGATCTAAGGATACCTTAGGTGAAGAGATAGACTAGACCCCTATCCTTGAGGAACTTACATTCTAGAGCATAGAAGCCCTTTCATGTTGCAAAATATATGCTCTTAAATCTAGGAAACAATCCAATGCTTTCATGTCTCTGAATGCTGCTACGGTGCCTAGCAGCTCGTTCCTAAAATCTGATTTCTCCCCAGCCTAGATTCTTGTTGCTTTAAGGAAATGATTCTCAATCTCTTCCATGGTGTACGTCTCTTTGTAAATCAATTAAAGCTGTGAACCCTTTTGCAGAAAAATGTTCAGAACACGGAAACATTCACAAACCTGCCTGCCGTTTGAGGGACTGTGGCTTTAGAAGTCCTGTCTTAAGTGTGGGAGGCAGCTGCCGCCTGTGCTGACGGCTCGGCCACCGCGTTTCCCAGCAAGAGCTTTGCAGCTGAATGTCAATCACAGTGCTCCACCACTGTGGATTAGAGGGAGCCGGCCACTGTTGCAAATCTGAACTAAAAACAATGTTTTAATTCTACCAAACTGTAGACAAACCCATTTGCAAAACTCCTAGCAAGTTATCATCTTCGTGTGGTCCCAGGTGAGCTCTGACCTTGGCCAAGTCCCTTCCTTGCTTTGGGTCTCAGTTTCCGGTTTGTGAAATGAGGGGGCGGAGGGAGCAGCGCCGAGGCCCCTTCCGGCTCTGCAGTGCCTCGAATTCTAGGCTGCTGGTGCGTCTTTTCCTGAGGGGAAACGGGGAGAAAGTGCAGCCTCAGGTGCTGGCCTTTCCCGGGAAGAGCTCCCCGCCGCCTTCCGCCGGCCCCACGCCTCCGCCCAGCTCCCGCCCACCGCCCTCCCCTCCGCGGCGCAGGAGGCCGGCCTGGCTCCAGGATGAAGCGGAGGTTGCCGCGGCGCTGGCCGGTTACGGCTTCATAAATCCCAGTTCCACGGGGGAGGGCCCAGCACGGCCCAGCACCCAGACGCTGAGGAGAAGTGGGGCTTTTCCGTGCGAGAGTGTGGGCGTGCCGGGCGCACGTCCGGGAAGGGGTGCTGAGGGCCGCCCTGCTCGGAGGAGACCCGCCCCTGCACCGCCCCTCCTCCCGCTCCCCTCCCGGGCCCTCTGGTTGGGAGAGTGGAGAAGAGTCGAGAAGAGTGGAGAAGAGTCGAGAAGAGTGGAGAAGAGTCGAGAAGAGTCGAGAAGAGTGGACAAGGCGAACCGTCTGCAGCGAGGCGGGGCTGGGGGGCGCGGGGAGGACGGGGTTCAGGCCGGTGTCGCTCTCAAGGGGCAGCCCTGGTGTCACCCCCACCCCCTCCCACGCTGAAGCCTTCCGGCCGAGCTGTGGCATCCACGCAAATGGGTGGGCCCAGGATTGGGTTTTCGGCTTGGCGGTGGGGGTGGGGGCGGGGGCGCGCGGCTAGAGACTGCAGGCTCGGAAGGATCAGATCTGTTAACTCCGAGTCCCTCCCTTGAAATCCGTGCCACCTTTCCCTTCCTCTTTCCCAGGGCCGCCTCGGCACCTCCAGGCCAGAATTTAAATGTTATCAGCGGCAATTGATCTGCTCGGGACTGAGGTTTCGGGTCCTCTGCGGAATTGGGAGGAGCGTGGATGGTGAAGGAGCTGCTGCACTGTGGCACGGGCTTGGCCGGGGCTGCCTGGCTCTGAGCAGGCTCGTGGGACGGCCCTGTAAGGACCCCACTGCAAGAAGGGCACAGAAGCACCTGAGTTGGCGTCTCAGCAGGGACCCCCCCAGGAAATGCCCTTCTACAGCTGGTACTCAAGCTCTTTACACACTTAGCCATCGCTATACACAGTCCACGCTTGTGCACCCACACCCACAAGCTTATGCTCACGTGCACTTTTTTTTTTTTTTGAGACGGAGTTTCGCTCTTGTCGCCCAGGCTGGAGTGCAATGGCGCCATCTCAGCTCACTGCAACCTCCGCCTCCTGGGTTCAAGAGATTCTCCTCCCTCAGCCTCTAGAGTAACTGGGATTACAGGCGCGCGCCACCACACCTGGCTAATTTTTGTATTTTTAGTAGAGATGGAGGTTTGCCACGTTGGCCGGCTGGTCTCAAACTCCTGACCTCAAGTGACCCGCCCGCCTTGGCTTCCCAAAGTGCTGGGGTTACAGGCATGAGCCACCGAGCCCGGCCTCACAGGCGGATTCTTGAATCCGTGTGTATAATTCTTCTCTTACAGTCATCCAGCAAACATGTACAGACCCTGCTCACGTTTCCACATAACCATCCTCGTCTTCCTTTTCTATCCTTCGGGTCCGCGCATTTGCCATCCATACATGTTACTGGATACAGTTAGCTGGAACATATGAAATGCCCTTTCCTAGCACACACAATGGATCTACGTATGTACAGGCCTAAAAACAGAATACACATCCTACATGACATGTACACATGTGCACACAGAAACAACAGCCTTCACGCCGTCTGCATATGCGGGCCATGCCCAGGTCCCAGGCACACAGGCCAGGCGACAGTCCACTTCATCACTCAATTGCCTGCTCTCTTTTCCTCACTCCTTCCTCAAGCAGCTGTCCGTGGGGGAGAGCCTCTGCTCCTAGCTATCGCAGTGTCTCTTCATTCTGAGTTGAGCATGGGAAACTGTGTGATGTAGGGAAGGATGGTGATACCAGGCCTCTGGGAGCCTGGGCTTCATAACACGCTATTTTGCTCATTTATTTTTGTATACCTTCACATGCCTTGTGAGGCCTTCCAGAAATAGATGTTCAAATCCTACCTCAGTTTCCTCATCCATAAAATGGATTAAAATACTATCTGCCTTATCTCCATTATGGCAATGTTGTGGGAATACAATTCAACATCTAAGAAAGCAGACTGCAAAGTGTAATATGCATGATGCTATAGGCTATCAGGGTGTGTCAAGAGCTGGCAAAGTCGGGGCAGCATTTTCCTGCTGTGAATCAGGCCTGTGCCGGTCGGTCTTGCTGAGGCCCTAGCCCAGGGCTTCATGAATCGCAGTAGAAATCTCACCCGCTCCTTTCCTCCGCCTGTGTCACCCTCATCCTCACTTTTGTCTGTCCCAGACATATGGCTACAGAGCCGACGGCTTGGGGAGGGCTAAGAGGGCCTTGGCACTGAGCGGGGCATCTGCCCTGGGCACGTGGGCACACAGAGGCTTGGCTCCCAGGCTTTTCTGAGGGCTTGCACCTGGGAAAGCTCCTCTCTGCTCCTGGGCACTGGGGCTGTGCCAAGCAGCTGAGTCCAAACAAGAGGCCCTGTGGTGTGGTGAGTTTCCCCGACCAGCCGGGGCTGCTTCCTGCACCTGTGTTACCCTGGGTAGGCATAGGGCTGTCAGAGGAAACCCCCAGTAGCACCTACACATCTATGATGGGCAGAGGAAGACCACATTTTTATCTAGTCCAGAGACCTCAATGCTTCAAGCCATGGTGGCTGGTAGGGGTTAGGGTAGCCCTGAAGGAGGGGAGGCAGGAAGCTGGGGCCAATGCCAGCATCAGAGGGAGGCCAGCAGTTGGCACAGCGCTGGCTTATGTCCAGCAGGAGCATGTGAGAGGTGAAGGCACCATTCTGCAGGAGGGCTGGCTGGCCTTGGGGCTTAGAACAGGCTCCAATTCAGTGCAGAGCCTTTATTCCTTTAGCTCAGCACGAACAAACCCAGGGTGGTGCTTATCTCCCTCAGTTTTATTCCTCCCCGGAGTGGTATTCAGAGAAGAAATTCCACTGGGACACCTGGTACTTGGTACTGCAGATGAGCATTTCTGGACATGCTAGGTGGAGGGGAGAGGCTGAGGCTGGGGTCCCAGGACCCTGGGTTCCCGCAAAACCTCAGGGCTCCCTGAAGTGAACGTAGGAACAAGCATGGATGGGTGGAAGAGGGCCTCTGTGAAGCCCATCCCCGGCCAGGCCCTGCTCTCTGCAGAGGTGATCTGGGTGACCCCCTCCCTCCTCCAGCTCTGCAGCAGCTCCCGGTTTCCAGCAGGGCTGGCCAGGAAGCCGTGGCCAAGAGGGAGCTGGGTAGACAGGGCCCAGAAGTCAGAGCAGTCAGGGGTGGAGCGTGCAAACTCTGCAAAGCTCTAGCCTGGCTCCACCCCTTGCCTGCCTGAAGCTCAAAAGGATGACATCACCCAGACTGAGGGCTCCAGCCTAGATGGGCTTCATTAGCAGGGAAAGCCGGCACCTGCAGGGCTCAAGGACTTCCCGGGTTTGCGGGAGGCGGTCCTCTGCTCCTCTTGTGAATCCGGTTCAGCTTTAGGGGTCTCTGCTCTGAGTCTTGGAGACAGCACGTGGCTATTCGGGCTTCCAAGTCTGGGGCTATGTTTCTTCTACCAGAGACCAATCTCTCGGGCACCAGCATAAGCACTCTTTCCTTCCACCCTGCCAAACGCTGCTTTTCCTTGCCAGCACCGGCTGCAGCTCCATGTTTCTGAGGCTCCGTGGAGAGGATTAGATCACTGATTCTAACCAGGCAGAGTCAGCCCACAGCAAACCTAATGTCCCCCTCCCTGTGGGCTCATGTACCCTCCCCAGCCCCCAAACCCTACTGGGTGCTTGTGTTGCCTGCTTGCAAAGCATATGCTTGGCTGCTTGCTTGGTGTCTGCTGTTTATCTGTCTCTTCCTACTGAACTTCTGTTTCTTCTTGGCCCATCTGGCTCCTGTGGTGCCCGTCTTTTGCTCGGATTGCGCCTGCAATCGACACTGTCCTCCCCACCCGCTTCCCCTCTACCCTCTTCCCTCCCAGGGCTTGCCTCTTGTGCACTTTGGGCCACTGGCAGGCACCCCTGACCTTGGGTGTGGGACCAGCGAGGACTGCCCCAGGCACAGTGGGGAGCCTGATGTCGGGGTGTCCCTGTAGTGTTCTGACGATGTCCTTTGTGGAGGGGCTTGAGGGGGTGTGGAGGGCAGTGTGGGAGTTGCCTTTGGACTGGGGCGAAGGCTAGGTCCTGGTGGAAACCTCCCTCTCCCTGGCCCTTCTGAGCTTCTTGGGGTGGGGGCACCACTCACACCAGACTATTGTAGAGTGATGGGAAAATGGCCTGTGGGTAGCAGCTGGAGAGAATGAGGTCAAGGAAGCCCCAAGGCTCCTCTGACCCAAAAACCAGGGTCCACTCAGATCCTTTCCGCTCAGAGGTTATGGCAGTCTGGTGGCTTGGGTGGCGGCAAGGAGCTGCAGATGCTCACATCCAGGCAGCCAGGGGTGGAGAGGGCTCTGGGCGTGGCAGCTGTGCCAGCAGTGCTGCCGGGGATCTGTCCCCACCCCGCCTCGTCCCAGCCTCTTGGCGCTAGTTCCCGTGCAGCCCAGACGTTTCTCCCCCTCTCGCCCCTCCCACAGCGTGCACACCCCTGCACATGCTCCCACCCGAGGAAGAGCTAAGCACACTGCAGCGGTTCACACTCACCCCTCCAACGCAGCCCGCTTCCTTCCGGGCGTGATGTGGCAGCTCATGGCTTCCCTGGGATTCACGAGGCCCTGGGAGGCAGACGGAGCAGGTGGGCGGAGCCTGGAGGAGGATGGAGGAGAAGAACCGGAGCCCCCACGGGGCAGGGCTGCCATTCGTCTGCCTCTCTGGACCAGGGTTGCTCCTCCAGGCTAAGGCCGGCTGCCGAGGAGGCTGTGCTGGGCCTGGAGTCAACAAGGATGCACGTGCTGGGGGCCATCAGCTGCTGCTCCCATACAAGCATCTGCTCCCACCAAACCCACAGGGCTTGGCTGCCAGGCCTTGCTGTGTGCCCACTCTGTGGCTCTGTTCTTTGTCTCTGTTGTTCCATCTGCCTGCTCCACCGGCTGCCTGGCTCAGCTCCTCTCGGCCTCTTTATTTCTCTCGGAATCTTCTTCCTGTTCCTCATTTCTCCCCATCCTTCTCCCCGTCTCTGTGCAACCACATTCATGCCCTGGTCTCCGAGACCTTCTTTCCTCCTCTGCCCTTATCAGTCATGCCTCTGTGTGCTTCTCTGCGTCTCCCCCATGTTCATTCTCCTGCTCTCTCTCTTGCTGCCTCTCATGCATATTCAGCAGCTCCTTGAAAACCCACCTAGCTTATTCTGCGTGTTAAATGCCTAGATCTGCTTCAGGCATGAGACTTCTTAGCCTCTAGCTCTAGGACGCCACCTCAGATCACAGTCTGTACTAATTGTGTAGAGGATGTTGGTGAGCCCACCTACCTTCCACCCAAGCATGGCTCACTCTACAAGTTCTCCTCTTCTGACCTGAAACAAGGCAGCCCCAAGGTGTGTCAGGCCCACAGCAAAAGCCATGGTGCACAGGAGGACGAGGACAAGGACGAGCACAAGGACGTCTCCTCTTAAAGAAACCCGAGGGCTTCAGTCCTGGAAATAAACGTAGGATCCAAAGTGTCTTCATCCTTTGGTGCTTTTACAGTCCGTTTTCATCCGCTCTATTATCCCCTTACAACTCCGTGGGAGGGGTATCAATGAAGCAGCTGTGGAGTTCAGACTAGAGGGCACTCCACCAGTGCGGCCCAGCATTTGAGGAACAGAGCTGGCATCAGAAACTTGGCTTCTGAATTTTTAGCCCTTGTCTGTGGCAGGTGAATGGACAGAAAGAGTCTGGAAAAACGCAGAAAGTGGCAACTGAGGGACAAGAGGACTCAGAAGCAGAGCAGAACCTGGGCTCAGCCCCCAGGGGAGGGTACAGAGATGAGGGAGACGGGGGAAGGCAGGAGAGGGCATGAGTGGCAGGCATCCGGCACCTTCTACCCCCTGTTTCCACCAGCCTTTAGGAAGAGAGGACTGGGGTGCTTGCCCTCACAGGTGACCCACATGTCACGTCACTCCCCGAGCCCCTGTGGCTTCTCCGTCTCCTTTCTCTGCCCTGTTATCTGGCCTCATGGTTTCTTCTCTGCTCCCATCTTCTCTCTCCTTCCCACCTGCAGATCACCTGCCTGCCTTTCCCCTTCATCCTGGGGGCCCAGCCCTTTCCTCTGCCCCAGTCCCCTCCCGTCTTTCTCATCCACCGACCTCTCTATGCTCCCCACCGTCCTCCTCCTAAGCCCCACCTGGCATTTGTCTTCTCACTGCCAAATGAGCCAGCGTGGGCTCGAGGTAGCCAGGAGCAGGGTGGTCGCAGTTCTCCACAGCTCCTGACCCTGGCCTGAGCCCCCAGGGAGCTCCCACGCACCTCTTCCTTATGAACACTGGGGGCGCTGGAGGCTCAGCCCCCGCCCCACGCATACCTGGGGCAGGCTTGCTTTCCAGCCCTTGCAGACTCACGAGGGGCCTCATTCTGGGACACGTTGGCAGCTGTGGGGTCGACACACCTCTTCTGCAGGGAGGGCTCCCGACACTTCCGTCCTCTACCTGCACAGCCGGCCTCCATTAAACACACGCCTCAGCCGGCCTGGAGACTCCATTTCTATCTCCCTGGCGTGGCTTTTCCTCCACCACCAGCTGCTTCCTAGTTTTTACTTGAGGCTCCTGGGACATTGTCCTAATTTTTTCTTCATTTTTCTTTGTATTTGTCTAGGAAAAAAAAAATCAACCCTAAGAAACCCTTGAAACCACACTATGTGTTTTAAACCCTTGACCCCACCACAGAGGACTCTAACGTTGGCCTGGGCCACTTTGCCTGGTCCCCAGGTCGGGAGTGAGCAGCAGGTGCCCTTGGCTCTCTTTTATCTCTTTTATTCCCCTTCTTCTGTGGAACCCCCTCTTGTTGTGTCTGGAGCTCTGGGCTCTGTGCAGTATAAGGAGTCCAGGAGAGAGCTTGAGATGTGAGCTTCCCAGAACACCAGGTGCAGGGGATGTGACACGTTAGGGGAGGAGAGAACTCAGTGGGGAGAAGCAGTTTCTCCCTCTAATTTCATATAGAAGCCGAAAGAGCTCGGTTAAGTCCAGCTTAGTTCAGCTGGGTCCAGCTGTGAGGCTTTGGGCCCCTCACTAAATCTCCCTGAGCTTCAGGTTCTTATCTGTAAAGAAGGAGCAATAATAACCCTGTCCCGCAGGATGGTTGAGAAGATTAAATGAGAAACTACAGGTGCAAGCCCTTCGTAAATTATAAAGAGCTCTAGAGAAGTTATTATTTATGGAGCAGATGTGGAGTATTTAGGCGTCAAGACTAAAGGAAGAGAGGATATGGCAAGCAGCATTTACTCGCTAAGAGGTTTAGGAGGGAATTCTGAGAAAGAACTCAGGAGCGTGAAGACTGCTCGAAGCCCAGGGGCCTCAGGAGAGGGGAAGGCACAGCTCCACTGCCCCACGCCCTCCATATGCTACGAGTGCCATCGTTTGCTTGTACAGACACTGCTGGCATGTTACAACCCTTGCATTGAGACTCTTGTGTTGGGGTATGGAAATGCAGGAGCCAGGTTGGCACATCCAGGTGCAAAGCTGAGGTCCCCACAGGAGAGAGCATGGGTGGTGAGTTTGTGAAGTGGAGTGCTGATGTCTGGAGCAGCTTGACTTCCTCCCTGGATGAGGAGACAGAAGACAGGCTTAACACTCAAAGACAGACACCAAAAACATGATGTCACTATAAAATTAACAACTGAAGTAGGTAAAAGAAACTTTAAAACATTAAAAGGCATTAAAAAAATCCTTTATCTTCCCCCCCTGCATGAGGGCAGTGGGCTGTCTTTAAAGCTCCCATCTGTGCTGGATCCTTGTGGAATTGTTAAGTTCCTCTTGGACAAGGACCTTGTCATTTTGGATTACATTTCTGCGCAGTGCCTTGCAGACATATCCACTTAATAGATATTACTTGACCGAGTGATTGGAAAAGAGCAGAACAAAGAGAGAGAGAAATGAGAGGTGAGCTGTTTTTATGTAAGCCATTGTGTAGGAGACTTGAGCATTCCAGCTTCGGTGCTGATTGAGGCACAATTTAAATCTGACTTCTTGCCTGAAAAGAAAAGAAGTCATAACACCAACAAACCAACTGCCTTGTACTCTTTCTATTTTGGCAGGGTCTGGATAGGATAGAAACATTGGGCTGTTGGGGTTGGAAGGCATGTCAGTAGGGGCAGGGAGGTATGGAATACATATAAGGAAGTTCCAGAGCTCAGAGAAGCAATTTAGAGAATCTGAGTGGACTAGTTGGCCCAATTACTACAGAAGAGGAAACTGAGGCCCAAAAAGGCAAACTGTCTTATTCCAACCCACCTTGCTTTTTGGTGGCAGAAATGGGAACAGAACATAAGTCTTCTGACTCCTAATCCTGAGCCCTTCCAATGACTGCAAACTACCTCCCAAGAATTGGTCTCAAAGAGGGACATAGCACCCAAACCAGGCTGAGCCTGAGGTCTACTTCTGGCCTGGAGAGGAAAAGTCAGACGGAGACAGAGAGCCCATCCCACAGAATGATAATAGCCTCTTGGGGTGTGTGCTTCCCCAACCCCACCTTCCCCATGATCCTGGCAAGGGCTGTGGATGTCAGAGCTTCTCCTGGGGAATTGGAGATCAGAGAGGAAAGTTTGGAGAGGGTTCACCCTGCAATGGGGCCAGGCCTGGGACCGAGACCCCATCTGCAGGCTTTCCTGATGACCCCTCCTTGGCACTCAGCATTGATGGGAATCCCACTGTCTCCTTTCCTGCCTGCCCCTTGGAGAAAGAGATGGGCTGAGAGCCTTGTTCTGGCTTCTGGCTCTGACTCCTGCTCTCCTGCTTGGACTGAGCCAAGAGGGTGAGAAGAATGGGAAAAGAGAAATAAAATTAGCTGCAGGATGAAAGATGCCCATCTGCTGTGTGGGTGAGGGAGCCCTGAGGAGGAAGGTGGACTACTTGGACAGCCAGCTAAGAGACTGAGTTGGGGATTCCTGACTTTCACAGACCCTAAGGAGCAGACAGTGTCGGGGAGGTCGGAGGATAGAATAGAAATGATGGAGATGTTGGAGCCAGTTAAGTTTGGGCTTAAGTGCTTTATGGCCTGATTCAAGTTACCTAACCTCTCTGAACTCAGTTTCTTATACCATAACATGGGGCAAAAATACTATCAACCCAACAGAGCTATTTTGAAGGCTACACAGATAAATGCACCAGAATTTCTGGAACACAGTAGGTGCTTCTAAGTGCTAGTTCCCATTCTTTCCATTATTCCAGCTGGGTCCAGTCACCCCCGTTTGCCCTCCAAGCTTCTGAGAGCAGAGCTGACCAAGCAGGCTCCAGGAGATGCTTCCCTGCCTGTTTTGGCAGCAGAGGGTCCACTGTGTTCAGTGTGTTCTTTGAGGGACCTCTTCCTTATGGGAGCTTCTTGGGAGTCACCACCAGGCACAGAGAGCTCTGGGTTGCAGATGAGATCCTTCTGTTATCTTCATATGTTTCTAAAGCAGCTATGCAGAGTGATCACCACAGTAGACGTGGGGTTCTAAAGAAAGGCGGCTGCTTGAAGGACAGGTGTGGCAGGAAGTGCGGCTAGGGAGGGGCCCCACACTGAGGGGCTTGCTCTAGACTTGAGAGGCTAATAGGCCACATCTACACAGCCGTGGGCCCTTCTGCTGTCTCTGGCACAGCAGGAAGAGATGGGATTTGCAGGCAGACAGGTGCAAGTTCAAATCTCAGCTTCATCACTTTCTGCTGCATGTCTCTGGGCAAGGGGTTTGACCTTGAAGCCTCCATTTCCTCATCTGTGAAAAGAGGACAATACTTCACTCAGGTACTTAATCTCACTTTGAAGATGACGTTGAGATAGGTACAATGTTTAATCTCCACTCAATAAATGGTCCCACGGACAGTGCTTCCAAGGACAGTCCTTTCAGATGGCAATAGTGCTAAACAGTACCTACAACCAGATGGGTGGTCTTGAGCTGAAGGCAAGACCTTAACTGCTTCATTCACCTCTGACTTCATCTGTCTTTTAGCTTTGTTTAAATTAGGCCCAGGAGTCATTCCCTCCCAATCTCTCACCCTTAGGAACCCTCCCATTCGTGCCCAGTCTCTCACCTTTTTACGCACCCTATCAGCCTGAGGAAAAATCCAGTTAGTTACCACATCTAGAAGTGACCAAGTGTCACCTGGCTGCTGGCTTACCTGGGATGTAACCAGTACTTCTCCTTTCTAGGATGGCTCTTGGGCAAGTAGCTGAGGCTCACAGGCAGAGGTCTTTGGGAGAGGCATGGCCATCTCTGTGTTCTGAGCTGCTTCTCCAGCAGCCAGGCCCTCTGTTAGGGAGCTGGCCCAGACCCCCTCCCTGGCCTCTCAGACCCCCCAGGGTGCCTGCCCAGTGTGGGGCGCATGACCCACCTTTTGCCCTTTGTGCTCCTTTGTCCACTCACCACAGACCCTTTCACACCTCAGTTAGCCACTTAGGGAGACAAAGCGCTAGTGCGAGTAGGGGAAGCTGTCCAGACCGAGATGAATGGCTCCGAAGCCTGCTGTTGCCATGGCAGCCAGCTGGGAACACCGTTTCCAGGGCCCAAGGTGCTCAGACATGCATGGGGGGTGCTGCCCTGCTGGGTTGCTGCCCACTCTCCGGCCCCCACCCTGCATTCTCAGCTTCCTTAGCAACAGCTGATGCTGTTGCCACCACCGCTGCAGCTTCGGCCCTGGCCCGGGGCAGTGTGAGGGAAGCCAGGATCGGGGGCTGGTGTAGGAGTGTGTGGGAGGGCAGAGCCTAGGTATGAAGTTGGAGAGGAAAAGGAAAGGAAAGACTTGGCAATTTTCCCCATGATACTAGTGATAAGATTATAAGGATGTTTCCTAATTATACAGAAAAGAGGCTCATAAACTTAGGCTCCAACGGACCCCTTTGTGATCTGGTGATCACCTCAACTTGTAAGAGCATGCCTGTGTCCCTGGGTATATGTGAATTTTTCTGAAACAATGGTTTATAGTTTTTATCAGATTTTTCAAAGATGACTAAGGTCCCCAATAGGTAAGAACCTTAATTAGAGACATTTTGCTTTTTAGAATCAGAATGATCTCAGGGACTGGTTGGCCAGGTTGATTTGAGAGATATGCTTACAAAGAGGAATGAATACGACACAGGGCGGGGAGTGGGGCAGGTGGCGTGCTTCCCTGTGCCTGCCCCAACCAAGAGTCCCCAGGATCTAGCATCTGCCTTGCTGTGGACCTCTAGGACTAGGGGACGGGGAATCTTCCTCCTAACACGGTCCATCCTTCGCAGCCCCTGTCCTCTTGCAGCTTTGTCCTGGGGGCCGAGTGTGCTATTAGCTTGTGCTCCCTCCATGCTGGGCCAGAGCTCAGTGTTTTATATACTCTGTTCTCACGATCCCATCTAACCCCCACACAGCACTGTGGGGAGGGTGGTCTCACCCCTGCCATTGAAAAGATGAGAGTATTGGAATGATAAGAAAACTTCCGTGACTTGTCCAAGTTCGTGCCGTTAGAAGTTGGAGAAGCCCCAGGTAGCTTAGAGGAGTGGTGAAGAGTCCGGCCCTGGGCCAGAGTCAGATGAGAGCTGCAGCCCTTATGAGCTAGGGGACCCCGGCCTCTACTCTCAAAGCTGCAAATTAAGGATCCTGATAACTCCCGCCGCAGAGGACAGTGGTGGGAGTTAAATGAGTTGAAACGGTTTGCGAAGTGCATAGGACAGTATCTACCACTAGATAAAAAGTGGAATTAGAATAGCATTCAGCCATGAGTCTGCCTAATTCTAAAGCTCATACAGAGAGGACTTTTGTGGGGGAGGGCTTCTGACCCTAATGCCAGAGCTGGGTTATGGCATAATAGTCACGCATTGCCACTTACTAATTGAGTGTGGGTGGGCTACGTGCATGTTTCAGGCCTCAGCTTTCTTACCTCTAGGGAACACCATGTTCTATAGAGGATGATTGTATAGTGAGCACTATTGATTACGTAAAGATCAAATGAAACAACGTCGGGAAAGTTCTTGGTAAACTGTGCCATATACTACAGCAATGCACTCAGTGCCCTGGCACTGAGGCCCGGCTCGTGCCCCAAGAATCGGGAAAGTTCTTGGTAAACTGTGCCATATACTACAGCAATGCACTCAGTACCCTGGCACTGAGGCCCGGCTCGTGCCCCACGGGGCTGTGTGCCCTTCCCTTGGCTGGCAGCTCAGGGCAGGGAGCCCAGTGTGATACCCGCTGAGGAGGGAGATGGCATAATGCCCTTGGGTGCCCATGTGCCCGGGTCAGCAGCCAAGAGCAGGATGCTTAGGAATTCCACCGAGGCAGCTGGGCCCCGGCTTCATTGGCAGGGGCAGAAGGGAGGCAGGTGTGAGGGAGGCCAGAGCGGGGCTCGAGGAAAAGAGGCTGGGTGGGCCATGGAACACTTTCCAAGGGGTGTCACAGAGCCACGCCAAGTGTGTGTCACCCTTCTCTATGAGGATGTGTGATTAGTGGAAATGAGAACAAGCTTTATTAGTCACTGCTGAGGAGAAACACCACGAAGAATTATCCAACCTGCTAATGGAAGGGTGCACAGGCCTCTGTAGGCTGCTGGAAGGGAGGAGTTTCATGTCCTCTTTTCTTTTTGCCCCCAGAAGACTCATGTTGCTGAGAGCAGATGGTGAGGGGGAAGAGGGTGGGTCCTCATCCTTGAGTCATTTGCTGCCGGGGTACCTTTTTGGGGCTCTGGGAAGTACAGCAAGCATGTTGGACGGATAGGCAGCCTGTTTGCAGGGGGGCGAGGGTCGGCCCGAGGAGGCGCCGCTGGGAATGACTCGTGCCCAGTCAGAAGCTGTAATTGGAGGTGATTAATCTGTGGAGGACAGCGTGGGGAGTCAGCGCTGACTCAGGACCCAGGCGGGCCGCTCCCCTCTCCCACTTCACCTGCCTCAGGCGGCAGAGGGAGGCTGCTTGGAAAGGCTAATGATTCAGAGGCCCTTAAAACAGAAGGATGAGCAGCTGAGGCTCCAGATCAAAGATGTTTTAACCCTTTAATGGTCCAGTGGTAATGTGAAGAGGTTGAGGGTCTTCCCTCGGAGTCGGGGCCCTGGACACGCGAAGCACTTATTTTATTTATTTATTTTTTTGAGACGAAGACTCGCTCTGTAGCCCAGGCTGGAGTGCAGTGGTGCAATCTCGGTTCACTGCAACTTCTGCCTCCCAGGTTCAAGCAATTCTCATGCCTTAGCCTCCTGAGTAGCTAGGACTAGAGGCGTGCACCACCACGCCCAGCTAATTTTTGTATTTTTAGTAGAGACGGGATTTTGCCATGTTGGCCAGGCTGGTCTCGAACCCCTGACCTCAGGGACCCCCCTGCCTCGGCGTCCCAAAGTGCTGAGATTACAGGTGTGAGTAACTGCGCCCAGCCCCACTCAAAGCACTTCCGATGCACCCCATCAGAAGTGGGGGTCAGGAGCTCCTCCACTGCAAGATACTAAGCTAAGGCTTTCTAGTTAAGGGGACCTAGATTTCAGCCCCAAGTAGGCACTCCCCAGCTCTGGCAAGCGGCTCAACCTCTCCAAGTCTGTACAATGAGGACAAAACTACCTACTTCATGGGGACTCAAAGAGATAGTGTTTGTGAAATGTTAGCAGAGCCGGGACTAGACCTGGGATGGGAGCAACCAACGCCTCATCCTGGGAGAGGCCACACTGAGCATGTGTTTTAAAAGAGGCTGCATTCACATTTTTCACCTCTCTTCTATATTCCAAAGATAAGCAAGAAGACCTGGGTCAGAAGAGCCAGCGTGAGTCACGCACAGCTGTCACCAGGGACAGTAAGATGGGTGAAATGAAGATGCAAATCACCAAATATTATTTTACCTATACACACACACACACACACACACACACACACACACACACACACACACACATACAGGTAGTCTAAAATTGTACACAATATACACAGTAAATATTTAATTAAAGAGGCTGTTTTCCTATTGGTAACTGACCTTACACCTTGGGGGAAGGTGCCCAGGTACACATACCTTGAAAACGCCCAATGGCTTTTGAGGAGACCTTGGTGGCAGTACTTTGTTTTGAGTGCAGGATCTTAGCAGAAGTCAGGACGCAGTGGACTTTTAGGGGAGCTGAGTCTGGAATAGTAAAGATGCTCCGGTCCAGCTGCTTTTGTGTGGTCAATCTGAGGGAGGGGGGGGTGGACTGTGTCATGGGGTTGGGGCTAGATCTTGGATGGGTTCATCCAACCCAACACCATGCATGTGCCTTAAAAGAAGTTCTAATTCTTTTTCAACTTTTGTGTACCTCAAAGGAGAAGTAAGAACACTTGACCAGTAAGAAGAGTGAGGATTAGATTTTGCACAGTTGCCAGAATGCAAAATCGAGATGATGGATATGAAATGCAAATGGGCAAAGTTAGGCATGTTCCTTCTTTATCCTCAAGGACGCTGAGCCAGAGCCGCAGCGCGCTCCCAGACAGAGCACAGCTCCCAGGTTCCCCAGCTCCTGTGAGGACCCACAGCTGGGGTGGCCCACACAGAGATTGGGATTCTGCCAACCTCACCCAGAGATGCTCCCTCTCCATTCTCGTGTTCTTGTTTGTTTTCTCCTGCCTGGTACCGTGCCTAACCACATGACCCTTCCAGGGACTCTTGCCGCAAGCTGGCCTATTCACCAGGTGCAAACAATTTATGCAGCACTTCCTACCCGTTCTCCAGTGTTTGTGGTGAAATTGGGAAATGCAAAGGTTATTTTTCTCAGGAGCATCCTGCAGCAGGTCTGGGATTCAGGCCTGTCAAAATTCTCCCCTGCAGATACATCTGGAACATTCCATTAGCAGCAGGAACTCTGACAATCAGGATGGTTTAACTCTCAGAGTGGGGAGCCAGGTAACCAAGACCTTTACCCTGGAGATCATTAGAAATAAAACTGCAATTTTCACATCTCCCTAGAGGTATGTTCCTCCCTGGTGGGAGGGGCTGAAGGCCTATAAGCACCCATCTCAGCCCCAAGAAGCCCAGTTCTTCCAATGTCCTTCAGCCTCTACCAGCTGCAGAACAATAAACAAACTCTGTCCTGTGAAGCTTCCTGCACAGTTAGCATTTGTGGGCTGCAGCCTCTTGCCATTTGATGTGTGGACAACAAAAATCAGCATATAGATTGAGCTGCCGCTATACGGAGGGCAAAACGAAAACGGAGAAGACAGTGTTTCGTTTTTTATTTATTTTTCTTTTTTGAGGAGGAGTTTTGCTCTTGTTGCCAAGGCTGGAGTTTAATGGTGCAATCTCGGCTCACTGCAACCTCCGCCTTGCGGGTTCAAGCCATTCTCCTGGCTTAGGCTCCTGAGTAGTTGGGATTATAAGCATGCACCACCACACCCGGCTAATTTTGTATTTTTAGTAGAGATGGGGTTTCTCCATGTTGGTCAGGCTGGTCTCAAACTCCTGACCTCAGGCGATCTGCCCACCTCGGCCTCCCAAAGTGCTGGGATTACAGGCGTGAGCCACCACGCCCGGCCAAGACAATGTTTTAGAGTCCAGTTGGCTTCTCTTAGGGAGAAGATCACTCTTCAGAGGAGGGACTAGCCGGCTGCCTCCGCCACTTAGTGAAGGGGAGGGAAGAGTCTTACTAGTAGGTTTGGTCACAAAATTCCCCTTCCCCACCACCCCCAACACACACGCAGCGGGAGAAAGGAAAGGGGAAGGAAAGATCCAGGTGGCCTCGGCTGCTGGCCTCGTTCTGTTTCCTCCCTGGACCCACTGGTTAGCACGTGCTGAGCCCAAGATCTGTGCTCTTGGCTGCAAGGATTTCCCCTGTACGTCCTCCATTTGCAAATTTGGGTCTTGGTCCTCCTGGAATCCAACTACTTTGAATTCCTGGCACAACCAGATCTTTGCTGAGTCTTGTGAGTACAAGGCATTTACGATGCACTGTCAGTCCCTGGTTGTGGGGGCGCAGAACCACACTCGGCCAGAGGCTTGAGGGGCAGGTGACTGTGGAAGCATAGATTTAGGATATACCTTTGGGATTCCAGAATAGCAAACGGACACCTCATGAGATGAAATGGTTCATCAAAGATCTTGCTTGTTGGTAGAACAGCAGGAATAAGACTCAGGCTGTCTAACTCCTAGCTCTTCCTGTTGTCGCTGGTGCCTTCTCCAGGCAGGGAGCTCTGCTGACAGTAGGCTGCACAGCTCCGGGAACTGAATCCAATCCTGCCCCAACCCTTTGTTAGGCATCCCCTGCGTGGCTCCAGGGTCATACGCATTGTGGGTCTGGTGTAGCCCCTTGGCCTGGGGAACACACAGAGGGATGTTGGGCCTGTCGCCATGGGGCATGAAGCCTGGGGAAGCACCACCTTGCTTCCTGCCACAGCCTTTGTGATGGTCGCAAAGCTCTGAAGGAAGTTGCAGAAGACAAACCAGTCATTTTCTCTCTGTCTCCTTGATTTCTCCTGCATCCAGGGTGGCTCCTGATTTTCCTGGTGACTTAGCGTTTCCTTACACTTGGACTCATCATCGTCACTACTCCCACCACTGATCTGGAATGTGTGGCCTCCCTCCCCCACCGTCACCGCCTCCAAGGGGCCTCCTCCACTCCACCTGCGGCTTCTTCCCATGAGCTGCACAGCTGTTCTCACCCCCATCGGAGGCGCCCTCCTAACCCCGCGGTGGAGGAGAGCACAGGGAGGCTCAGGAGAAACTGGAAGCCTTGCTAGTTCCCGGGGGTGGGGCAGACATCCCTCAGCAGGCCAGACACCTGCTGCAATGTGAGCAATTCTGTATCCACCCAACGAACATCGCTGCCTACCTGCCTGCCAGGCACTATGCCAGACGCCATGGCCTTGTCACCTAAAGCAGGGGTTCTGCCCTCAGAGGAATGCTCGTGCAAGCGGGTACATCCGTGGCTTCACTACAATCTGATGGGCCCATGTCAGCTGCAATGGCCCCAAGTACAGGAGCTTTAGGTAGGGAATGGAGCGACGGTCAAGTCAAGCAGGGGAGCAGGAAGCCCTTGGATGTGGTGCCTGAGTGGGCGTTGGAGGGTGGTGAGGGATGAAGTGGGCAGCTAAGGTTGAGGGAAGGGCAGGAAGGAGGCCACCCGTTTCCACCTGGGAGAGCAAGGGGACAGCACGGGGCAGGTGCTGGATCTGTTAGAAATCTCCCCAGATGGATGGTGGGCTCTGAGGCAGCTGGCCTCTCTCTGGGGCGAGCATGCTGTGGTGGAAAGAGTGATCCAACGACAGTCAGAAGGCAGGTGTGGTCCTGGGTCCACCATGAACCAGTTCGATGATGTTGGCAAGTCACTGACCCTAACCTCGAGGAAAAAGAGAGAATTGGACAAGATAGCCTCTGACGTCCCTTCCAGCTCCAAAACTATCCTCTGCCTTCCAAACACACAAGAAAACCAAACAAAAGTAAATATGGTTCATGGATGCTTAGACCTCCTAGACAGTCAGATTCAGGGTTGGTCAAGATGGTGGTGAGGGAACCTGCCCTATCCTGGTAGGTGGAGTGAGCTGAGGGTGAAGAAAGCCCATTCCCCTTCCCCTTGGTCGGGTCAGGATTCCCCCCACCAATGAGCAACAGGACATCAGGGCCAAAAAAAAAAATCGATTGCAATGCCAGTGGGAACTCTTCTTGTCACGATGTTTCACTCCAGCGCCTCCATTTCTATTATTATACCAAGTGATTTATTCCAAAAACATAAACCCAGCAGCAAAAGAGTACCCGGCTCCCCAGGGAGAGGTCTCTTCCTCTTTCTCCTTCCCTGCAAGCTGTTGCCTGGCTCAAGTTACCTGCCTCTTGTCCAGCTTCAGCCCGCCCTCAGTGGGAAGGGTTGCAGGCTGGGAGGGAGATGGCACCTCCAAGATATTCCCTGGGTCTGCCCAGCTACTTGGCCTTCACGGGCAGTATTCACTACAAGTTTCTACTCAAATTTCTTTGAAACCTGGGTAAACATCTTTTTCTACTTCGTGCTTTAGTTTTCTCATCTTTGAAATGGGGAGAAAAATTCTTGACAGTTTCTCCTTACAAGCCCAGGGAGGTACTAAGACTTGGATTCTGGCTAGATGCTAGTTAGATCAAAGCTATGCCAGCTGGGCATGGTGGCACATGCCTGCGGTCCCAGCTATGCGGGAGGCTGAGGCAGGAGGATTGCTTGAGCCCAGGAGTTTCAGGTTACTGTGAGCTATGATTGCACCACTACACTCCAGCCTAGGCAAAAAAGCTAGACCCTGTGTCTAAAAAAAAAAAAAAAAAAAAAAAAAAAAAAAAAAAAAAAGGAGAAACATAGAAAAATAAAAGCTCTGCCTTTTCCTCTGTTTGCTGGCATTCCCATCTGAACACAGCTCTGAGCCAGGCCCCTTCCCCTGTAGGGCCACCGTGACACTCTTGTTGACATCGCTGCCTAAACTGGGGCTGGGAAGAACAACTCATTCATGGAAGGCTTGAGGATGACCTGATTTGTCCTCTGAAAGCTGAAATCTTCGAGTTTTAAAAATCCTCCTAATAACGCATTTTGCTTGTCCTCTTCTACCTGAGATGGAAATTGGTTAGAGTCAAGCGGAGCCTTGAGTCGGTGGGGGACGGGATGGATGGAGCACGCTCCCATGGCGTCTGGGATAGTCAGTTCCTCCTGGACTCCAGGGCTACGTGTTGCTTGTGCAATTCCATCATCTGCCACTTAGCATATGCTGTCTTATATTTTAGTGATTAAAAAATATATAGCCCATCTCTATTTTCAGGCTTGAAAGGGAAAGAGTAGAATGACACACAGTAGTTTTCAACAAATGACTGGTTTTGTAATTGCTGCTGATTTTAACCGTAGCTGCAGGATCTATGAGTCTACGTAGGAGTTATAATTGGGAACTGTTGGAACAGAGGGGTCTGAAAGTCTCAGGCCAGCCTCCTCACAGACTCGCAAGGAACAGGTTATAGTTTCTCTTTCAAATCCACTTTCCCATCCCTAGAAGAATATGTATGTGTAAGTGGGAGACTTATATCTTTTATCATTTGATCTTCGTTCTAAGATGGGGAAACTGAATTTGGGGAGGTTAAGCAGCTTGCCGGTAGTTACACAGTTGGAGGGACAGAGCCAGGGTTAGCATGCTGCCTGATTTTAAGGCTCATGTTCAGTCCACCACATCATAATGCTTCGTGAACGGACGAAGGCGATGATTTCCCGACAGCTTGTGAACTCTGTTGTGGATCAGCAGGCTGAGAAGGGAACTGCTCACAGTGACGCAGCCCGGAAGAGGTAGAGCCGGGCATGGGGCCCCTGGCTCTGCTCGCCAGGCTGTCCCTTGTGCAGGCCGGGTAGCCCGCAGACCCGCCAGTGTCTCAAAAGAGAGTCGTGTTCTCTTTTTGCTGAGTTCAAATGTGTGCAGAAGAATATGCACAGCTCTGCAAACATGAAGCACATATTCTAGCAAGAGGGCTGTCGGGCTTGTGTGGGTTTGAAAGCAGGGACTGGCTGCCCTGAGCTCCCGTTGCTGGCACATCTCCTTCCCCCAGGAGGCAGGATGGTCACAGCCATGCCATGTTGGCAATGAGGATCCACTGGACTCCCTCCTGGGAGCGGTCGTTGTGTAGCTAGAGGTGGGAAAGTAGAGGGGTTAAAGGCTGCCTTCCTTTGTCTCGCCAAAGGGAAATCCCTGTAAAGCAATGAAATTGTGATGAGCTTTGAAGAGGGCTTCTACCCACTAAGAAGCCAGTCCTGAATTTTGATGCGATGTCACTTAGCACAGTTCCTTCCCACCAACTGTTTGCTATGACACCATGGAGCTAAATAGCAGAGCTGCCGAAATAACAGTTGAGAGAGAGAAGTAAGAGGCATCAGCAAGGGAAAAAGATTTTTTAAGCAAGGAACAGAATGAGACAGCAATCAATGAAACAGACAGAAGCAAGATGTCTGTTCCAGGTGGCGAGAGGCAGAGATGTCTTTTGTGTGACAAAGAAGTCTAGGATGCCAGCCATGCACTTGACAGAGGGCAGTGACCATAACTGTCTGCATTCGAGACTTCTCAGAAACGTCCACATCTTCCATCATGTTACCTTCTTATGAGAAGGGACAGATACTAACATCATTTTATATGTGAGCAATAGCGGAGAGTTTTCATACGTGAGTGCAGATACTCATCTGGTACCCAACCACAATGCTTTCTGGCTTGGCTGTGCTGTTCAACCAGTGCCACCGTATTTGAGGGAAGAAGATGCAGTGGGTTTTCTGGATATAGGAGGGGAATGCCGACAGGTGGTTGGCACAAATATTTGAAACGGGAAGGGCTGTGACAAGATCCTGCCTCCCTGCAGTGCCACTCAACATCCATCACTGTGAGGGAGCAGGCAGGTCCACACGCCCTATCACCTGCCTTGTGTTTAAGAAGGACACAGAAGATCTGGGCATGAGGACCGTAACAGGGTTGGCATCTCCCTGTTCACCTTGTGATTTGTCTAGGTGCATGAATAAATATGCAGGGATAGCTATGTATTTCTATGACATAATCTCCTCTCTTCTTTGGACAGGAGAGGTCTCCTCCAACAGTGGAGCTTTCTCAAGAGTCTTGGTTCTCCTGCTATATTTTCTTCTCTCTCTCTCCCCCCACAGCCCCACCCTTTCCATGCTCATCAAGTGAAAAAGTTTCCATTTAATTCAAGCAAGGGATTGTCTGTGAGCCTGCATCCTGCCAGGGACATAATCTATTCTTTTTTGTGGCATCAGAGGAGTCCAAGACTCTACCACAAGTAATTGAGAAAGTTGACCTGGCAGTGACTAGTGATGTAACCTTACAAATCCTGGGATTCGCCATCTGGAATTACATTCTTCTCAAACTGGACAAGACCTCCAGAATCATACAATGTCAGAGCTTGAAAGCTAAGGACGTTCACTTCAGCTCCTTATTAAATAGAAGAGGAAACTGAGGTCCAGGAGTGCTGAGTGGCTTGCTACTTAGAGTCACTCCTTCCTCTATGCTCTTCCCATTACTCCAACTCATCTTTAGCTCACCCCACTCCACTGCTGGGTATACTTGTGTTTGAGCCATCTCTCTTCTTCCGAAACATCTCATAAGGGAAAGGGCTTTTAAGCCTAGTATGTAGGAGATGACTAGCATCTCTCAAGCCCTTAAGACAGAACATGACATCCCAACATCAGCAAAGTTTTCTTTCCATCTAAATTTGCCTTGCTGCCATACTTCCTAAACTTTTTGAGTGAAGAGAGAGGAAAGGGATCTCCATGCTTACTTATTTTTCCATAGGTGTCAAATGGGCAACTTTGCCCTCCCTGTGGCCCGGCCCCCTCCTCTGGTGTAGCATTCTCTTGTTGAAGTTAAAGAATCACAACTTCCAAGCTCATAAGCCATGTGCTTAGCATCCTAAAGTCAAATAGAGGTTAGTCCATTGGAGAACTGACTCTTTGCTTAATGACCAAAAAAGTAATATCTTTAAGAGCCTTCCCTTTCATTTCATGCCAAAGTTATTAGGCTAGATCCAGCCTAGGGTTCTGGCAGCAGGCATGCCAGAGAGCAAAACTGGGACAGAGAGCAAGATGGGGACCCTCTTGAGGGGGGCTGTAGGACAAAGGTATAGTGGGCAGATTTCACGGGAGCTCCCCAATTTTCTACCATGCAGTTCTCAGTACATGGCCATAAGCATCTTGAAAAGCATTTGTGAAACTGCCAAGAAGCCAGGCTAAAAATACCCACAGAACAGTCTGGATCAAGGAGAAATGCAGAGCTGGGCGTGAGGGCTCCGTGGAAGGTGTGAGACTCAGTGCAGCAGCCAGACTGCAGCGCCCACCTCAGGCTCCTGCTCCAGGCAATGAAGCCATGGTGGACTGGATGTTGTTGGGGAGGAGTGGATGCATCTGGGTTTAGACCTTTTGTTTTATTTTTGAATCGGTCCAGTCCAGCAGTGCAGCAAGGGTGTCTAATGACACACTAAGGGCACCTAGCATGTGCTCTTATAGTTCCAAGTCCAAGCATTCACCTGCTTCTTGGGAAAATAGCATTCTTTATGAAATTTTTTTCATACATCTAAAGAGAAAGTCATGTTTGAAAGATGAACTAGGCTGGGCGTGGTGGCTCATGCCTGTAATCCCGCCAAGGCGGGTGGATCACCCGAGGTTGAGAGTTCGAGACCAGCCTGACCAACATGGAGAAACCCCATCTCTACTAAAAATACAAATTAGCTGGGCATGGTGGCTTATTGCATTCTTAAAGATTAGCCATTAAGAATGAATGCTTCTTCCTTAAATATTCCACACCCTTTTCTTTTTAACTTTATTTTAAAAATTATTAATTTGATTGACAAAAATTGCATATGTTTTTGATGTACAACATGATGGGGTTTTTTGTTCTGTTTTGTTTTTGAGATAGAGTCTCACTCTGTCGCCCAGGCTGGAGTGAAGAGGTGCAATCTCAGCTCACTGCAACCTCTGCCTCCTGAGTAGCTGGGACTACAGGTGTGTGCCACCACGCCCGGCAAATTTTTGTGCTTTTTCAGTAGAGATGGGGTTTTGCCATGTTGGCCAGGCTGGTCTCGAACTCCTGAACTCAAGTGATTCACCTGCCTCGGCCTCCCCAAGTGTTGGAATTACAGGCGTGAGCCATCACATCCGGCCTGTGATGTTTTGATACATTATGGAATGGCTAAACTGAGCTAATTAACATACACATTACCTCATATATTTATCACTGTGTGTTGTGAACACTTAAAATCCCTTAGCAACCTCCAAGGCTACAGCGCATGATTATTAACTGCACTTGTTCCTCCTGCCTCACTGAGGTCTTGGACCCTTCGGCCACCAACTCTCCAGTGCCCCCATGTGAGGTGTTTGGGGCTTTGCAGGGGCTCCCAGTGCTCCTTATAATGGCTGTAACTTGGCTTTGTCTGCTTATGGTTCTCTCTCTACACCATTTTTAGGCTCCTTCTTCTAACACTTAATCTAATCATGTGCCCCTGACAAATATTATCGCTAGTCTGCTTTTTCCAGTTTTTTGTTCTTAGTTATCAGGAACATTTTACATCAGAACCCTCCTGCCTCTCTCCCAGGGTTGCCAGCAGCAGTTCCGTCATGCTTAGGCTCTCGCTTTTAGGCAGGGGATACACTTCCTTGGGTGTTTCCAAATTTCTCTTTGAGACAGCACCTTGCTCTGTCACCCAGACTGGAGTGCAGTGGAGCGATCATGGCTCACTGCAGCCTTGAACTCCTGGGATCAAGCAATCCTCCCACCTCAGCTTCCCCAGTAGTTGGGACTATAGACTTGTGCCATCCTGCCTGGCTAGTTTTTGTATTTTTTGTAGAGACAGGATCTCACTATGTTGCCCAGGCTGCTCTCAAACTCCTAGGCTCAAGCGATCCCCCTGCCTTGGCCTCCCAAAGTGCAGGGATTACAGGCATGAGCCACTGCACCTGGCCTTGTTCATGTTTTTAAATAAAAATTATTATTTGAGACAAAGACCTGTCTTTGAGGAATCAAGTCTAAAGATGGACAGCATGATATGAGCAACCATCCGTAGGACACAGAAAACTAAGTTAAGAAAAATAAAATGAGACATTCAGTATTTATATAATGCATAGATCAAGGTAAGTGTGTTTGTCACCCTGATGTAATTTGTTTAATCTGTCCCTGGCTGTCCCCTCAGGAAACTCTTCTTCCCCTGAACCCTCAATTATTTTCCTAAGTCTATTTCTTTTAGCGGACGGAAGTGCAGACCTGTGTGCCCTTCCGATGGCAGAAACTTGCGGCTGGCTGTGACTTCTGAGAGGTGGATGGAGTAGATGTCATGAGGTGACTTCAGAGAACTGAGTGCTATTGACAAACTTTTGGGCAGTTTGTCAAAAATGTGACAAACCTATTCTCATTTTGTTTGGCTTTGGCCCATTTGTATAGTTTTCATTTTGAGGGCTCTATGGAAATAGCCTCTGTGGAGACTGAATGTAGTCATTATAAAAAAGCTGAAACACAAGTTTACTTGGGGGTGCATACGCTTTGTTCTATCTAGAAACTCTGGGGTGCCTCACATTTTCTGAGTGGAGAAATGGTAAATTCATTGGTGGCTGGAATCCAAGGAAGAGGAAGCAGCAATACTCTTCCCAGAGCCGGGACTCCCCTGTGGCCCCCAGCATCCCATTGTTGTGAGGACTGTGGGTAGAGAGCCCTTGCTCCAGGGGCCCTGAGTTCAACCACCACCTTGTCTTTGTAGAGCAGAGCTGCCTCCTTGTTTGAAGGAGCCGTCAGCTGGGCTGGGCAGTTTGTAAAGCCCCAGTGGGAGAGTGGCATTCAATCCTGATCTCCAGCGCCTCATTGCTTGTGGGTTTTAAATCCCTGAGAGAGGGAAATCATTGCTTCTAGATCCACGTTCCCTCGACTCTCTTCCCTAGGGTTGCTGGTCAGACCTGGTGCAGTTCCCCTTGCACCACTGGGCTCCATCCAACTCTGGCCTTGATGTTTTCTATAAATTCAGAAAAGGCCTGTGCCTCGACTTCCTGCAGTGGCACCCTTAACCTCATCTCACACTCCACTACGCTGTCCTTGTACCTCAGCCATGTCGGGAACCACAGACCATCACTGGACATTCACCAGAGCAAGCCTTTGTCCACTGCAATGCTCCTCTGGGCTGCTGGTGTGGGTAGTATCTTCTCTTGAGCTGGAGGAGACCCCTTTAGGAGGCAGTGAAGACCCCCACTTGTTTGTTTTTGCTTGTTTGTGCACAGTAGGTATTTAATAAATATCCGTTGCATGAAAGAATGAGCAAATGGGCTCTTCCCACTCTAACAGAAGTACCTCAGCAAAGATTTTATGCTTCCCTGAACTTGGTCAAAGAAGATGAATGGTTTAACTGAGGTGTTTATTTCGGCCACTGAGATATGCTTCTTTGGTGATCTCTGAGATTTATATTCTTTTTCTTCTGAAAACTAAAAATAAACAAAAAATCCAAATACCCATGAAGTGTTGGACACTGTACTAAGTGATCCCATCAACACTTTCTCACTGAATTTCTTCAGCCCCTTTGTCAAGGAGGTTTCATTTTCCTCCTCTTTACAGATAAGGAGACCACCTCTCAGAGAACAGGCAATGTATCCCACGTCCCTCAAATAGGAGGCAGAAGCAAGATTTGGACTCAGGCCTGCCCAGCTGCAATTCGAGGGTTCTTCCCACTGTAACGGCCTGGCCCATCCTTTCCAGAGGCAGCCATATGGCTGAGATTCCGGGAAGGAAGCTATCTCCATAGGAAGCATGTGGGGTGCCTAAGAATGATGTTAGGAGTGACAGGACCGGAGCCCAACACCATGGGGTTGAATATCGTTCTAGGCGGAAACAATACTAAAAGATAACATTCATTGAGCTTGTTCACCATGGACCACATACTCCTTCCAAAAGAGTCCGTGAAGGTAGTACTTCAGCTTACCAATGAGGAGTCTAAGACACAGGAACTTTAAGTAACTTCCAAAGGATAAGTGGCAGAGTCAGAATTTGAACCCAGACAGAACTCTTAACCATTATGCAAGGCTGCTTATAATGTCAGAGGAATGGTTTCCAGAATTCACACACAATCTTAGTGTTCATGGTAAACTGAACACCAAAAGATGAGGCAAATTCTATGCCCCTATCCCTGAATCTGGGCATGTTTGTGACTACCTTAACCAACGAATTATGGAGAAGTGACACTAGATGACTTCCAAAGCTATGTCATAAAAAACAATGCAGCTTCTACTTTGCCCACTGGGATACTCACTTTCAGAGACGGGATCACCTGTTGTGAGGAAGCCCAGACCAAAGGCAGAGCCAGTAGCTCCAAGTGAGCTTTCAGCCAAAAGCCAGCAGCAACCACCAAGCACCTGAGCCAGCCTCTTGGAGACCCAGCTGAGCTGAGCCTTCACTGACTGCAGCTTCAGTCAAGGTCTGAATGCAACCTCATGAGAGACCCTCAGTAAGAACTGCTCAGCTGAACCCTGCCTTTCTTGTGGCTGTAAGTACAAGCAAATTGTTGTTTTGAACCACTAGGTTATAGGATAATGTGAATGGTATGTAGCAATACATAACCAGAACAGCAGCTCACAGCCTCCAGGTCTGGTCTTCCTTCCTATAATGCCTCACTATTTGATGTCCTAAGTTAAACAACAATACCACCATCACCACCACCACCATCACCATCATGACCACCACCACCACCATCACCAACAGCAACTATTGCTACTACTAGAGGAACAAACTTTGGGTATCTAGCATGTGCCAAACACATTCCCATGTTCATTGATTTAATCCTCATAAGCACCATCTACAATAGGTAGTATCACATTTTAAGATATAATCACTGAATCTTAAAGAAGGAAAATAACTTTCTTGATGTAATTCCAGATTCATAGTACTTTCTGCCATCTCAAATTTTAGGCTGAACTGATCAAGGTAACTAAGGGAAAGCAAGAAGCACAACTGCTACCGTTGTGACTATCCACACCTACCTTTTTTTTTTTTTTGAGACAGAGTCTTGCTCTGCTGTTCAGTCTGGAGAGCAGTGGCATGAATCATGGTTCACTGCAGACTTGAACTCCCAGGCTCAAGCAATCCTCCTACCTCAGACTCCCAAGAAGCTGAGACTACTGCTGCATACTACCATGCCTGGCTACTTAAAAATTTTTTTCGTAGAGGTAGGGTCTCAGTATGTTGCCCAGGCTGGTCACAAACTCCTGGCCTCAAGTGATCCTCCCGTCTTGGCCTCCCAAAGTGTAGGATTATAGGTGTGAGCCACGCGCCCAGCCAGTTACTGTTTTTATTGTTGAATATATGCTCAAACAAAAAAAAATGCACAACAAAAATGTACAGGTCAATGAATTATCATAGATCAAATTCCTATATATCTACCACCCAAGGTCAAGAAAACAGAACATTGCCAATATCCTAGTAGCTTCTGTCTTCACAACTGGTCCCAATCACCACCCCTCCCATTGCCCTGAAGGTGATCATGATCATTTCTCTTATGAAAACCAACATAGTTTTACTACCTAAACTTTCATTACTAAAAACTAGCAGTCTTGCCCTTTGTAAATTGTGTATAAATGGACCACATGGCATGTATTCCTTGTGTTTACTTTCTTTTATGAGAGATTATGTTTAAAGGTTATGTTCTGAGATTTAGCCATGTTGTTTTGTATAACTGTAGTTCATTAATTTTTATTGGTTATTCTACTATATGAATATACCACAATTTATTCGTTTCACTGGTGATGGACATTTGGCTTGTTTTTAATCCTTTTCATTATACAAATCATGCTGCTGCTATGAAATTCTAACATGTGCCCTTTGGGGGACATGTGCATGCATTTCTGTAGGGTATGTGTCTAGCAGTAAGGTTGCTAAGTCATGGGGGGTGCATTTGTTCAACTGTAATGGATATTGACAGTCTTCTGTAGTGATTATACCATTTCCAACTGCTACCGGGAACACAAGAGAGTGCCTGTTGTTCTACAGCCTTGTGAACATTGTACTATCAGTCCTTTTTTTTTTTTTTTTTTTTTTCGAGACAGAGTCTCACTCTGTCGCCCAGGCTGGAGTGCAGTGGCACCATCTCATCTCATTGCAACCTCTGCCTCCCAGATTCGATTACAGATGCCCGCCACCACACCCAGCTAATTTTTGCATTTTTAATAGAGACGGGGTTTCACCACGGTGGTCAGGCTGGTCTCGAACTCCTGGCCTGAAGTGATCTGCCTGCCTCAGCCTCCCAAAGTGCTGGGATTACAGGCGTGAGCCACTGCCCCTGTGTGTATTATCAGTCCTTTCAATTTTAACTACTCTGATGGGTGTGTAGTGGTAACTCACTATAGTTTTAACTTGCATTTTCTTGACCACTGAGAAATTCTCATGTATTGAATGGCCATTTGGATATTCTCTGCTGTTAACTGCTTTTTCAGGTTTCCTGTCAATTTTTCTTCTAGGGTATTTGCCTTTTTCTAAATACTCTAAGAAATGTATAATATTATTTACATATACGTTCTCTAACATTTGTTTTAGTAGAGTATATGTGTATACGTATGTATGTGTATGTCCGTGTGTGTGTGTTTGTGTGTGTGTGTGTGTACTAAAGCCCTTTGTCGGGTAAGGATGCCTTGGCGTGGCCATGTGGATAGGGATTAGGGACTCAGATCTTCCTTTCCAATTAAAGGGGAAAATGTACAGATGCCTCTCTGTCTGAGTATGTGCTGAAAAAAGCAAAGAATGCATATTTGGGACAAGAAGGCTCTAAAACAGGGAACAATATAAACCCAGATTTGAAACAATTTATGCAAAACAACTAGATTAGAGCTAGGCACACTCTTGCAGCTCCTAGGAAGAGTAAGATGGTTCTGAGCCTGCATTTGTTATCTGTCTTGGGTGTGGAGACCACTGTAGAAGGGAAGGGCTCAGAGGCCGCTGGCTCTGCTGTGCATTCTTTCTAGATGTAGGGTAGTGATCAGAGGCAGGGAGGCTGGGAAGGGCTTGGGTGGCTTCTCCAGGCAGCTCAGAAGCTCCCGACTGCTGTGGAAGGTGAACTGTCTTCCTGCTGAGCCAAGGGCTCAGGGAAATGCTGTTATCTCTGTCCTCAGTATTTGCATCTCAACTCACCCTTGGCAGCTCTGCTGTTTGCATAAGGTGCCTTGGGACAGATCTGCTTCCTCCTTGCAGAGGTCCTGACACCTACCTTGAGTCCTGCAGTGTGTGGAGGCCGGTGGAGTAGCTCTGCTTCACTCTGCAGGTTTCTCTTGTCAGATGACGTCATTCTCACAGGCTACAAGGTCCCAGCTGCCTTCCAGCTCAGGCCAGCATGTCTCTGCCCTGTGTTCTCCCTGGATGGCCCCAGCTGGGTGGTTCTGAGCAGACCGGTCCAGGTTTTTATTATTATTCACCAGGTTAAACAGTGTCAGCAGAACCCGCCAACCTCTAAGATCAGGCTTGATTCCCAAAGCGCTGCGGGCCCAGGAGTCACATCAGCCCTGTGCCATCAGAGCAGCCTTGAAGCAGAGCAGCTCACTGATGGGCAGATTTTTGATGCCTTCCTCACCTTCCTTCCACTTTGTGTCTTCAGGTCTAACAGAGCAGGGAGAGGAGAGGTGGGTTTCGGCTTCATCAGTAGTCAGCCTCTCAAAGGGCAGCAGGGAGAGATCACCTGTGCTCAAGGGGCTAAAGGGAGCTGCATTTACTTGGGGGCAGAGGCTGTGGGCACTCAGCACTAGCAAATACCCAGGAGGCACTCCCTCAAGGACCCGCCTCAGGCAGTGCAATGGAAGCCACAGTTATCTGCCTAGTGCAAAATCAGGAGCCTTGCAATGGTGTCTTATAGAGTAACATTTGTCAATGTAACTGAGGTTCATTCTCTGTTATAATTATTAATTAATTTAATTTTTGTTTTAAGAGACAGGATCTTGCTCTGTCGCCCAGGCTGGAGTGCAGTGGTACAATCATAGCTCACTGCAACCAGGAATCCCTGAGCTCAAGCGATCCTCTCACTTCAGCCTCCCAGAGTAGCTGGGACCACAGGCATGTGCCACCAAGCACGGCTGATTTTTATATTTTTTGTAGCGACAGTGTTTTGCCATGTTGACCGGGCTGTTCTCAAACTCCTGAGCACCAGCGATCTGCTTGCCTCAGCTTCCCAAAGTGCTAGGATTATAGGCATGAGCCACCACGCTCAGCCTTGCTGTCCAATTATGTGTGCTGGCCAACCCCCTGTATGGCCCCTGACGATCCTCGCCTCCTGGCATCCACATTCTTTGTAACCCCCTCCCATACTGAGTGGACTTGGCCTGTGTGACCAATAGGAAATTGCAGAAGTAGCAGAATGTGAATTCCAAAGACTGGGTCATAAAAGCCATTGTGGCTCATGCTAGCTTTCTCCTGGATCACTCTCTCTAGGGGAAGCCAGCTACCATGTCCTGAGGCCACTCTAACATCCCCGTGAGAGAGCGCCACCAGGGGAGGAAGGAGGCCACCTGCCAGCAGCCAGGGCTGCCCTTCCAGGTGTGTGGGTGGCCACCTGGACGTAGACCCTCCAGCCCCGGTCACCTTCAGATGACTTCCGTCTCACCTACAGCCTTGAGAGGCTCCCTGAGCCAGAACCATCAAGCTGAGCTGATTCCTCCTTGAGTCTAGAAGCTGTGTGAAATAATACATGTTTATTGTTTTAAGCTGCTAAGTTTTGGAGTGATTTGTTAAATAGCAATAGATAACTAACACGACGTGCTCTTCTGTTTCTCTAGGAGGCAGGCTTCTTTCATTATGTTCTCTACAATAACGTCTTTTAATGTAGCCAAACCTGCTGATAAAGGAGAGTTGCCTCATCCTATCGAAAGCAAATAAATGGGCCAGGAACAGTGGCTCCCACCTGTAATCCCAGCACTTTGGGGGGCCGAGGTGGGCTGATCACTTGAGGTCAGGAGTTTGAGACCAGCCTGGCCAACATGGTGAAACCCTGTCTCTAATAAAAACACAAAAATTAGATGGGTATGGTAGCACATGCCTGTAATCCCAGCTACTCAGGAGGCTGAGGTTGGAGAATCACTTGAACCTGGGACACAGAGGTTGCAGTTAGCCAAGATCATGCCACAACACTCCAGCCTGGGTGACATGGCAAGACCCTGTCTCAAACAAAACAAAACAAAACAAAACAAAACAAAACAAAACAAAACAAAAACAAAGAAATGTTCCTCTTGTTTACTCTGCGCTTAGCATAGTACTTGGTACATCATAGGTCTCGGTATTAAAAAATATGGCACAAATGCCAGTGGAATCAACTGATTGAATTAAGTAGATTAATAAATTTCAGGGTCTATGTCAAGTAAGGGGGAAAAGTGTTACAGATGAACAAAATTCATTTCTAGGCCTGGCACACTGGCTCATGCCTGTAATTCCAACACTTTAGGAGGCCAAGGCAGAAGGATCACTTGAGCTCAGGAGTTTGAGACCAGCCCGGGCAATATAGCAAGACTCCATCTCTACAAAAATAAAAAAATCATTAGCTAGGCATCATGTCTCATGCCTGTAATCCTAGCTACTTGGGAGGCCTGAGCCCAGAATTTGAGGCTATGGTGAGCTATGATTGCACCACTGCACCCCAGCCATACAACAAAAAACTAATTTCTGTATCTTTCTGTGATTTAAGAGGCCAGGAGGAGTCAGATAGTAAAGTTCACCCTTTATTGCCAGATTGGTATTAAAAATAAATTTGTATGCACTAAATACATGCTAGTTGATGATGGCAGGACATGTTCAGAAGTACATTTGGCATCGGGGAATGGCCAGTTAGAAATCAAAAAGTCCCATAAATGGTCTTTCAGTTAAGTGGCTAGTCCCATGTATGACTGGGCCTGAATGTAGACCTTCAAAGTTTATTGCAGTGGGCCTGAAAATGGTATTGATGAGGTTCACCTTGCAGGCATCCCAGTCACGATCTTTGGTTCTCATCATGATTCGTCTGGTTGTGTTCTTTGGCTTCCATCACAAAGGAAAAGAAATTATAAGAAACAGGGAGTAGGCCGGTCTCGGTGGCTCATGCCTGTAACCCCAGCACTTTGGGAGGCCGAGGCGGGTGGATCACCTGAGGTCAGGAGTTCGAGACCAGCCTGGCCAACATGGTGAAACCCCGTCTCAACTAAAAATATAAAAATTAGCCGAGTGTGGTGGCACACACCTGTAATACAAGCTACTTGGGAGGCTGAGGCAGGAGAATTGCTTGAACTTGGGAGGTGGAGGTTGCAGTGAGCCAGGATTGTGGCACCGCACTCCAGCCTGGGCGACAGAGTGAGACTCTGTCGTAAAACAAACAAACAAACAAACAAACAAACAAACAAACAAACAAGAAACAGGGAGTAAAAGCAGAATTCACGCTACGTCAAATGTTTTACCAACATAATTGCAGCTAAACTTTTCAGCAACCTTGTGAGCCAGGTGCTATTGTCCTTGTTCTACACGAGAAGCCCCAGCTGCACGATTCCAAGCAAGCTGTCCAAGTTCAAAAGCGAGTCAATAACAAAGCTATGATTTAAACACAGGTTCATTGGCTTCTTCTCTTTCTACTACAGTCTTTCACAGACTCCGAGATCTGGAAGATGGCTTTGGAATCCTCTGGACTAACTCCCCTCACGCGTATGGGGAGAGAGGGTCTCTAAGAGGTTAAGTCACTGATCAGAATAACTCCGCTATTAATGGTCTGACCCCGATTGACTTAGGCCTTCTGGTTTGCTTTTCTTTTCACTTCACCTTCCGCAATGGTAAGCCTGACGGTAAGGCTCATTCCTTCATAGCTCCAAGAAAACGAACTCAAAGTTTGTGTGGAGGCTGGTGATTGTTCAACAGAATTTTAATCCAGATATCGAGAGGAACACAAACACTGCACTGTGGAAAACGGGGTGAAGACAGTGGTATGGCTTTCCTGCCTCGTTCCCCTCCCTGTCCTCTCTGCCAAGGGCATTTCTGTAAGGCTGACAATGAGGCTCACATCCAGGGCTGCAAATCCAGCTCTGTCATCGTGCAGGTGCTGGAGACTGGGTGACATGTCTGGTGACTTCAGCAGTAACGAGAGACCCTTGCAGCAAATCATGGCGAATTCTGTGCTTTTCTCTGATAATAGCACCAGTTTAATTATAATCCAGAAGTGTAAATTCCAGTTTGCTTTCATCTCTAGTATGTTTCGTTTCAAATGTGACTTTGCAGCTCCTTCTCTCTTTTTTTCTCTCTTCGTGCCATAAAATATTTGCATATTTGAATGTCAGATTTTCCAAGTGCTGGAAGCAACAGGCTTTGGTATGTTCTTGAGTTATTTTGTATAGCAGCATCTGTCTCGTTTCAGCAGCCACCAGAGCTGAGAAGTGACCCAAGAGCAGCCTGGCAGGAAGAAAAAATGTGGGATTCAAGGGAGTTTCCTTATAATACAGAGCCCAGCAAAGCTGGGGAGGGTGGGGGCCTTCAGTCCCAGGCAGCTTCCGAACAGATGTTTTTCCCCAGTTGATTTTTTTTTTTTTTTTTTGAAGAAAGGCAGATTACCAAAGGAAACAAATACGGAATGATGACTACAGAATGTGTCTTTGGAACTTGCTAGACTAATTACCGAGGCTCCAAAATCACTTTAAAAGCAACACATTTTGTTTTGCAATATACATTCATCTTGCCAAATTTTTTTTTTTTTTAATTTCAATCAGAATCCACCTCAAACTGGGTAGTTGATTGTGGTGGAAGTGGGGTTTGGAAGGAACACTCTCATTAAGACTGCACTTTTCAAGGAATTTCCTGACTCTTTTCTGTCTATAGAATGACGTCAGGAAAATGCTACAAAATATCTTCAGAGCTTTAAACAGCTTCCTTTTGAAATGATACCTTCTGTTTAAACAATTGTAATAATAGCTGCTCTTTGTGTGCCAGATAACATTGAGTTTAATCCTTCAGTTCCCCTGTGTGGTCGGTATTTTTATCGTCTCCATTTATAGATGAATAAACTGAGGCTCAGGAAAGACGCTTTTCCAAAGAACTGTGACCTAAGTGCGGATACTGGACTTGAATGGAAATTGTCTGTGTTTATTGTGTGGATTATATCACTGCTCTTTGTAGAGGGACAATGGCAGCGAGGTCTGCCAGTTTGATATCCTGATGTTCGAATGCTCAGGCCCTGACCTAGGTAAGTATCACATTTTTCAGGGAGCTTCTGGGTAATTTCCAGAGAATATAGTTTTCCAGTTAATATTCGATCAATGAAATAGGATTCCAGCTTAAATACAGAAATATGACTGCACTGAAGCCACACCTGCTGGTGACATTTATTCATTTAACAAAAGCGCATGAAGTCCCTGCTGCGTGCCGGGACTGTGGTCATCCCTGGGGATGTCATAGTGAGCCACAGAGCAGGTCTCTGTCGTTGACACTGTGGTGGCAGAAGCTATGCCGGAAACTCCGAACGTGATGTTGAGCCCTCTAAGCAGAGCCAGGTCCTTTGGTTGGGGCTCTCATATAGGTATCATCAGAAATATTCTTTTACCCCATTTGGTGGTGCTCTGACAATCCAAACAGGTGACCTAGGTAACCCAGGTGACAGCGTGCTGGCAGTCCTCAGAGCCCTCGCTCGCTCTCGGCACCTCCCCTGCCTGGGCTCCTACTTTGGCGGCACTTGAGGAGCCCTTCAGCCCCCCACTGCACTGTGGGAGCCCCTTTCTGGGCTGGCCAAGGCCGGAGCCGGCTCCCTCAGCTTGCAGGGAGGTGTGGAGGGAGAGGCTCCAGCGGGAACCCGGGCTGCGTGCGGCGCTTGCGGGCCAGCTGGAGTTCCGGGGGGGCGTGGGCTTGGCGGGCCCCGCACTCGGAGCAGCCGGCCAGCCCTGCTGGCCCCGGGCAATGAGGGACTTAGCACCCGGGCCAGTCGCTGCGGAGGGTGTACTGGGTCCCCCAGCAGTGCCAGCCCACCGGCGCTGTGCTCGATTTCTCGCCGGGCCTTAGCTGCCTTCCCGCGGGGCAGGGCTCGGGACCCGCAGCCCGCCTTGCCTGAGCCTCCCACCCCCTCCCCGACGAGCGCCGCCCCCCGCTCCACGGCGCCCAGTCCCATCGACCACCCAAGGGCTGAGGAGTGCGGGAGCAGGGCACCGGGACCGGCAGGCAGCTCCACCTGCAGCCCCGGTGCGGGATCCACTGGGTGAAGCCAGCTGGGCTCCTGGGTCTGGTGGGGACGTGGAGAGTCTTTATATCTAGCTCAGGGATTGTAAACACACCAATCAGCACCCTGTGTCTAGCTCAGGGTTTGTGAGTGCACCTATCGACACTCTGTATCTAGCTACTCTGGTGGGGCCTTGGAGAACCTGTGTGTCGACACTCTGTATCTAACTAATCTGATGGGGACGTGGAGAACGTTTGTGTCTAGCTCAGGGATTGTAAACTCACCAATCAGCACCCTGTCAAAACAGGCCACTCGGCTCTACCAATCAGCAGGATGTGGGTGGGGCCAGATAAGAGAATAAAAGCAAGCTGCCCCAGCCAGCAGCGGCAACCCACTCGGGTTCCCTTCCACACTGTGGAAGCTTTGTTCTTTTGCTCTTTGCAATAAATCTTGCTACTGCTCTCTCTTTGGGTCCACGCTGCTTTTATGAGCTGTAACGCTCACCGCAAAGATCTGCAGCTTCACTGCTGAGCCCAGCGAGACCACGAGCCCACTGGGAGGAATGGACAACTCCAGACGCGCTGCCTTAAGGGCTGTAACACTCACCGTGAAGGTCTGCAGCTTCACTCCTGAGCCAGCGAGACCACAAACCCACCAGAAGGAAGAAACTCCGAACACATCCAAACACCAGAAGGAACAAACTCCAGACACGCCACCTTAAGAATTGTAACACTCACCGCGCGGGTCCACGGCTTCGTTCTTGAAGTCAGTGAGACCAAGAACCCACCAATTCCGGCCACGATACTATTTCGCATTCACTCATCCACTTTATAGTCATGCAATTCTTATTTAGTTAGTACCTAGTATGTGCCACAGATGGTAATAAGTCAGGAACAGTTCCTGCCCTCATGGAGTCTAGAGGGGGTGGCAGATATTGACAAATGAACACATAAACATCCAGTCACGACTGCAGCCAGTGTGAGGCAGGACCGAGTGGGAGCCAGGGGAAAGTCCTAATGAGCAGAGGCAGCTCAGGGACCTTCTCAGGGGCATCTGGGCCTGGGACCTGTTGGGCACTGTTGTGAGACTGTGCCCTGCACTAAGGGCTCACTCAGTTGGCATGGTTGCCTGACGGGCTGCTGGCCCACGAGAAGGGGCCAGCCAGGTACGGGTGCATGGCAGGGTGAGGAGCTCTTGGGGTAGGGGGGCAGGGAGCGTGAAAACAGAAAGGAGAGATCCAGAACACATGAGGCCTGAAGAGGCCAGGGAAGGCAGGCATAGGATGGCTTGGAGCAGGGCTCATAGTACACTGGACACTGGAACTTCAGCCTTGGCACATTGAGCAGCTGGGGAAGGCTGCACGCAGGATTGGGATTTTTACAAGCATTCACCGTGGCTCTGAATATCCATCTTTGCTCCTCTGGCCCTGCCCTGCCCTGACCCCCAATCTCCCCATTACTTCTCTAAGCCTATTTCCTGATCTGTCAAACAGGGATTAATACCATCTGTCTCAAGGCTTTAAAAAATTTATTTTTAATTAGACAAGGTGACACATGTAAGTCCCTATGAGAATATCTCATGTTCTCTGTGCATAGTAATAGCAATAGCCAAGATTTATGTGACATTTGCTGTGAGCCAGCACTCTGTTAAGAGGTTGACCCGTTTTCACTCGTCTGTTCCCCAGGACGATTCTGCTACTACAAAGAGGTGTTATTAGGATTCCCACTTTACAGATGCAGAGAGCTGAGGCACGAAGTTGCGTGCCAAGGCAACCCACCTGGTAAGAGGGGGAAGGATGGGGCTTGGCAAATGAGGATTGAGTTCCAGGGACACACTCTCCAGGTGGCCCTCAACGGTTGCCTTTTCCATTCTTTCGGGGCTGGTGGAGGCGCTGCCAGAAGAGGGCTGGAGAGTTTCGTGGAGGGTGGGAAATTTGAGAGAGGAGGCTGGTTTAGAATAGCAAAGTCACCCGTGCTGGTGCTGAGCGCCTGCTTGCAGGACTCCAAAGTCCAACTCATCCTGGTGTGCCGAGGACTGTCTTGGTTTTAGTGCTGGAAGTCCCACACCCTGGGAACTCTTCTGTCCCAGGATGCCAGGATGGTCACCCGTGCTGGTGCTGAGCGCCTGCTTGCAGGACTCCAAAGTCCAACTCATCCTGGTGTGCCGAGGACTGTCTTGGTTTTAGTGCTGGAAGTCCCACACCCTGGGAACTCTTCTGTCCCAGGATGCCAGGATGGTCACCCGTGCTGGTGCTGAGCACCTGCTTGCAGGACTCCAAAGTCCAACTCATCCTGGTGTGCCGAGGACTGTCTTGGTTTTAGTGCTGGAAGTCCCACACCCTGGGAACTCTTCTGTCCCAGGATGCCAGGATGGTCACCCGTGCTGGTGCTGAGCGCCTGCTTGCAGGACTCCAAAGTCCAACTCATCCTGGTGTGCCGAGGACTGTCTTGGTTTTAGTGCTGGAAGTCCCACACCCTGGGAACTCTTCTGTCCCAGGATGCCAGGATGGTCACCCGTGCTGGTGCTGAGCGCCTGCTTGCAGGACTCCAAAGTCCAACTCATCCTGGTGTGCCGAGGACTGTCTTGGTTTTAGTGCTGGAAGTCCCACACCCTGGGAACTCTTCTGTCCCAGGATGCCAGGATGGTCACCCGTGCTGGTGCTGAGCGCCTGCTTGCAGGACTCCAAAGTCCAACTCATCCTGGTGTGCCGAGGACTGTCTTGGTTTTAGTGCTGGAAGTCCCACACCCTGGGAACTCTTCTGTCCCAGGATGCCAGGATGGATGGTTACCTTAGGAGGACCCTCGTGATGCCTGTCGTAGGCCTCCCACCAGCAGATCGGCCTTGTCGCAAAGCCTTTTCTGGTAGATGTAGGACAGCCCTCTATGCTCTTTGGGGCTTTGGAATAGGAGGAACAGAAGTGCACAGGTGGGTGTCGTGGGACCTCATCTGTGTTCCTTGCAGCACCTCAGCCCCTCTGCAATTTACCCTCAGCGCCGCTTCTCACCAAGCAAATACACACATACGTGGTCCTGAAAATAAATCCAGGAACCTCTAGCCTTGAAGACCCCTGCCAAGGGCCCCCTAGCTTCACAGGGGTTGGTCCCGGGCATGAACAACAGGGGCCACTGCCCGGCTGTAGGCAGGTGGCTGAGGGAAGCGTGCAGCGACCATCTGCTGCCCCAGGGACTCTGTGGCTCCCTCTGCAGCTCCCTCTCCGACTCCTGGGAGGAAGAACAGGCACCTCCACCCCAGAGCTAGTTCTGTCCCCTGGGCTCTGTCTCTGCTGTCTGCAAGGCTGGATCACGTGTTCATGATGGAAACCACAGCCTGGATGCAGGGACAGAGCCGGGGGTGGGCACTCATCACCGTCCTGGCCATGGAGGCTGGACTGTCCCCTATCACATCACTGGAGGCGCGGCTCTGCATGGTGGGGTGGGCGTGGTAAGCAGAGGTCAGTGTCGTCAGGGTTGGAGGTGGGACCCAGGAAGGAGCTCAGCCTGTGTGCACAGCATCTCTCGTGACCCTCTAAAGTCTCCCAGGATGTGTTATTCCACTTCACAGATGAAAAATGGGGTCCTCAGGGGTTAAGTGGTTTGCTCCAGACACACAGGGAGCTAGTGGCAGACCTGAAATAGAAGCAGGTCTCCCAATTCCCAGCCTGCGCCTCAGCTTTCCTGTGGGCCTCTGGGCCTTCCCTCTACCCAAAGACCACGATGCACTTTCATCAGTTGGTGACATCTCCACTGTTGCAGAGCCTAGAGGTGGACCATGGTTGGCCGGTGTTTTGTCCAGAGAGACCAGAGTGGCTTGCCTGGGCCCCCCATCCTTGCTGCCTGGGCCCTGCCTCCTCTCTTCCTGCCCTGGGTTCTGAGGGCTGCTGTTGTGCAGGAGGAGCTATAAGGTCCCCACCACCGGCTTCATGTCCGTGGCCTGCCACTCCCATCCTTCACTGCCCCTTCTCCAGGTGCCACACCATGGCAGGCCCTCTACTTTGAAAGAGAGTTGGCCGGGCATGGTGGCTCAGGCCAGGCGGCGGCTCACATCTGTAATCCCAGCAATTTGGAAGGCTGAGGTGGGCGGATCACCTGAGGTCAGGAGTTCAAGACCAGCCTGGCCAACATGGCAAAACCCCGTCTCTAGTAAAAATGCAAAAATTAGCTGGGCGTGGTGGCGGGCATCTGTAATCTCAGCTACTTGGGAGGCTGAGGCAGGAGAATAGCTTGAACCTGGGAGGCGGCGGATCATACCACTGCACTTCAGCCTGGGTGACGAGAGCAAAACTCTGTCTCAAAAAAACAACAACAAAAAAAAGAGTCCTCCAGGGTTTCAAGATCACTGTCAGTGGTGAATGGTGTGAAAAATCTGTAATTATACCTTCTTGGAACTCCAGGGGCAGCTCTACCTCCCTCACTGTTTAAGGTTCCCTGTGTCAAGCTTTGGATCATGTCCTTGGAGGCAGGCCGGAGGGTGGATGAGGAGGGAGAGAACATGGTGTGCCGTCACAGGCCAAGCCTGGGACCCCAGACAGTGGTCCCAGTGCGGAAGACAGAGCTGACTCCCTCTCTGCACCAGCGTCCTGCCTTCCAGAGGGGGTCCCCTCCCACCCATCTAGACTCAAGGATGGCAGTCTTGCCATCCTTTCAGACGCATAGCAGCCCCTGCTATGGGCCAGGCAGTTCTTGTTTGGAAATGTTACTCAGGAAGCTGCAGACGCTGTCTTTTTTTTTTTTCAAACCATGCCTCCTAGTTAGCCAGTTTCCTCTGGATAATATATTTCTGGGGTCCTTTCCTGCTATTCGAAACATGTCCCAGCATCCCAAACTTGAGTACACAGACAGAGACTTCCCTGATATCCCTCCCTTTACATAGATGGGAGAAATAGGGCCCAGTCCTCCTCGTCCCCCTTCCCACCTCGGTGTCTTGCTTCTATGGGGCTAATGAGGAAGGCAAGTGGGGAGAAGGCACTGGGGGCAGAAGGGACAGTGAATTTCCCTGAAGGAAGCCCAAAAGGAACTGGGAAATGAGATGAGGTGGGCATCTATCTCTATACTCAAGGGCAGGATGTTGTCCTGGCGGCTCTTTCACCCTCTGCCTTAGGGACCTCTGACATCTGGAGGCTGGGAGTGAGGAGAGTGTTTCCTGCTTTTGTTCCTGGAGACAAACTTTCTCCTGACATTCAGCATCTGTTCAGCCCAGGAGGCTCTGCAATATTTAATAGACCAAGCTCTGCAAGGAGGCACTTGATTCAACATTTGGAAGATCACAGCTGCAGCCAGCGTGGAATGGGGAGGAAGAAGAGGGAGACGTCGGGTCGCAGTGCGCAGCGTGCAACCCTCTGCACCTTCCGGCCCTCTCACCTCTTCACACGGCATTTGCTCTTTCATTCACTCAGCAACAATTCTGTGCCCTTTATACGTGCTGGGCACTGCTCTAGGCACTGGAGACGATGAGGAGAAGACACTTCCCACCTTCATGGAGCTTATTTGCTGGTGGGGACCGCAGGTGATAAACAGATAGACAAAGTGCCAAGTAATGATAAGGGAAGTGTGTGTGTGTGTGTGTGTGTGTGTGTGTGTGTGTGCGCGCGCGCGTGATTACATGCAGGGTAACTAGGGAAGGCTTCCTTGGGAAAGTTTTTTTTTATATTTTAGCAGAGACCTGGATAAAGGGAGGAAGTACACCATATGGAACCTGGGGGAAGAGAATTCCAAGTGAAATGAGCAGCCAGAGGGGGTGGGAGCTGAGATGGGCCTGTGCTTGACACGTTTAAGGGGGAGCAGAGAAGCTGGTTAACTTGGGTGTCCTAAGGAAAGAGGAGAACAGGTGTAGTGGGTGGCTCACACCTGTAATCCCAGTACTTTGGGAGGCTGAGGTGGGAAGATTGCTTGAGCCCAGGAGTTCGATACCAGCCTGGGCAAAGGAAGTTAGGTCCGGGAGATCACCTGCCAGGGCCAGATGACAGAGGGCTCTTTACTGTCTTGGCCGGGTGACAGCGAGCCATCGGAGGGATGGAGAGCAGCATGTAGCATCGTCCAGTGTGTGCTTATGGGAATCACTTAGCTGCCACGTGTGACTCTCTTCCCGTGGGGGCAGCAGCTACAGGGTGAGCACCGCTAGGAGATAATGCCTGGGAATATCCTTCTTAAATTCTTGAATGTAAATTCACTTTACAAGGTGCGTCATTGTGTCCCCTCTCTGGGGACAGCTGTGTGGTGTGGTGGAAAGACGAGGGCATGTGAAGACGGGGAACAGTCCTGTGACCCTGGGCAAGTTGCTTCATTTTTCAATCCAGTCGCCCAATTTGTAAAATAGGGATTGTAACGTACCCCACGACAAGCCTGTTGCGGGAGTCAGGCAGGATGATGGGGGTGAAATTGCTTTGATGGTGTGAGGTGCTACATGCCAGGCTGTGACCTTTAATAACCACCGAGGGGGTGGGCTTGCTTTGTGCTGTACCCACCCTCCCTTCACCCAGCCTTCACCTCTGTAAGTGGCTCTTCCATTTTACAGTCTCTTCATTTGGACCAGCCAAGATGATTTTGTTTTCTGCCAGGATCCTGGCTGATAACAACTCTAATGAATATTCATCCATTTCCATGTTTGGGCATCTGCTGAGGGCCTCTAACTCTAAATCCCATTGTTTTCTCTTCTTAAAGACCCAGACTGGCATGTCGATTGCCTGTGGGTCTCGTGTTTCGGCACATTTGGGAGCAGAGGCGAGGACTCCTCTTTTCCAAAGTATCTTTTTTTTTTTTTTTTTTTTTTTCCAGACAGGGTCTCAGTCTGTTACACAGGCTGGAGTGCAGTGGTGCAATCTCAGCTCACTGCAACCTTTGCCTCCTGGGCTCAAGTGATCCTCCCACCTCAGCCTCCCAAGTACCTGAGACTACAGGTGCGCGCCACCACGCCCAGCTAATTTTTGTAGAGATGGCTTCTCACTATGTTGCCCAGGCTGGTCTTGAGCTCCTGAGCTCCAGCAGTCCTCCCGCCTCTGCCTCCCAAAGTGCTGGGATTACAGGCATGAGCCATCACACCCAGCCAGTTACACTCTCTTAGATTCCACATAGGAGTGAGATCCTGCGGGATTTTCTCCCTGTGCCTGGCTTATTTCACTTAGCATAACGTCCTCCAGGTTTATCCAGGCCATGCAAATGAAGGATTTTTTTCTTTTTTAGGCTGAATACTATTCAGTTATGTTATATGCCATGTTTTCTTTATCTACTTACCCACTGATGGACACTTAGGTTGTTTCATGTCTTGGCCATTGTGAGCAGTGCTACAGTGCACGTGGGGGGTGGGTGAAGATGTCTCTTTGACACACTGATTTCATTTCCTTTGGGTAGATAGCCAGCAGTGGGATTGCTGGATCGTATGGTAGTTTCATTTTTAATTTTTTGAGAATGTCCGTACAGTTTTCCATAATGACTGCGCTAATTCACATTCCCGCCAGCAGTATGCAAGGGCTGCCTCTCCTCCGCATCCTTGCCAGCACGTATCTTTCCTCTTTGATAACAGCCATTCTGACAGGTGCGAGTGGTGTCTCCTCCTTGTGGTTTTGATTTGCATTTCCCTGATGATTAGTAATGGAGCATGTTTTCATGTGGCTATTGGTCTTGTATTCTTACAGCACGTGACAGTTTCAAAACATGGTCATATACATTCTCTCAAACATGTGAATGAATGTGGCCCTCACTACAGGGTGTTCAGATGGTTAATTTTATGTGTCAACTTGGCCGGGCCTCAGGGTGCCCAGCTGTTTGGTCAAACAATATTCTGGGTGTTTGTGTGAGGATGTATTGGATGAGATTAACGTTTAAGTTGATGGACTTGGAGTAAAGGAGATTGTCCTCTGGAATATGGGTGGGCTTCAGCCAATCAGCTGAAGGCCTAAATGCAGTAAAAGGCTGACCTCCCCTGAGAAAGAAGGAATTCTGCCAGCCTTTGGACTTGAACCACGACGTGGGCTCTTCCCTGGGTCTCTAGCCTGCTGGCCCACTCTACAAATTTTGGACTTGTCAGCCTCCATAATTGTGTAAGCCAATTCCTTAAAGCCTGGTTTCTCTCTCTCGCTCTCTCTTTCTATACATATATATATATATATTCTATATCTATATCTATCTATGTAACTATATATCTGTATCTATCTATCTGTATTTTATTGACTCTGTCTGCAGACTCCTAACTAATACAGGTGGGTACTATCCCCATTTTACAGACAAAGATTAAATTGAGTCTCAGAAATGTGAGCTATGAATAAGATACTTCTTCATAGCTAGTGAAGAGAACCAAATCCAATGCTTCTAGACTTTCAACCTCGCAGGCTTTCCTTCACTGTCTGCTACCTTTGCTACCCCTCTGCTCTATAATCTTCAAGGATTTTTCACTGCTGAAGGCATCACGCCTGAACTCCTTTCCTTGGCATTTAGGTGCTGCACAGTATGGCTGCGTTTCCTCCTCTCCACTCAGGTATTTCTCCTCAGTGGCACCCCCCTCTGGCACCCACAAGGGAGAAGTAAAGATCTCCTAGTGGTGGCAGAGCCCATTATCCAACCTGGAGAGAAACAGATCATTCCGTAGGCTGACGCTATAATTAAAGGTTAAAGGTATAAATCTGCTGCGCAGATATGATGAAAAGAAAGCATCTCTTAGACTGGGTAGGTCTTTAAATGTAAGCTCCAAGGTGCATGTCCCTGCAGCCTGGAGGGCTGGCGCGTAGGTTCCTGACAGGCGCCAGGGGCCTCTGGTGACGGCGGTGCCCATGTGGCCACTCGCCAGGGCTGCACTGTCTGGAATGGTAGCCACTAGCATATCTGTTTCTTTACATTTTTTTTTTTTTGAGACGGAGTCTTGCTCTGTAGCCCAGGTTGGAGCGTAGTGGCGTGATCTTGGCTGCAATCTCCACCTCGTGGGTTCAAGCAATTCTCCTGCCTCAGCCTCCCAAGTAGCTGGGATTACAGGCACATGACACCACCCCTTTTTGTATTTTTAGTAGAGATGGGCTTTCACTATGTTGGCCAGGCTGGTCTTGAACTCGTGACCTCAGGTGATTCACCCGCCTCAGCCTCTCAAAGTGCTGGGATTACAGGCATGAGCCACCATGTCTGGCCTTTTACATTTAAATTAATGACGATGAAATAGAATTCGAACCTCAGTTCCTCAGGCACATTGGCCATGTTGTAAGTGCTGAGAAGCCCCCTCTGCTTGGCTAGTGGCTGCCATATTGAATGTCTCCATCACTGCAGAAAGTCAAACTGCAAAGCACTGAAGTAGAGAGACCAGTCCCAAGTATGGATCCCAAAGCCCTTGGTCACAGCTGGTTAGTGACAGAGCGAGGACTATGACAGAGAAGGCTGGGGCGAGAGGAGGCTGAGAGCCACAGACCCTTCCAGAAGGACAAAGGAAGCGTCCTCGTGGTTCATGGTGATTGTCTCTGCAATGCCTGGGGGCCAGAGAGAGTAGCCCCCGCCTCAGCTGGGAGGTGCCACCCAGGCCACGGCTCCAGCAGCCTGGGCTGCAGGCAGAAGTTTGGCTCTGCCCCCACACTCCCGGAGCCCCACCCCAGGAAGGCACAGTGGCAACACCACACTGAAGCTACGACTTCAGTCTGAGGTTCACGTGAGCCCCTGGTCCAAGCTTCCAAGTGGTTTCAGCAAATATATTAGATATGCTTGATTGAAATGTGTAGATCAAATGAAAATACATGATACTAGAAAGTTTGACTACAATCTACACTGCAGTTTATATTATTGTAGTCTATCGCTTCTGTGCAAATAAGTTATAACATAATAAAGCTTGCTTAACTTGAAGAAAAAATGAAACACCTATGGATTTGACACAATTTTTTTAAATTTTATTATTATTATACTTTAAGTTTTAGGGTACATGTGCACAAGGTTCAGGTTTGTTACATATGTATACATGTGCCATGTTGGGGTGCTGCACCCATTAACTCATCATTTACATTAGGTATATCTCCTAATGCTATCCCTCCCCACTCCCCCAACCCCACGACAGGCCCCGGTGTGTGAGGTTCCCCTTCTTGTGTCCAAGTGTTTTCATTGTTCAATTCCCACCTATGAGTGAGAACATGCGGTGTTTGGTTTTCTGTCCTTGCGATAGTTTGCTCAGAATGATGGTTTCCAGTTTCATCCATGTCCCTGGGATTTGATACAATTTTATTGAACAGAAGTCTTAGATTCTGAGGACATGGAAATTCCAGCAGCCAGCAGGGCCATTTGCACCCGCAGAAAGAGATGCACTGTGTTAGGAGAAAACAGTTGTCTGCATTTTCTGTTTTTTTGCATTTCTGTCTCATATTTTAAGAATTCCCTTTGAATAATTTCAACCTTGTATCAACTGATCTAAGAAAAACAAATGTTCACACTTTGCAGAGACAGGTTAGTGATCAGATTAACATCTCTAAACGGGGGAGAGGGTGACAGTGGTTCTTCTGACTCCTAATGACCTAGGGCAAGGCTGAGGCAGACTGTGATACCAGCTGGGATTGACACCTGGTGATCCTTTCCTGCCTGGGGTGTTCCCTTCCAGAGAGCATCACGAAGGTGTGGCCTCAGGCAAAATTGTGAAACAAAAATCTTTGTCTCCAGGACTTCCTTCCCCTCCTTCTTCCTAGATACCCTATTCCGGCTTTTTCTCCTCAGGTATTTGATCTACTAGGGTGATAAAATGGCAGTGCGGAAATACTAATGTTTTACTCCTCCCAGGTTGCATATGAATAATAACATTTACATTTTTAACACAAAGCTCTGGAGACAGTGCCAGAATCAAAGGCAGGAGCAGATATCTCGAGTCTCAGCAAGTGGGTGTCTACCTGCGTGCCAGCCGGGCCAGCTCACTGCCATTTCTGAATGCATTTTCTTTTCTTTCTTTTTTCAAATTTCTAATTTTTATTTTAAGTTCAGGGGTACACGTGCAGGATGCGCAGGTTTGTTACGCAGGTAAAGGTGTGCCATGGAGGTTTGCAGCAGAGACCATCGAATCACCCAGGGATGAAGCCCAGCATGCATTGGCTGTTCTTCCTGATAGGCTCCCTCCCCCGACCCCATTGACCTCCGACAGGCCCCGGTGTGTGTTGGCCCCCATGAGTCCGTGCGTTCTCCGAGTGCATTCTCTTCCCACAGCATTGGTTGTCTTGCTCAAGCCCACTGCTCTCCGCAGACAGCCCATGAAGCTGGTTTCCAGATATACCATCAAATTCGAGATTCGCCAAGAAGCCCCAGAGGCTTGACCGACCTGAAGTCCCACGGAGTCAGCAAGGAGATATTTGGGATCAAGTTGAAGGTCAGGCAGTTTTTGAAACACTCTCCTTAAGACCAAGTCCTGGTCAGGGTGGGTCCATCCTTCTGAACCTGAGTGGGTCTGCGCGTGAGACAAGGTAGGATTCTGGAAGCCTAAATCGCAGGTGGTCTGGAGAGGGTGGGGGCTTTGGGGAACGTTCCCACGTGCAATGGCTGCTTCCTATGCTGACGGCCACACCTGATGACGTGCTCAGGGTGTCAGGGGTTGGGCAGAGGGGCCCAGCGTGGGGCTAGCCGCAGAGCCCTGCTGGGGGGCTGCACACTGTCAGACTTCTAGATTCCGGAGACAGGATGTGGTGGGTGGGGTGGGGTCAGGGGAGGGTTGGGAGCTGACAGGGCAAGGGCCCTGGGATGTGTCTCTGATTAAGCAGGCTGGAGGTTGAGAGGGCCCCGCACCCCTGTGGACTGAGGCAGCAGCCTGGTCATAGGAATAACGTCTTGGTGGCTGTGTTGGTGCCCAGCGCTTTCCCCTAGGAATGCCAAAGGCCAACGGGGCTTTTGCCAAACAAATTCCAGAGACACCTCTCCCCGTAGTGGGAAGAGCTTGTTCTACCTCGCATCTTTCAGTGCCCAGCATAGCATCTGGCACATTGCAGGCTCCAAACATAGGTCTAATAAACACTGACGGAACTCCTACCGTGTTCTGGGAATACAGGGGTGAGCAGCCTACAGCTCTTGTCCTTGTGGGGTACACACTCTGGTGGGGGTAGAGAGACAACAGGGAGAGGAAGGAGAGCACACTGCCCTTCCACGGGGGAACGAGAAGGAAAGGCAGGTGGAGTAAAGAGTGTCTCGGGGCGGGGGGACCACCTTGGACCGAGTGATCAAGAAAGACCTCTCTCAGTTGGTGCTGTCACAGCTGAGACCGGGCGGACAAGAAGGAACCAGCCATTCAACCCTTGGCAGTGGGCAGGGGAGATTGCTCCAAGAGAAAAGACTGCCGGTGTGAAATATTTAGGCAGCAACCAGCTTGGTACGTTTAAGAAACAGAAAAGGAAGCCAGGGCTGCTTGTGTGGCTCTCGTGGCTGCCAGAGTAGAGGACAGGGACTTGGAAAGGTTGGCAGAGCCTCCATCCAGAATGTCCGAAAGGACAAGTATGGGTTTTAGGTGACCTTTGGTGTCTCGTACCCTCAACCCCAAATGTTAGCAGTGTCTACTCTCCTAAATCATCTGACAACCCCCAAATCCCCCAACACATTTCCATTTGACACACAGCCTGATGAAGACTACTGGAAGATCGCTGTATTGGGTTTTCCAGAGAAACAGAAGCAACAGCACGGGTGAGTGTGTGTGTGTGTGTGTGTGTGTGTCTGTGTCTGTGTCTGTGTCTGTGTGTTATTGGCTCATGCAATTACGGAGGCTGACAAGTCTCAAGATCTGCAGTCAGCAAGCTACAGACCCGGAAGAGCTGACGGTATAGTTCCCATCCGAAGGCCAGCAGGCTTGAGACCCAGGAGAGCCAGCATTTCTGTTCAAGTCTGAAGGCAGAGACAAGCTGCCGTCCCAGTTTGAAGGTAGTCAGGCAGGAGGAATTCTCTCTTCCTCGAGGGAGGGTCAAACTTCTCGTTCTATTTAGGTCTTCAGTGGGTTGGGTGAGGCCCACCACACTGGGAAGGGCCATCTGCTTTACTCAGTCTGCAGATTCAATTGCTCATCTCATCCAGAGACACATTACAGGCAAACAGAACAGTGCTTGGCCAAATATCTGGGCCCGTGTGGCCCACACAAGTTGACAGGTAAAATTACCCACCACAATTGTGAGGTGTCTTCCTGTGGCCTCAGCTTGCCGGGCTGAGCTATGAGTGACTCCTGCAGAATCTAGCTGGGGACGGAGGAGGTGTCCCTAGGTATGAAGTGTTTGCACAGTCCAGCTAGAAGGTGATCAGCTTTGGGACAGGTCGTAATATAGCAATCGGAATAATAAGAAATCTATCTTGGAATCTTATAGGCTTTGGGATTTGCAAAGCACTTCCACACCCATGACCTGGTTTTCCCTTCCCAGCAGTCCTGTGCCTTATTACTGCCATTCTACAGAAGAGAGGGCAGGTGTGAAAGGGGTAAGAGTTTCGCCAAGGTTACATGCGAAGCCAGACGCAGTCAGCTTTCCCCAGGTGCTGGGGAGCTTGGGTGGGAGGAACAGTACAGCTGCAGAGTGTGAGCAGAACCGCAGCAGGCAAGGGGGCAGCCTAGTGTGTGCCACAGGCAGGAGAGAGCCAAGGACACAGCGTGCTGCCGCCTGGCCACAGTGACAAGCAGGGCTGTCACTTAGGCGTGGAGACGGCTGTGGCCGACGGAGCCTGCTGGCAGTGGCAGCTGAGGTCAGAAACCCAGGGCTAGCAGGGATGCAGCCAGACGGTGGGTGAGGAGCAGCCAAATCTGTCACTGAGTCAAGGGCAGGCCTGATGCCTTGGGGAGGAGGCCAGAGAAGCTAGCTGGTGGCAGCCCTGGCTCTGCGGCCCTGTCCTAGAGGCCTGCACTTGAGTGCCTGCCCCGGGGGGACGCTGCTCCTGGGCCTTTCCTTACTGACCGTGAAGGGACAGAGAAGGCGGGTGAGCTCAGGACTGCTTCTTTTGCCGATGCATCTTTTGGCCATCCATCGGCCAGGGTCTGAGTGGTTGCGTACTGGAAGACCTCCTTCCTGGCACTGCGCCCAGTGCATGGGAGACCCTCGATGCAGGTTTGTGGAGGGAAGACACCAGAAAACCCTACAGGCGGGCATGTGCCTGGTGCCCGGTGGAGAGTATGGGAAGGAGAAGATGCCGACAGACACCAGTTGCCACCTTGGGGGTGGGTGAGCAGGGCCAGAGGCAGAGAGCACTGTGGACTGAGGGACCATGAGGACCCCCGAGGAGTGGGGAGAGGAGAGCAGGCCTGCGGGTGACTCCGGTAAATAGAGAAGAAGGGCCAGAGGGAAAAGAGGGCGAGTGGAGGAGGGGCTCACTCGGCAGGAGAGCTGGGCAGCGTGAACCCAGCCTCCGGGCTGGGTAAGGGAGGTGAGATGAGGCCATAGCCATGGAGCGGGAGAAGGGGAAAGGTGAGTGCAGGAGTCCTGAGCGGCTGGCGAAGTTCCGCCCAGTGAAACACAGTCACGTGGAGAATAAGGGGTTCGGGAAACGATGGAAACAATGGGCCTTTCCCCTGCCTTATGTGGAGGCACAGTCTCCAGTGTCTGACCTGGAGTGGGGACAGGGTTCCACTGGACCTGTGTCTCATGGTGCTGAACCCACAGGTGCCCAGAGCCCAGGTGCTGGCGAGAAGGCTCCTCCCTCCATGGTGTCCTGTGCCCCAGACCCTGAAGCTCCCTTACTCCTGCCCTCCAGTCCTCTTTGCTGACCCTCAAATCTTCCTGATCCTCTGCCCACACACACGTGGGCACCCTCCCCTCCTTGCCAGTTTTGCTGACACCAGCTGCTTAGGGCCCCCTCCCTGGGGCTGTCACTCTACCAGCTGTTCTGGTTTACCTGAGACCTTTGAGCAAGAAACAGGCGGTTTTCCTCCTTCACAGTGCCTCAGTGCCCGTATTGGCTCACAACTGACCCCCGGCCCTTGGGGGAGGTTTTTATTTTTTTCACTGCTGGAGAAATGCTTTCCTTTTAAATACCTAGAAGGACAAGCCTGCAGGAAATCTCAAGAGTATACAATAACTGACTCACGATGACATTTCATTCTGTGGAAGCTCATGCTTAGAAACTGGAAGGCCTACCAAACCTTTGAAAGAAAGAACAGAAAGGAAAAAATATGTAACCCATACACATCTATATACACACAAATAAATATGTTTCCTTTATATATGCACATTAACAGCCAGCAAGAGAGGAAAGAAACTCTGGAAAGAACCCAAAGTGGCCATTAGATGATTGTTATTATGTTGGTGCCTGTTGCAATGATATAAATCTGGGGTCTTAATAAAATCCAGCATTTTCCAATTAGCTGTTGCTTAATTAGCATCATGAATATTCAGCATCCTCGTGCCCTTTTGAATGCCCCCCCCACCCAGCCTCTCCCGATGAGGCTGCTCTGTCAATGCATTGGTGACAGCCTTTGGGGTGGGAGTGGAGACCCATGGAGCTCAGACTCCTCTCATCTTGCCTGGCCTCCTTGGAGGCTGGGATGGACTTAGGCCTGAGGCCACACTTCTCACGACTGCCCCTCCCTATCCAGGGGCCGGAGGGCTTGGCGGTCAGATCATCTCATCTGAGATGCAGGATGCACAGATGCGTGGCGGATTTTCTGCACGTGCTGCAGAGGCTATGAGGATGATTGCTTCCGGAAAGGCCCACCCTGAGCACTAGAATGTGGAACTCTCTCCACAGACTATGGGAGCAACTAGAAGTCTAGTGGTTTCCTCCCTCCCTTCTTCCTTCCTGCCTTCCTGCCTTCCTCCCTTCCTTTTTTCCTCTTCTTCCTTTTTGAAAAAAGAAATTAGCAATAGAACCCTTCCTTCAAAGGCATCTTCCCTGGAGCCTCAGTAGCTATAACAGATGGAAACAGCACAGTTCTAGCTCATCTGCAATTGAGGGTGCAAAACACTCTGCTTTTCTACCCTATCCTCGCATCAGGTCACCTCTGGGACACCTTCTGCAAACCTAAGGAATACAGTTTTAAAAATATTGATGCTAGTCCTTCCCTCCCACCCCCCAGGAAAGAAAATGAAGGGCCAGGGAGGGGAGGTAAATCGCCCAAGATGGACAAGCTCATTAGAAGCAGAAGCCTCCCCACCTGGGGCATTTCCCAGGCCACTAAATGGGGAGGCCAGACAGAAATGCAAGCTCCGGGCTCCCAGCCAGAGGGAAGGGGAAGACTCCCCGCTGTACAAACACCCATTTTGCTTCCCTCTCTCCACTTCCGATTGAGGGAGGGGAGGAGAGGAAAATGTTCATTCTTTGCCCTCCAAGCCTTTTTCCTGGCCTCCTCTCACCCTACCAAGTGTTGACTATGTTGCACTGGCTATAATTTGGGCTTAGCTTGGAGGTAATTTCCTGGTGGTGCCTGCAGCTTCGTAATGCAGGCTGTCAAAATGATGTAGAATTGTGCTCTGCCAGCCGCCCGGGTGACTTTATTCAGATACATCTAATGTGACAATTTTGTCAAAGCCTGTTTTACAGAGCTGTTTTGACTGGATGTGAATGTGGCCTTCCTCATCAGCTGATGCTGCAGCTGATCCCCCCACACCAGGAATGAGGGGATGATAATCTTTCAGTAGGTAAATATTTCTGGCCTTGTCTCCCTTGTGTTGGGGTGACCTGGCCCACCACAGGGGTGGGCGGTGGGACAGTAGGCTGAGCCCGGCCACCCTGCCCTGCGCTGGCTGCGATGACAGCACCAGGGAGCCAGTCAGGCCCTTAGGCTCAAGAGCTGAGTGGAGAAGAGCAAGCTGCAAGCTGAGGGTGTGCGTGCGGAAGGAGGTGCAGGAGCTTGTGCTAATGAGGGTGAGCTGTGGGACCTCAGAGAAGCTACAGCAAAGGCACAGTCAGGAGAGGCCATGTGCTGGGAGGTGCAGTGAGTGAGGGAATCCGGACTCTTGGGCTGAGAGGCCCCTGTGCTCGGGCTGAGGCTCCTCCTGATAGCAAGCCTGGGAAGGAAGAGCAAGAATGGGTTCTGGGCTGACAGATGCGGGCCAGAATCCCCGACAGCTCCCTGTCTTGGGAAAATCACCCAGCTCACTGAGCCCCATTGTTTCATCTGAGAATATTGATCCTTGTAGGGCAGCTGTGGGAATTAAACACAATATCGTAAGAGTGGCAGGTGCCCCCGACCATCTTGCCCTGGATTCTGGGCAGGAAGGGCTGGAAGCCAGACGGTGAGATGTACGTGGAGGTAGACGACACAGTCTCTCTGGCAGCTTCTTACGCCCCTCATACTCCATGGACTGTTTATAAACGCCCTTGCGAGATTTTTAAGCTCTGTGTGGGTGGGAGTTGGGAATTTATTATTTCATATATATTGCAAGGGCCTCACATATTTCTGCATATTCCTGTAGAATCCTTGGCACCTGATTTAGCATGAGAAAGTTCTCATGTTTGGTGTTTAATCAAGGTTTTTATTTTTGCAATTTAAACCAGTTTCTCTAACCATTGGATTTTGCTTCAGAGGGAAGCAGAAAATGCAGGACTAGATCCCTACTCTTTGAGGGCCTGTACACACCAGGCCTCTCAGGTGTGGTGCCATATCACCTCCTTGAACTGAGGTGCGGTAGGGGTGAGCCAGCAAGCTCGGATGTGAGCCCACCTCTTCTACCGCCAAGGCCCAGGTCTGTCCGTCACACCACTGCTGCTATGAAGGTGTCACATGTGCGAAGCCATCACAGTTTTGGCACTGACAGACTAGCAGCTGACATTCTGTACCTGGTCCTGAGAGGTGTGGAGGTGGGGCTGGCTGTGGTTGAGGGGTCTCCAAATTGTCTGCAGGCTGCGTGTGCTCAGGCACTCAGGGGGTTGGGACTCTCCTTGCCTGGCTTTCGGACTTCCCACCTCATTTGCATCTCAGAATGTCACCTCTTTTCTTCATGCCGCTGGTTATTGATGTTTATTTTTAACTGGCTTGTGATTGAGATGAATCAGAGCTGTCTCCGTCAGCTGCAGATGCACCTAATTGGGGCGTTGGAGGTTCGGGCCTCTCTGTCCTCTTTGGGGGTCCTCCCTGTTTATGATAGTTGGAAGGCTGGGACACATCTGACTTCCTATCTCGCTCCTGGAAGCTGCTGATGGCGCCACGAGAGACCCTTTGAGCCTGCCTGAATGCCCGTTTCTCCGGCCCCTGCTCCCTTTGCACCCCTGGGAACATCTGTGCTGCCGAAGGCACTTTATTTGTCTTCATAAGACAAGAGTTAAAAATAAAAATCAATAACGACCAGATTACCAAGGGAAGATTAATTCCACTTCTGTAAATGCTAATGAGATTTGGAACCCCAGCCAGGGGAAGGAGCACGGATTAGTGCCCTTCTGCTGCTTCTAGAAGGGCTTGATGGGAGCCCTTGTGGGGGACCCGCACCCCTATCCCCTTAGCCCCTTGAGGCTGTGCCCCAGGACTAAGGCTGTGCCTGAGCCCTGGTATCTCCTCCATGGCCTCCTCAGCAGCTCAAGCTGCTGCTGGCAGAGTTTGGCCAGAATGCCAACTACCTGGGAGGAGAATGAAGTCATCGAGTCAGGGCCTGGAGTCCTTGGCTGCGAGGCTGCAAGAGCACCGCAGTTCCCGAAGGGCTGGGGAAGCCTGTGGCGGGCTCTCCGCGGCGCATCTGCCTGAGCCAGCTTCAGGGACCTCTCCCGGGCATGGCTACCGAGAGCCGAGTCAGAGGCAGCAGTCCTGGGTGCTCTGAGATGTCGCAGCCAAAGGCACTGGGGCAGCACTGGGCGGCCGAGGGCCTGGGCTTGGAGAAGCACATTCTGCCCCCAGCTGCACCTTATTTAGTTGGCTTTGCTCCGGCCAAGTCTGCCCAGCCTTTCCCTTCCAGTGCTTCCCCTGCCGGGCAGGCTGCCCTTCCGCGGCGCGCCAGGAGGCTAACACCCTTCGTCTTTGCACGAAGGTCCCCTTTTCAAAGAGGCCTCTCTGGCCCCCGCCCCCGCCGTTCCTAACCAGGGCCTCCTGCCCGCACTTCTGACTCCTCTCCCACGTCTCTGTCCTCCCCGCAGCACTCCCCCCTTGACACACCACAACACTCACTTAGTGTGTGCATCCTTCACCACCCCTCTCCTCCCGCCAGAACGGAAGCGCCAGGAGGACAAGAACTGCAGCCTGCTTTGTTCACACGTGCATCCCAGTCCTGTAAAGTGAAAACACGGAGGACACTCCATCCATTCTTACATAATGAAGGAGGAGGGACGGTCGCTGTGTCTTCCCTTCTTTCTTGGCCCCCTCTGTGAGGAAGGTGCTAAGCTTTTATGAAGTAGACCCAGAGGGCAGGGGGCAAACCGTGGCCCGCCCATGCCACGGGGCACAGCTCCAGAGAAAAAAGTACGCGCTATGGAGAGAGGTAACGGCTTGACTGTGGGCAATGGCCTGGGCGAATCTCAGACATTGTGCTGAGTGAAAGAAGCTGGTCTCACAAGGTTGAGTACTGTAAGGTTCCATTTGTTTGCTATAGTAGAAAAGACAAAATTATAGTGATAGAAAACAAATCAGTGATTGTAGGGGTTATGGATTGAGTGAGGGTTGGAGGGTAAGCAGGCAGCTCAAGTGAGTGTTTTGGGTGATGGAGCTGCTATGCGTCCTGATTGGGTGGTGGCCACATGACTGTAGACCCGGGGGAGAAATTCACGTGGTCTATAGGGCTATAGACCAACAGAAAAAAGCCTTAATTTTGCCGTACAGTAATTTTAAAATAAACAAAAAACTATTTTAAAAAGGAAGGGGTGGAGTTTGTGCAGGTGCACAGGCTCCAGGATGATCCCTAAGTGGAGTATCAGCCCTGCTTCTGGGAGAAGTGTCTACGCTGCGGAAACGACTCCCCCGCCACCTTGATCAGCACACGTGAGGCCCTGCGTTTATGAATGGGAGCCGCGGATCGGTTTCTCTCTTTATGTACACACAGCAGATAGAATACACCGGTGTCTGTGCCATTTTAAAAGGACAGCATATTTTTAACACAGAGCAATACATTTTAGCAGCCCATTTACTGCGATAAGAGGGAAATACACCCTGAATAGAATTTTCTTTGCAAATCCCTTTTCCTGGCCTCAGACCCAGTGATGGATTTCTTGCTCTTAATAGAATTCTGTCCTTTCACTGTCTTCTTCTTGCCAGTTCTACTGCTGCCGCTGTACCCTCTGCCTCCCAATGGCTCCCATTCCACTCTAGGATTTGCAGTTCTCACTCACCATTGGACCCAAGCTTTCCGTGTAGCCTCAAAGCCAGACAGAGCAGGAGCAAGTGGCAGGTCCCCTCAGTGAGAAACCTCTCCCTGCAGGATGCTGTGTGTGACATGCCCTTTGGTGAAATGCAGCTGTTCCTGGGGGGAGAGGCACCGGGAGAGCTTACCATACATTTCCTCTTCTATCGCTTTGCGTTTATTCTTCCGCCCATTCAGCCTACACGTGTGATCCAGTACCTTCTCAGTGTTAGTCACTGCGCTCATGCTAGAATGATCCAGAGCCTGCCCTGCCTGCCCTGGGCTCGCGTCCGGGCCCTTTCTCCTCCAAGTCAGAAACCTGGGGGCCATCTGTCCCTGAATCCACCATCCACCCCGTCCAGCCATCCCCGAGGCCTTGGTATCCGCCTGAAACCTCCCTCTGATCTGCCCTCTCTTCCCTGTCCTCATTGCCTTGCCTTCGAAGGGGCTGGCAACACCTTGCACCTGGACTACTGACCTGGACTCCGGCAGTGGCCCATGTTCCCGCTTCGCAATCTGTCTCTAACTCACCCCAACCCATCCCCTGCTGATACCTGGGTTTTCTTTCTCAGAGTTCACAGGCACATGTCCCTGTTTAAGAACACTGAAGTTTAAAAACTGCCTATGGGATGAGGTTCCAGCTCTTTTGACAGAAGAGCTGGAACCTAATTGAAGCCTATGTCTGTTCCTAGGCTCATTTGAGACCTCTCCCTGACCACAGCCTGCCTTCTGGCCAGTACCCAGGACCACCCTGGAAGCATGTACCATGTGACCTGCTGTGCCACTGGCCCTTGTACCATCCCCAGCTCACTCCCAGGGGTCACATGTCACCTTTCTGACAAAGCTGCCTTCCCTGCCAGCCCCTGGGCAGAATTAAGCTTTTCCTCTTCTGTGCCCTCGTTGTACTTTATTTGTACGAGTGGTATACCAGCGATCATGCTGTTACCATGGGTAAGCTTACAGAGGGCAGGGCTGCATTTTATTTATCTTGGCATTTCCAGCACCTGGCAGAGCACCTAGCACAGAGAAGAACATTTAATGCACACCGGTTTGTTGTGCTGAATTGATTTCAGTTTCTCAGATACCATGTTCTCTGAGGGTATTGTGTGTGTGCAGTGTGAGAGGCGGAGGGAAGGAAAGGCCAGGGGCAGAAACGAGGTCTCTTCATGGCTCTCTGGCCTGGAGCCACCCCCATCCTCCCCTGCAGCAGGTCTGGTTTAAGCTCCCTGTCCTCAGGGAGGGGACTGGGTGTGGGCTTACTTCTTCCCCCTCCAGCTTTCCTACTTCAAGTCCACAGCAGCTTAGGCACAGGAGGCCATGCTCCTTCCTGCCTCTCCCTCTCCTGGGGCGCGGTCACCATGGCCTCTGATCTCTCTGAGGGGGGCTCCCAGGGCCTGGCTGCGGATTGGTGCTGGGCTGCCACAGGACTCCTGGTAGCTTCCTCTCTAGGGAGTGCTGGGCTCCCGCCTCTGAGCTGGTGTGAGTGGAGAGACATCCTTTCGCCTTTCCCACAGACTTTCACATCCAAGTTGGATGTATTGGGAAGGAGAAGTCTGACAGCTTGTGGGGAGAATTTCTCTCATTTTTGTCAGGAAATTAGTGAATTCTCCTGAATCAGAGAGTTCTAAGAATTAGAGATTTCCTCCTGCTTCTCCCTTCATCCCCTCTCCTCACCCCCAATCCTACCTCAAGAGCCTGGCTGGGAGTGGGATGTGGAGAGCAGCTGCTGTTTCTGTGGCTGTTTGATTTTTTTCAGAAATTAATTTTTGGTCTATTTATATTCCCCACCCCCACTCCCGCCAGCACACTTTTCCAAGAAAGCAGCCAGGTCTTCTATGTTCTCTTGCTTACGCAGACGAGATGTGTTCCTCATAGACACGCTTCCTTCCTGGCGTTTGTTTTCTAAGGCTGGGCTCCTTGGAGGAATTGGGTTGGGGGAGGTGGAAGGGGGACGTCCAAGGGGAGTGATGGCCGTGGTGGGGAGTGGGGTGGAGGGTCTCGGGCCTGGGAGCAGGGGCAGGTCCCTACCCTCTGGCGAGAGGGTCTTTGTAGTGCTGTTTGCTCTGCCTGAAGGTTCTTTCCCCCAGGTATTTGTATGACGTCTTCACTTAAGCAAAGTGTTATTTCTCGAGATCTTCCTGACCAGTCTGTCTAAATGGCAGCCTTCATTAGTTTCCTTCATGTCACCTGATAGGTGCTTCTTCTTGGCTCAAGAACTACCTGACATATGATATATGTATTTTATTATGGTTTATTATTATTTGTCCCACTCCTAGAATGTAAAAGTCCCAGATTTTTGCCCATGTTGGTTCACTGCTCTATCCCCAGTGCCTACATCACTCAATGGCATCTTATGATGAAGAATTTTATGTGTCAGCTTGGCTAGGCCGTGGTACCCAGATATTTGGTCAAACATGAATCTGGATGTTACCGTGAAGGGACCTTTTAGATGGGATTAACATTTAAATCAGTCAACTTTGAGTAAAGCCCTCAGTAATGTGGATGGGGCTCATCCAATCAGTTGAAAGCCTTAAGAGAAAAAAGACTTGACATCTCCTGAAGGAAAGAAAATTCTGCTGGCAGATGGCCATTGGACTTGAGCTGCAACATCAGCCCTTGCCTGGGTCTCCAGCCTGTTGGCATACGCTGCGGACTCTGGGCTTGCCAGCTCTAAACACATGAGTCAATTCCTTAAAATCAATCTCTCTCTCCACCCTCTCGTACTTGTTCTGTTTATCTAGAGAACCCTAACTAGTAGAGCACCCAATAAATGTTTGTTGAAGGTCTGAATGAGGTGTGAGACCTCAGAAGAGAATGGCTTTCCTGGGTGTCTAAGAGACTGTATTGTAGACACAGGGACTCCCAAGACAGTCCTGATAGCTGTAGCATAACCTGGCTTTAAGGAATCATAGTGTGTGAGGTTTGAAGGTATTATAAATGGCCATCATAGACTTGGGGAGTAGAGGCTCTTTTCCCACAGTGAATTTTTTCCCAGATCCTTGGATGAGGTTGAGGTGGGGTAGAGAGGGGTCTTGGGTAACAATAATGACTTAGGGTCAATTTATTCAGATTTGAAGAAAATAAAGTATTATGACATTTCTTGTATTCTCGAGTTTATGAGCTAAGTTTTATCTTTCCAAGTTTGGAACATGAGTTCTCCTGGCCATGGCTACCCATTCCCTCTTCTCATCAGTAGTCATAAAGTTTGACTTACAGCCCCTCTACTAGAAGCTTCATTCATTCATCCATTAAACATTTCCTGAGCACCTGCTGTATTCTAGGAACTACATTATTGCTAGGGATATGTGTTAGTTATTTCTGTTGCAATGTGTATTATCTCAAAACTTAGCAGTTTAAAGCAACCATATCTATTTCTTACCTCTCATAGTGTGTATGGGTCAGGAATTCAGGAGTGGCTTGGCTGGGTGGTCCCGGCCTGGGGTCTCTCATGGGACTGTAATTGGATGTCCAGCCTGGGCTATCATCATCTGAAGGCTTGACTCAGGCTGCAGGCCCCTCTTCCTCACTCGCTGATGACAAAGGTCTAGGAGGCAAAACTAAAGCCCAGAAGAGAGGAAGGACCTGCTTCCAAGGAGGTTCACTCATGTGGCTGGCAGTTGATGCTGGCACTTGGCAAGAGTCCTCAGTGAGGACTCTCCCCAGGGCTGCTGATGTGTCCTCATGGCATAGCAATGACTTCTCTCCAAGTGAGTCATCCAGAAGACCAAGGCACAATGCCTCTGTGATAAAGCATGGAGGTTATACATCATCACTTCCATGTGATTCTATTGGTGAGTAACGTAAGTCAGCCCTAGGGAAGGGGACTGTATAAAAGCATGTGGACATCAGGAGGCCTGGAGCACTGGGAGCCACAGGATGCATGAATTATTTGTAGTGCTCATATCTTGCAAATAAATTGTTGTGGCTTGGGCTTAGCATATGCCCACATCATCTCCAGGTGACCAGTTCTCCTGCCTAAGAAGCCCTCTTGTTCCTCAGTATCATCACCATACCAGCCTCTGTTTTCTCATCATGGTACCCACTAATACTATTAAGTCCAGGACGTTATACCCAAGTCTGGGCATATTCTATGGCCTGCTCATATTGTGGGTGAGCATATACAAATGACCTCATGCCTTTGAAGGACTCCTAAAAAAATGAACAGGACTATAAGGGCAAAGTATAAATCACAGGTAAGGGGTTTGACTCCTGAAACAGACACAGATACATGGAGTGTCATCGTCCCCGAAGCTCTGTCAGCTCAGTGGCACGTCCCCTGATTCCTCGGTCCTGATGCGAGACACTACATTCATCTGTACTTCTTTCCTGCTAGACTCTGTTCCTGGGGTCAGGGAGTGAGTCTTCTCTCTCTGGGTCCTCTCTCTCTTTCTTCTAAAGCCAGTGCGCCACTGAGGACTCAGATCATACCCTGAAGTCACTGGTTTGAACTGTCCTCGCCAGACGGTCAAGGACCAAGACTTTTCACTGCAGCGGCCCAAGGCCTGACAGCGCACCTCTGTCAGGAGTGAAGTCCCGGGAGTTAGGAACTTCCCGTTCACTTGGCTGAAAACAGCACTTGCCACATAAAGACTTAAATGCTATTGAATGAACCGGTTCCCCAGGACCAAGTCAAGTTCACTCAGCACTTGGGAGAGTTCGCAGGTCCCAGAGAGCCATAGCCTGTCTCATTCTCCTGGACCCAAGAAAAACATCAGAACGACTTTCCTCTCTTCTGGGCTTTGTTTTGCCTCCTAGACCTTTGTTATCAGAGAGTGAGGAAGAGGGGCATCACAAAGATCTGTGGGTGCCAAACCCTGGCTTTAAACATTGTTAGCTTGGATGTGGACACAAGAAATGACTGCCTCTGAGTTTGTCTGTAGGCAAGGGGGCTGAACCCAGGGCTGGCCCTGAGGGTGGGTTGGGGGTGCAGATACAGGAGAGCCAGTGGTGCTGTGGGATCCAGGTGGGATCCTGTACAGCCTGGAGAGAGGAGTGGGGCGGAGTGCCTCGTTAGCCTGTGATTAATACATCATAATATAGTAATCAACAGGCAGAGCCATGTGAATGCAGCATTAGGCTGGAAATAACACCCACAAGAAACACCGTCTGAAGCCTCCCACGGCATCGCAGTTTGGCCTCTCATTCTGTGTTAGCTCAGGTGAGAGCCAGGGCCCCCCCGAGGGCCCTGGAAACACAGGCAGCTTCCTAACTGCTTCATGTGGGAAGCGCTGCTCAGCTGAGGGACCACACCCGGCCTGGGACGCCTGCTCCTGGGGTAAGCTTCGGGGCTTTCCTGACCCATTATTCCCTCCCTCAGCTCACGCCCAAGTGGAAAGAAACTGGATTTCCATGGACTGAGGGCAAGGGTGGTTTGGGGCCAAGGTGGTTTGGGGCCACCTTGCAGGTCTCATCCCTCTCCCTGGGGATTCTGTGCCTAGGACTGTCCTTCTTCCTACTGGTGGGCCGTCCTGACCTATGCATGCCTGGCTGGGGCCCTACACTTGCACAAGGAGGAAGTGCTTGTGCTTTCAATACTGCTTTGAGGTGGCTCCCCTCCCCTTTCTGCTCAAGTGGGTTTAGACCTGGAGACAAGAAAGAACAAAGGACACCTGCCTCTGGTCTTGGCCAGAGGAGATGTTTGTGTCCAGGCTCCCCTCCAGGACCATTGCAGAGTTTTCAGCACAAACTTTAAGAGTGTGCTTTGACCTGCCTTTGTCCTCCCCACCTCTATCTCTGCAGGAGAACCACAGGGCCAGGGAGGGGGACGGGAGCACCTGGCACAGCCCGGACTCAGGTGTGCAGGGACTGGAGTCCCTGGCCAAGCCTTGCCTTCCACTTTCACATAACTTACGCATAGGAACAGGACAGTACCTGATGTTCTAGGGCGTGTGCACCTCTGGAGGCACGGAATGGGCAGTTTGACCCTGCACAACCCCAGAATTCACAAGGCTTTTGCATTTCCAGTATGTGGCAATTGCTCAGGAGAGAAGGAAACAGTATTTCCGAGCAGCCTTTGGTGCAGAGCTGATGGTGTTTGCCATGCTAGGAGCGGTATCCCAAAGGTGAGTGGAGAGAGACGTCCCAGTGAACATAAAAGTAATAAGGGTGGATTTCAGCTCAAGAGGCTGACTGAGGCCAACCAGTTGGTTCAGGCAGACTATATGCTCAACTCTGCTCTGTCCCCCAACAACAGCCCCATCTACATCTCCCTTAATTCCCTGGTACTTGAGTCCCATCTTCCTGGCTAAGCCTATTTTCAGCCGTTTCTCACTGCAAGGAGAATGCTCCCAGCTCTGTTGTAAAATGTGACCCTTTCTTTACTGCCCCAGCTCAGTGTTCACCATGCAAATAAGAACCAACGTGGGTGCTGCTTGTACAGTAAATTAAGACAATGTGCAACCCCAGCCTAGTAAGCAGGGAGTCACCAGTGTATCTTCTCGGGACAGGAGGGGACGCCCCCCAGGGACTCCAGGCTGGTGGCGTCTGGTGCAGGCTTTTCTGCTCTGGCATCTGATGCATCCAGATAGAGACAGATTCTCTGGGACCTGTTGCTGTCACTTTTTCTTCTTGGCCAGGGGAGATATTTTCTTAGGCCAATTCCACCCTAAGACAGATCACCATCTGCTCCATTAGGGCAGGAAGAAGTCAGGGATAGGAAGCAGAAGGAAAAGTCATGAGGCTGAGCACAAGTTAGAAGAGGCTTCTGCAGAATATCCCAGAGTGCTTCTTTTGTTGGTTTGGTGATGCCGGCCCCCACTAAAGTCTATTGTAGGGGTATAGAATACATGATTTCTGGCTTACACACGAAGAAACAACAATAACAACAAGAAGATTGGAGATCCACCTCAAGGCAGGTAGCACATCACCCTGATGTCAGTCCCCTGGGCAGAAAACTGAGGCATCAGGTCACTGTGGCATTGTCCCTCCTTGCCAAAGTACAAGGTATCCAGGTCACCTTGCAGGCTCTGGGGCTGTGTCTCCTCTCTCTGGGCAAGGCCGGCTTTGACTGGCTCTGCCCTTTCGTTCTGGGCTCAGGTGACACGACACGTACTCTGCTCACTGTGTCTTTGCAGAGCTGCATTGCTCCCCTGACACAGCTGTTCCTGGCAGTCCTGGCTTCTGGGTGGAACAGCACCACCTTCCAGCTAGAGGGATGGAGATCTCCCTACAGGCTGGTCATAAGAGGGGGTGCTAGAGGCCGCCACCTTCCGAGGAGGTACTCAGAAGATACGCAGAGCTTTCAGGGAGAGTGGGGCGTCTTCCCTGTGCCGTGCCCTGGTGCCCATTGGCAGTGCACAGGTCCCACCACACAGGGCAGAATTCACTGGCATCTAAACAACAGCTCTGTTTGTGGTAGGGTAAAAAACACGCCCCGCAGCTTTATGTCGCTCTTTTAATAAGCTCATTAGGAATCCCCAAACGCCGCAAGCACAGCCAGTTCTTTGTTGTGACCATGTGCCGGCTTGCTGGGAATCAGCCTGGCCCACCTCTGGCTTGGCTGGCAGGGAGAAAGGCAACTGGATTAGGAACCTGCTACCTTTCCCTTGACCCCATTCTGTCCAGTGCCTATTCTCTAGGAATCCTGCAGTGCATTTGCTATGTTATACTTTTGCAGTCGGTGCACCTCCCAGGTCTCCTTCCTGGGCTGCCACCGTCCCTCCCTCTGTCTCTCTCTGAGTGTGGGCTGCTGTTGCTCAGAGCTGCACCCTTTCTTGCAGGGAGATGCTGAGGAGGCCACGCCCCACACCAGGGTGACCTGCAGCCGTGAGGAACTGGTGCAGGTTACAAAAGGCCAGCACTTCCCCCAATGTGGGACAAGTCTGGGTGCCATTCCTGCCCCGGGATTCTGGGGGTGGGCAGTTGGAAGAGAGACTTCGGATAAAGCCATGTTCTTTTCTTGGCTTCTTCCCCTGCCATTCTGCTTTCCTCTCCTCCTTAAGGCTCCTCCTGGGAGCCCTCCCTCCATAACTACCTGGCACAGAATCCCCCATCTCAGACTTAGCATCTGGGGAACCCCACCCAAGACAAATACCTTACTCTAGTGGTGAGTGTGTGTGTGAATGTGTATGTGTGTGAGTGTGTCAGAGTGTGCATGTGTGTGTGTTCAGGAAAGAAGAAATGCTGGGCTGGGATCAGATGAATTCAATTCATCGAACATTTTCTATGAAGCATGGAACAGAGGCACTGAGGGAGGAGGGCCAGGAAGACCTGCAGGGGAGAGCACATCCCCTGAGTCTGGAGGATGAGGGATAAAAGTGCAAAGGGGAAGAGGAGCGGTGGGAGTGCAGCAAAGCAACTGAGCCCTGGAGAGAGGGTTGGCAACCCGCCTGTGTCTGGGGTGAGCACTGGAACCGGGCGGGGCTCAACCTGGCCTTTCTGAAGCCAGGGCTGCCCTACTCCCACTTGCCTCACTCCCTTGAGCTGGGCTGACTGGGTGAAGACTCAGTACGGACCCCTCGCCCTGCCTATCGCCACCATGTCAGGACACGGTGCACCTGCTTGCGGGATGTCACTGTGCCTGGCACAGCACCGGGTGAAATGGTTTGCACTCATTAAATGTCTGTTGAATGAAGTTGACACCATAACTGCTCTTAACCCAGGTTGCATCTTGTATGTCAAGGTTCAGTAAAGGAAAAAGTCTCCAATCTACGTAGTTCAAACCAAAAGGGGTTGCGTACAGGAATTTGGGGGCTCACGCAATCATCGGAAGGGCAGAAGAAGCAGATTCAGGATTGAGGCTACTACAGCGACTCCCAGAACAACACAGAATTACTGAAGCCATGGCTCAGAGGCACCATCGAGGGTATGCTCTTGGACGTCAGAGCTGCCACTGGCCCCAGAGAAGCCTCTAGAGACCTGCAGATGGGAGAAGAGACAGTGGAATTCAGGGAGCAGGCAGTCAGATGGAGAGGCTGTGCAGGCTAACATTTCGAATCTTGGAAAATGAAGCATGAACACTGGAGACTCCTGCAAGCCTGTGATGACCATGATAGCCACCAACAGCTAGGGCTGCAGGAAGAACACCCCCTCCCGTTTGTCTGCCAAATCTTGTGCAAGTGCGCGCGATGGGTGGCATCTAATCCACACCCAGAAACATAGTGCAAGGTGTTTTGGGAAATGCTTTCCAACCTTGTGGTGTCGATGGTGGAATGCTGGGAGTGAAATGGTGGATGAGCGAGCCAGCCACAGGGGTCTTCCACAGGCTTCTCTCCACTACTCTGGCCTGCAAGAGATCACCGAATGGCAAATCCCTCTCAGTCCACGCAGCTCTTACTGGCGGGGTATGGGGGCCCGAGCGGAGTGGGGGCAGAGTTGCTGGTCCTTAAGCCCTCCGGGATGGTTGGAAAAGCTCTGTATGATCGAGGACAGGAAATAGGTTACACAGAGAAGGTTCAGACCACGGACATGGAGACCATGAGGACAGAGACTTCGGCTTTATGTGCCAGGCTTCTGATTCCAGTGCTGGGGCCAAGTCCTGAGGTGTTGATGGGGCACAGCACTGAAGACGTCCTCCCCAGATCATACACATCTATCTTCAGCTGCTGTAAGCCTGCAAATGCAGCTTATCTGGGGGGAGGCGGAGGCCAAGAACTCACTAGGAATATTAGTAATATATTAGTATAGTAAAGGGAAATTAGTAGACAAAATTAGAGACAAAACTCAAATAAGGCTTCTTCCATAGATTGACAGACATCTGACTTTTTCAAGATCTTCCTTTTGCACAGGGAAGGCCACGGTGCCCTTCACCCTCTTCCAAGGGTCAGATAACCCCCAGGTCTCACCCTCAGGCGCTGCAGAGCCTCGCACTGAGAACTGTGAGCAGAAATGCCAAACAGTGGCTCTTCCTTCAGACAAGCTGCAGACCAACCGTTTATTATTGAAATGGCTTTCCTTCCACTTCATGCCAACCGGTGAACATTCTGGGGAGGGAGATTTTACTCTCTTTAGAGAGAATTCTAGAGCTGTTCGGCAGAGAACCGGCTCTGTGATGAGGCCTCTGCTCCTCCGGTGTCCTTGGGCATGGTATGTTCGGTGTGAGGGACAGTCCCTTGCTGGGAATGTCATTAAGGAGAGTTGGGCACCGAGAGAATGTGGGCTGGAGGGACTCGAGGATCTCCCAGAGCTTTTCTCCTGATATTCTGTGTTTCTGTGACTTAACCTGGAGATGTGCCTGGCAGGAAGCCATTGGCCATTGGCGGGGAGTAGAGAATTTGACCATAAGGAAAGGAGCAGTGGAGTCTGAGGCCTTGGGTGTCTGCTCGGGCTGTATTGGATGGCTGGTCCTGCTCTGTCTTCTTTCTCCTCTATACTTGCCATTCATGTTCCCATTCTGTGTGGGAGGGGAGTGAGCTGGTGGCTGTCATTCTGTGTTGGCATCTGTAGGGATTGGCACCTCCTTTCCAATGGTTTGGGGCCTCAGGTGCAGATGCACTCCAAGCTCCTCTGAGGACTGAGGTGTAGAGAGAGCCCAGCTGAGTTATAACGGGCTTTGTCTGGTGGAGAAGTGGCTGGGCATTTCTCCAACACCCCAAAGGGATGATGGGGCAGGGTCCATTGCAGGGGAGGGCACGCCACAGGCCTCCACAACGGCAGAGGAGTTTTGGCTCGGAGGTGTGTGTCGCAGGATGCCGGGCCCCTCCCACCGTAACTGATGGTGGGTGTGCTCACACGTGGAGCTAGGAGAGCAGCCGGGGAGGGGGCTGGGATGGGCTAGAATCCAGCTCCTCACTTGGCCAGAGCATGCTTCCTGTGAGCCTCAGAGTGTCCTCTTCTCTAGCCAATGGCATGCGTCTGTACCCCTGCATATGAGTGGGCCTGTGTGCTTTTTGTGTACGTGCATGTAGACATGCATGAAAGTGTCTGTCTATATCAAGCTATGTATGTGTCTACATGTGGATACCCATATGTGGCCCGGTGCATTGTGTGTGCATGCTGATCCATATGCTTCTTGGGCAAGGGGATGAATGCATGTGTGTGTGTGCATGTGCATACATGTGTGCATGCACATTCCAAGTTTGCACGTGCAGGTCTCTTGCCGGGCTTTGCCTTGGGCCATTGGTTCCTAGAGGGTGAGTTTGGGTTTGTCCTCCATGCTCCAGGGTCGATGGCATTGATCCAAGAGGAGTGAAGAATCAATTGTAATTTGGTTGGAGGGCCTGGCACCAGAGTGTGTGAAGAGTAATTAGAGGGAGAGGAGCCGATGCAGAGGGCTGGGCCCACTGCTCTTGGTAGGGGCTGCAGGCCTGTGGGCAGATGGGGGCAGCGTGGGCGGAGCAAAGCCTCATTCAGCAGGTTCCGGGACTCTTCATGTGAGTGCTTGATGCCCAGCACAGCCTCCTTTCCTTTCCTGGGCTCAGGACAAGCTCCGAGAAAAGCCCACAGGGAGTGTTGGGGTGGAGGCCACGCTGCTTGTTTGCTGGTCTACAGCGTGATGGGAACAGCATCTCCTGACAGACACCGTGTCTTTCACCACCAGGCGTCTCTTACATGATAATAGAATCACACGTCATTTATTCAACTTGCCTTTCAACAAATTTCCATTTTTCTTTTCTCCTTTGAACCTTATATCATAATCATGAGACGAGATAACAAGTATCAAGCCCCACTTTGTGGCTGCAGAAATGGAGGCACATGTGCAAGGTGACTTGCTAGGGTTCCCATAATGAGTGATTGGCAGAGCCTGGTTCACAGTTCAGGCCCAGCTCGGCCAGCACAGGGGTTCCTCTAGCAACAGGTCACAGAGCTTGTGTGTGTCTGAGGACACCTGGTCATCTGGAGAGAAGGTTTGTGGTTTGGAGTATGGTCCCTGCTCCTACAAGGGCCGTGGCTCCCCAAGCTGTGCCTGAGCCTCAGGGGCTTTGCAGAGGCTCTACTCTCGGGCCCTGCTTCCAGGCTGTGATTCAGCAGGTCTGGGGGCATCTGAGGTGAAGTCCGGAAGCTGAGTTCTTATCATGTGCTCCAGGTGATCCTGACACCGGTGGTCCATGAGCCTGGTTTGGCGGAACAGAAACAGAGCTTTAGGGGGTGGAAACCCAGAGAGATGTCAGGAAGCAGGTAGTACCAGCTCAGGGCAGGGGCTGCTACAGGGAAGCCTGAGTGCCTGGCATCCCGCCTGCCTGTGGTAGGGTAGGAGAGAAGTGGGGCCATCTCTGCTGTGAGTGAAGAGTGAAGATGGAAGGACCAAATGACCGTTCTTGAAAACCCGGGCTGTTCTGAGGCTCCTTAAGACTCTTGTTCTATGGGCTTTGGAAGAGAAGCAGCTGCATCTTTCTTAGGCAGTGGAGGGTCGGGGGGCGCAGGTTCAGGAAACAGGAGGGGAACATGACAGGAGACAGAAAACGAGTAAGAACAAAACAGAGAGCAGAGTGCTTGGGTGCCTTCACTGACTGCTAATGGTGACAGATTCACAGCCATTGCTGTTAAACGCCTGAGATCATTTGCCAGCGTGAGGAGCACAAGGGAAGAATTCTGTCCTAACAGATTCATCAGCAAGGAGGGGAAGGAAGGGGGACCAGCTCAGGGCTGGGAAGACTGCCTGGGATTCTGGGAAGAAAAGGAAGATTGGGACAGCATAGGAGATGGGGTAAAATGAGGGTCTGAAAGCCCCTCCGTCCCTGGCCAGTGACTGTTCTGCCCTGCACAGCAGCCAACCAAGCATGAGAGGTATGGGGCTTCCAAAAAGATGGGGTGTGTGCTTATGTAAGTGAAATGATTCCATTCTGAGCATCAGAGAACCTTCTACAGAAAGCAGCAGGTCATAGGATGAGGCTGGTCGGGGACCTAGCAGTGCCCAGAGGTCTCCTTTGCCTAAAGTAATCTGCAAAGTAGTTCTCGGTCTCCACATCCAAGAACTACTTTGAAACATCAGAAGTACCTTCTTGAATCCACAGAACCCTCCTGACTGTCCTTCTGGGACCTGTCCTAGGATGACTCGGCTTAACACCGGTCCTCCTAGCATAGTGATTCTCAGATAGGTCACAGACCTGGTGACGGGTTTCACATGAGGGAAGGTGGTTGAGGGGTGGTGACGGGAGGAGCAGAGGGATAAACGGACAGCATACAGCTTTAGGGGTTGGAAGGAGAAGAGAGATGTCAGGTGAGACAAAAGTTATAATTAAGAGAAGGATTAGAAGGATTTCAGGGTGACTTGAAATTATCTTCTTAATTTTCTAGAAACTATTTTGACCTCTTAGCTAGTCACGGACTGACTAAGGAGAGAGTCAAAAGCCATGCGAGGGTGCATATGCCTGCCCACCCCTCTTGGCCCATCTTCTACCCATTTCTCCCTTCTTGGTGTGATGCGCCAGTCCCAGATGGCACCCGTCCCCACCCGGTTTCCTGTATTCATTTCGGTTCTCATTCCTTGCACAATTACTCATACATGAGCTAGGCTGGGATGCATAACAATATACCCTAACATTCGTATAATGCTGTGCAGTCCTCAAGCTCCTTTTAGACCCATGACGTCATTGGATGCACACGGCATGCCACGAAGGAGGTCACACAGTGTCATGGCTGAGAATACAGATTCTGGAGGCGGGCTGCCTGGGTTCCAATTCAGTTTCTACTCCTACCATTGGTGTGATCTTAGGCAAGTGCTTTCGTTTATTCTTCTATACAGTGAGGATAGTAACAGATCATTCCATTTAATGTCATGAGGATTCAAGGATTTAATCTTTGTAAAGTGCTTATAACAGGACTTGGCGTTCACGAAGCTCAATATGTGTTAGTATTATTATGGTGATTATTCCAGGTTAGTAGACAGGAAACTGAGACTCACATGGGGTGAGTAACCTGCCTACATCTCAAAAATTTGGCAAGACTGGGGCATGAACCCAGATCTCCTGGCTTATGGTCCCGCAACATGGCAATGCTGTGTCACCAAGGAAATCAATATGCTTTGCACAGACTATTCATCTCCTGGCCTGGAAGTGCCTGGGGCTGGGAGCCAGAGTGGTTGTTAGCGATATTGACAGTGTTCTCTAGTACATGTTAGGCACAGTGCTGGGTGCTGTATGGTCTCCAGTCATTTGATCATCCCGACAGCCCTGAGAGGTAGGTATTTTCAACCCCTGTTTATAAGACTCCTGGGTCAACAGGGTTGGACTTGAATATATCTGACTTAGCTGGTCTTCTGGATGCAGGTAAGCGGCCTCTGGTGTCCTGCACCTCTGAGAACTGCTCCAGGCTTCGCAGCCCTGCTATGGAGGCGCTGTCCACAGTGCTGAAGGACTCGGCTGGACCACCACTGCCCCCAGCCTGGGGCACACGGGTGTGTGTGTACAAGGCTCTCTGTTCACTCCCCTGCACCCCTATCCTCAGACAAGGGGCTTTCTGATGCCACATGTCTCTCTGATTTCCAGAGGCTCAGAAACCAGGGTGCTTTACAGGATGAGAGTCATCTGTCCATCCTAAACCTCTCTCCCTTTCTTGGGCGTGTGGGGCACTACGGATCTACAGGTACAGCGCAGCATGTGTGTGAGTGCACACGCGTGCATGTGCACACACAGCCGGTGTGCCGTTGCTGTATCTGTATGCATCTCTAGGTTCTCTACTGGCCTGCGTGTATGTGAGAAAGTGTGTGGGTGGCAGGTCTCTATGGGGTGGCACAGCACCTGTCTGCGTGGGTGGTGTGCGAGTGTGTGTCCCTGGAGTGTGCGTGGTGTGGGGAGTATGTGGGGGAGGCTAACGACTGTGGTCTGTGGGGTGCTGGCTGTACTGCAGTTGTGAGGTCTAGTTTTCTTGGCTTCATCTTTACCTTTTCCGTGAGTCGCCCTGTACGCAGCCGTATGTGCAGACACGCAGGGACGTATGCACACACTCACACACGCATGCACGCACACACACCTGTGTCCTCAAAGCTTTTCACACCTCCTTCTTCCATATCCACTGACACACGGGTAGCGCCCTGCATGAGGGTGCAGCGCTCACATGTGCATGCAGACACTGAGCCAGGTGCACACGGAACACAAGCACACACACCCGGGCCCCTGGCTGACCCCGCAGAAGAGGTTCGTTGCTCCCCGCCGCTTTCCTGTCCCTGATCTTGCGCCTCTTGTCTCCTCCCAGGGGCAGGATCTTGTCCTTTGTCTCTTCTCTCTTGGGAGTGGCGTTCTTTGGCCTGGTGGTCTCGGTAGATCATTCCGGGGCTCGGTCTCAGCACAGTGAGGAGGGTTAGGCACTAGCCGGCATGGCCGCATTTCCGCGCGGAAACCGGATTTGTCCTCCTTCTGCCAGTCGGTTCCGCGAGGCTCCCGCCGGCGCCACCTGCTGACGGTCGCTCCCCAGCGCCTGTAGCCCGGGCGGGTGGGACCCGGGGGTGCCCCGGAGGCCGGGACTGCGTGAGGCATCGGCAGCCTGGACGCTGGGACCGGAGCAGGGGTGGAGAAGGTGGGTATGGGGGGACAAGTCTCCCTGGGACCTGCTTTAGGCAAGACGAGAAGGGTGTCCTGGGTACGTCTATGCCAGGAGTTCTGGTGTGGGAGAGCACGAGGCCCACCTGCACATGAACACGTGTGTTCACGCGTCCTACCTGCACACAACCCACGTTAGCCTCGCGATGCGTGAGGATGTGGCACACACTTGCACATACGAGCAGCTCCAGAGGGAGCAGATGGTGAAGATAACATATGTGTGGTTATCTGAAGAGATTCTGCGTGTGAGTGTGTGCGCAGGAGGGCCCACATTGGTGTGTGGACCTCTGTACGTGTGATTTTGCATACGTGTGTGTGTTCCTACAATGTCTGTGTGTGCAGCATGTTGCTTGTGTGTGTGTTTGTGGAAACACGTGGGTTTTAGTTATGTTAGCACACCATATGGTAAAAGCCTGGGCATTTCTGATTATGCCAAACCCTTCAACCTAGACACAGGTCTCTGAAAAACTGTCAACATTTTCTTCTACACTGCCAACTCCTGATCCCCCCAAGGGCACTGCCTGTCCTGCCTGTCCTTCAGCTGATACTCAGCCTCCTCCCCTTCTCTTCCTTCGTGCCCTTCTCTAAATGCCCATAAATCATGTTAGAGTCAGACTCGGTGGAATTCCGTGTACAGAGATTTCCCAGCTACCATCATTTCAGGGCTGAGGGTGGCTGAACCAGCCACTGACCCCTTCTTCTCTGCCAAGAGCAGCCCGTTGGCCTGGATGATGAATGGTGAACCATCCACCCTGGCCCCTCCTCAGTCCCTGCTTTTTCACAGGGCTCATGCCTCAAAGAACCTCCACAAAGGGACAGCAGCCCAGGGCAGAGAAAGGCCCCTTCTCCCCACAGCAAATGCTCTTTTCAAACCAGCCTCCCTCTTGTTGGAATGTTGCAGAGGCTGCTCGGTGCCCCTCAATTAACCTTGGGAAGCTGCCAGGAGAGCAGCCCTCGCAGAGCCAGCCCCTCCGTCTCCTTCTCCCCATATTCCCCCTTCCATCAGCTCATTGTCCCGGATTCCCCATGAGACTCTCTTTTCAGTGCCTCCACTGGCCTCCTCCCACACGCACCCCGCCCCCACCACTGCCCCAGGCTCCCCTGGCAGCTGTGCCCACCACCAAGGCCCAGGCTCTGTTTTTCCAAGTTGCTTTCCTAGAAAGGGAGTGGGGAGGGAGTCCAGCTTCTGAGCCCTCCCCAGTCAGGGCTCTGGATCAACTCTCCTTTCTCAAACAGGTGCCGTTATTATGTTTATTCCTCTCACCCTGCCCCCAGGAACACACCCTTCTCATTCATACACACCCAAATATCCTTGACAGCCAGGCCTCGCCGGGTTGGGCAGTCCTCTCTATCCTCTATCTCATGTTTTCCCCTTGTCTTTAACCACCTAGAACAGACACTGGGCTGCAGACAAGGTCAGAGGTTAAGCACCACCCTCTAATTCTAGTCAGGGCCATTGCAACCACATCCCACAGGGCAGATGGAGGTCCGGCTGCGCTCTCCTCACTGGGCTTCTGGTAGACCTCCTGTGCATAGCACCTCTTGAGCACTTGCTGCGGACTGGCTGCCATACTAACCTCTTAGCTCACTAATTCTTCTGAGCAACCCTGTTGTCTCTTAGCTGTACGTACTGTGAGGGCAAGAACCATGTTTGTGTTACTTGTCTTGCACCTAGTAAAGTGCTCAGCTCCCAGTAGGTGCTTGGCACACGTTGGTTTGTTCAGACTGTTGATTGAGTGGTTGGACATTTGTAAAAAAACGAGGCTTAGGGAGGTTACGCAACTTGCTTAAGGAGGCACTGGTGGTGAGGAGAGGCAGGGACAGGACCCAGGTCTTCTGACTCAGAGTCCAGGAATCTCTCCTCTGTGCCATATTTGCCTTGTGTCCAAGTACCATGGAAACTTGTTGCTGTGGTACCCTCTGCCATGGACGTGTTTTCCAAGAATAAATCCGGATCTGTCTCTAGGCTGTCCATACCACTCTGAAGCCCAGCGAGGGGAGGGACAGAGAGGAGGAGAGGAGAGAAACAGAGAAGGGAGGGGTTAGGATAGAAGACTGTGAAAGAGGCCGGGCAGCGGGGTAGCAGCGGAGGAAGGCAGGCTGATGTTTCCATCTGACCTCTGCCCCCTGTCTGGTCCCCAGCCCCTCTCTTCCTGTCCCCTGCACCTGCTGGGGCAATGTGCATGCCAAGGCTCCCGGGAAGGGTGGGGGCAGTGAGATAAAGCTGCATTGGGCATCTCCAGTAATACCACACAAGGCCCTTTTGTGTGGGTGTTGAGAGCTCAGTGTGGAGAGGTCCGGGAATGAGAGGTCTGGGGGTCGAATGGGTACAAGAATAGACCCCCTAGAGCCCTCCAGCTGTGGCTCCAGGGCCCAGTCTCCTCCCCCACCCCCAGCCTATCCATCTGCAGGCCCAAAGCAGAAGCGCAGGCCCCCCACACCCCTGCGAGGGCCTCTTTCCTCTCTCCAGCCCCCACTTCTGTGCCCTCGGCTTCAGTTTTGTTTCGGCCAAGAGAGGTGCTTTCTCCTCAGCATTTCCTTCCACCCAGACCTGTTTCTCACCACCTCCCTCCAAATTAACCTACAACTCGCCCCATTTGCCTATGCCTCCTTTCCACCTTTCTGAGTGGACTTATTTCCTCATTCTCCCCCAACACAGTTCTGTTCTAAACATGGAAGCCTGTTCCTCGTGCCACACACTGACCAGCCGGGCTACCTCCTTGCCACTTCCGCACGTTCGGTTGCCACACATCTTTAGGGAATGCCCACTTGGCTAGGTGCTGCACAGGCCAGCCCCTTGACCTCAGCAAGTTTCAGAGCAGCAGCTTTCCTGGCTGGCAGTCTCTTATTCTTCCATTCCGTCTCTCCCTCTCCTTTCTTGAAGACTGAGCTCAGACCTCACTTCCTTCACTCAGCCCTCACCATCTGCACCATCTCCATTTTCTTTTCCTTCTTTTTTTTTTTTTTTTTTGAGATGGAGTTTCCATCTTGTTGTCCAGGCTGGAGTACAATGGTACAATCTCGGCTCACTGCCACCTCCACCTCTCGGGTTCAAGTGATTCTCCTGCCTCAACTTCCCGAGTAGCTGGGATTACAGGCACCTGCCACCAAGCCAGGCTAATTTTTTGTATTTTTTGTAGAGATGGGGTTTCACCATGTTGGCCAGGGTGGTCTTGAACTCCTGACCTCAGGTGATCCGCCTGCCCCGGCCTCCCAAAGTGCTGGGATTACAGGCATGAGCCACGGCGCCATTGTCCTGTTCTACTGCAATTCAAGTCTGGGCCATCATCACTCTTGCGATGGTGTAGACAGAGTTTAGTAAGTGCCGTTCATGTGGTCAGCCTTGTTTTTCCATCCAGGTGCCAAGGTCCTGAGTGACTGAGACTGTGGCTGGTCACTCTGGTGTTCTCCATAGGGCCTAGCACAGTGCTGACTGCAGGCTGGTGTCCAGGTGCTACTCATTCATTGTGGAATCCCTTCTGCTGGTGCTTCTTGAGCGTAGGCCCTGGGCCTGTCTGTTTCTGGCATTCTAGCATGGCTTGCTCCTTGGCTGACTCCTCACAGCTTCTTGAGCCACTGCTCGAGTCCACCTTTTGGCAGTTTCAAGGTTGCCATTTGCCTGAGTCCAGGACTCCATGTGCCTCTGTGGAAGGTCTGTGCTGTACTAGAATCTCTGGCTATTCAAGCCTTGGGGAGAAAGCCAGGTCTCATTTTCTTCCTGTATCATATCACAGGGCCATGACATTGGGCTGCTGGAGAGTCTGTGACAAAGAAACTGCCCATCAGAGTCTTCAGATCCTTCTCTCCTGGGCCTTAGTTCCCACTACCTTCTACGGTCCCTTTTCCAGATGGAGGAAGTAGAACTCAGACAAAGAGAATGACCCACACCTTTGGGCTGCTGGGGCCAGAGCTGGATGGTGCAGTGGAGCCCTGATTCTAGCTGTCTTCCAGACTTCTGGATGCCAAGAGTTTGAGTGAGGTTCGCTCTGCTCATCTGTCACTGCGCCTTGCAGCTGGGGCCTGTGGCCATGGGCAGACAAGGGCATACTCAGGTGGGCCAGGGTAGCCCCAGGAGGCCTGAGAACAACATTTTTAATGATGCAGACATTGGCGAGGTGAGGAGTTGCTGAACAGTGTGGGTGAAATGTTCCTGGGGGGCAGTTCACAAGCAGGGCTATCTATATAGGGCTCCTGAGTTCTATGGGACAAATTTCATGCAGAGTAATGAACTTCCTTTCTGTAGTCCTACCTTAAGTCACACAACAATGAAATATGTTTTCTCTGAGATTGTTCAGAGCTGGCCTGGAACACCTAGAAGAAAGAGGAGAGGGATTAGTAAGGCTGAGGGTGCTGTCCACCTAGTTTTCAAATAAACTTATCCTAAATTATAGGTCTACTTTCGACCTTGGGCAAGGACTCCTCCCTTCTCAGCCAGGCAAGAAATGAATACAGTTCAGCTAAAATTCTAGTTTCTTTATCATTAATTTCTACTACATTGCCACAAACAAATCTTTAAGAACTTGGACTTCAGGCTCAGCATGAGAGAATTCTGCTCTGTAGAGATGCATGTTTATACCTGTGCACACACAAATGACCAGGACAGGTTCTGAGAGAGTGTCATCTGCTGCCCACTTGCATATGTGGGCAGCAGTTAGCATACATGTTACCTCTGCCGTATGCGCGGGATGGTGAGAGCACAGGGAAGCAACATTAGGCTGCACCCTGCAATGGATGGGATTTGGGTAGATCCTCTTCCTGGGCTGTGGACTCATCTGGATGAAATATAAAATGATCCTATGGTGGTCGGAACGGGTATCTTAAGCTAGGAAGGGCTGGATCAGTCTCTGGGTCTGTTACCACCACCTAACCAAGCTGTGGCCTTCAGAGGAGATTGCACCTCAATAGAACTCTGGACATTGTAGCAATTTTTTTAAAATGGGGTCTTGTTCTATCACCTGGCCTGGAGTACAGTAGTGCAATCATAGCTCACTGTAGCCCAGAACTCCTGGGCTCAAGGGATCCTCACACCTCAGCCTCCCAAGTAGCTGGGACGACAGGAGCATGCCACCGTGCTGCTAATTTAAAATTTTTTTTTTTTTTGTAGAGATGGGGTCTTGCTTTGTTACCCAGGCTGGTCTCAACTTCCTGACTTCAAGCGGTCCTCTTGCCTCAGCCACCCAAAGTGCTGGGATTATAGGGGTGAGTCACCATGCCCAACCTGGTAAATTTGACTCATAATGAAGTTTGCGTTTGAATAAGACAAAGTATTCAGGAATTTATATTTGGAGAGGGCAAGATGGATGGTTAGAATATCTACTTGGGTCCAGAAAAACAACTTAAGACCAGAGGCCACCCACCCAAGAGACAAGCGGGGAGCCAGGAGAGACGAACGCCATGTGAGGTGCTTGCAACGTTGTGGGAGGATTTTGAGCCTAGATGAACAATTCTTACGGTGAGAGGGCTTGAGACCCTTGCAAAGCTTTTCTCCACTTCTGCGTCAGATCTTAAGATTATATATTTATGTTTCAGAAATGCAATTTTATTTATTTTCCTCTCTCCTCCAAGTTCTTTTAAAATATGCTGACTGGTCTCTGGTGTATTAAGAGAAAGCAAGGTGAAAGGATCTGCTTCACAAACAGGCTAGTCTTCTGTAAGGATCAAGCGTACATCCCTGACACCTGGGACTGGTAGTGGTAGCTTGACTCAAAGGGAGAAAACTCTGAGATCGGATACTATATGCCAAGCCCTTTTGTGTTGGTCAATTTTAGATGTCGACTAGGGTAAGGGCTGCCCAGATACCTCACAAAACTTTCTTTCTGGGTGTGTCTGTGAGGGTGCTTCTGGAAGAGGTTGGCGACAGAATTGGGAGGCTGAGTGAGGATGGTCTGTCCTCACTAGCGTGGGCAGCCATCATCCTACCCTCCATCAAAGCTCCATATAGAGCAACAAAGGCTGAGGGTGGGCAAATTGCTCTCTTCTGGAGCTGGGGTAGCTTCTCCTGTCCCTTGGACATCAGAACTCTAGGTTCTCAGGTCTTTAGACACAGACTGAATTATACCACCAGCTTCTCTGGTTCTTCAGCATTCAGATGGCATAGCATTGGACTTCTCAGGCTCCAGAATTGCATGTGCTAATTTCTATAATACCTCCCGTTATATCTCTATATGTATATTGGTATCAATATTGATGTCTATATCAATCCTATTAGTTCTATTTTTTCTGGAGAACTCTAATATATACCTTTCTTTCTAGATATTTCTTCTAGCAGTCATTTTTTTCCTTCAATTTTGAAGACTGTTTTCATTGCAAATTGTATCATCCAGAAATGGCTGCAACACTCTCTCCCATCCCGTAAGTTCTTCTTAAAATGTGACAGGGGCCGGGTGCGGTGGCTCACGCCTGTAATCCTAGCACTTTGGGAGGCCAAGGTGGGTGGATCACCAGGTCAGGAGTTCGAGACCAGCCTAGCCAATATGGTGAAACCCTGTCTCTACTAAAAATACAAAAATTAGCCGGATGTGGTGGCATGTGCCTGTAGGCCCAGCTACTTGGGAGGCTGAGGCAGAAGAATCACTTGAACCTGGGAGGCGGAGGTTGCAGTGAGCTGAGATTGCGCTACTGCACTCCAGCCTGGGTGACAGAGTAAGATTCCGTCTAAAAAAAAAAAAAAGTGACAGGGCCACTGTTCTATTGAGAGGTGGGGAACTGTGTCCTCTCCCTTTGAATTGGGGCAGGTTTTTGACCCTGATGGAAGTGATGCTAGGTGTCTTCCAAGGCTGGGATATGAAGGGTCATATGCCTTTCACCTGGTTCTACTGGGATGCCAGCTTTTGGAACCACCATGCTTTGAGGAAGCCCAGGCAGCCTGCAGAGAGGCCCACTTGAGGAAGAATCACAGCCCTTTGCTGGCAGCCCAGGCTAACAGCCAGCGTCAACCTGCTAGCCACGTGAGTAAGCCATCCTGAAAGGAGAAAGGTCCACACCCCAGTGGAGCTGATGCCACATGAAGTAGAGAAGAGCTGTCCTCACCAGCCAGTGTCCAAATTGCGGATTCAAGAGCAAATGAATGAGCCTTCTTGCTTTAAGCCATGATATTTTGGGCTGGGTTTTTACACGGTAAGACAACTGATACAGTTCCCTATTTATGTAAACACTAAACACGCTCTTTGGTGTTTGTGTTGAGTAAACTGCTTTTATTTAGAACTGCCTCTCCTTTTCACAAGCAGCTGTCCCAACAATTGTTCTACCCTAGATTCTGCAATGAGGGCTGGAACCACTGAGGAAGGTGAGAAGTGACAGACAAGTGAACTATTGTTTTTGAGTCCTCCTTGTTCGATGACTATGAGGAGGGAAGGAGGATAGTTTCCTCTTCTCCTACACTTGAAGCTCCTGTCAGCCCCCTTTCTCACATGTCCTCCAAAGGCCTCTGGGATGTGCAGGTAGGTGGCTACATTTGGTTTTTTTTCATAGACACACTGATAAGACTATTGTTTTGTATTTCCAAAAAGTCAGTACCTCTTAAAAGAAGATGACAGACACTCCCGTATCTGATATACATAGCATTCCTGGATATATTACTGCATTTATTAGTGACATCGATGACATTCAGGTACACCTAGGAGCTGCGCAGGGAAGTGGCTCATGTTCCTCCCTCATGTCCCTTTTGGACATCTGGGGTCCATGCTCCCCTTGAACACTCAACTGGATGTGTCTATTCTAGGAAGGGGCAACCATCCTTTCTGGGTCCAAAGCTCAGCCATACGCCAAGAGGAAAAGATTTGATCAGACTCACTCCTCACTGTAAGCTGATACAGTATATCTCTCTTTAGCTGATCTGAAACCCAGTTGAGACATGTCTAATGATGATGATGATGACGAACTTTTCCCTTTGTATCTTAATTTTCTTCCCCTTCCTCTCTGCCTTCATCCCTTGTTCCACTCTGTTTCCAGTAGAATTATCCAGAAGAAATTTGTTCTCCTCTTTAGATAGATCCTTCGAACCCCTTCCCAACCCAACTCATGTTCTAAAGCTTGTTACGTGTTTTTTTCTTTCCAATTTGACAGACACTTTTGTTGTTGTTTTTGTTTGTTTTTTAACAGGGTCTCATTCTGTCACCCAGGCTGGAGTGCAGTGGCATGATCACTGAGCCTAGAACTCCTGTGCTCAGGCAATACTCCTGCTTCAGCCTCCTGAGGAGCTGAGACTACTGGCATGAGCCTCCATGCCCGCCATCCATTCTGACAGACAGTTCTACTTTCCTAGCAGGAGGCAGAACCCTGAGTAGGACAAATGGATGGCCAGACAAAGCAATCAAGATGGGTGGTGAGAGTGGCTCCATCTTTTTCCTTGCCCTGCAGGCCCCTAGGAGAGGGTTTCTCTGAGACCTGATGTTTCCCACTCCATACCTAACAATGGTGAGGAACTAGGGCCAGGCTTTGTGGATCCGGCACTTTTCTCTAGGCCACAGTTAGCTGCTTAGAGGTTGTGGGAGGAGAAGGATCCTGTTATGACCAATTCTGCAAATGGATTCCAATATGTCTTTACAGTCCCGGGGCCCTGGGAAAGTGTGTAAGTGTGTGTGTATGTATATGTGTGTGTGTGTGTTGGGGGTGGAGTTATTCTGGGTCATGCCACCTGGAAATCACTGCATCAATGAGACCTGGAGATCACTGCATCAATGAGACCTGGAGCAGCTCACTTCATTGTCCCCAGAAAGGCATCTTTGCCCAAGAAGAGAACCAAAATCATGGCTCAGGGAGAGATGGCCCCAAGTTATGCATCTTGAGTGTGTTTGCACAGGTGGAGGGGTGGGTAGGGTAGAAGGTTATTCAACAGTCCTGGTTCTCTGGATCTATCCAGGCCCTCGACCTTTATCCATGTGCTCACTGACTGCTCTGTTGGGGGCCTCTTTCTGCCTCCCAGCTGGCGGTGAGCTAAGAGGCTTCCGGTGTCAGGGAATGCTCCACCTCCGGTGTTCAAGGCCACTTTTTGTGCATGTGTGTGTACCTGTGTGCACGCTTTCCCAGAAGCAAGTCTCCTTCTTGTTGTTTTGGGAGCTTCATGTCCTGGAGCCAGGGCTTTGTGGCTAACGAGTGCTTTGAGAGGATGAAATTCCTGAGCTCTCGCTCGCTGACCCTCTGCCTTCCTTCCTTGGCCAACAGCCCATCCCAGGGAGCGGTGTGATTCTTACCACTGCCTTCACTCCTTGAAAGAACAAACATCTTCACTGCAGCCTCTGAGCGCTGGTGTGAGGTGATTGTTTGTAGTAGATGTTTCCATGACACTCATTTATTTCTTCTGCAAATACAACTGTATTGGGGGAGGGGAAGCAGACAGGCTAGGGTAGGGAGACTGGAACATACGAAGACCTTCCAGTTTCCTATTTACATTCCTCTGTAGGATGAGAAGCTCCTTCCCTTTCCCTGGGTCTCCTCCATCCCAGACTCCTAAAGCTTCCCCCAAACCCATCTTGGTTTCATGCGGCCGAGTCGGGGCTGGGCTCCGAGTAAGGTGGAGAGGGGAGGAACCATGTGCGTGAGGAAGCAGCCTTTATCAGGAGAAGTGGGAAAAAGACCCAACTTTGACTGCTTGGAGTCGGGATTCAGTAATGATGAGCAGCAGTGACCAGCACTGGGGGTGGAGTGTGTGTGCACGAGTGTTCCTGAGGGGTCTGTGGCACTTCGCAGCTGAGCCAATGACTCACTCTAAATCTTAGCGACTTTGAGAGGTCATTTTAGTCATCCCCCGGTCTGCATCACGTTTGGAGGGGGTGGTGCGCTGCTCTGGGGACGTGTCTGGGTGCGGAGGGAGACGGGGTGGGGAGGCGGCGCGTGACCTCTTTGAAAAGATCTCCGGCGAAGGACGTTCCCCGGCTCTCCCGGGCCGCCGGCTCCTGGGTTTCCCCATCATAGAATCAGCATGGTCCTCTCGGGAACTGCTTTTTGCCGGATGGAAACCGGATGTTGGGTTCCATGAGTGGGCGGGGGCTCCACTTCCCTCAGACCTGTCCGGGGTAATTGAGACCCGCCAGGGTCCCGTTAGAAGCTACCATTTCCCTCACCAGAAACTTGCCACGCAGTGTGAGCCGAGAGAGAAGCGGGCAGAGACGCTATACCACCTTCTCCCCGGCAATGCGCATGATTCTGCGGCTCTGTGCTCGCCACACTTCAACGCACCTTGAAATGGGCTCGCCTCCTTCGCGCCGCGACGGGCGGAAGGCTGAGCCAATCGGACCCCCGGCTTGCGGGCGGCGCCCAATAGGCGGGCGGCGGGGGCGGTTCCGGAGGCCCGGCCCGGCTAGGCTTCACCGTGGACCTGGCTGCGCTCCGCCCGGGCGAGTAGTGCAGGTGCCGCTGCGCCGGGGCCGGGGAGGCGCGCGCCGAGCCGAGCGGAGCCTAGGAGGGATGGAGAGCTGGCCACCCGGGCTGCAGGAGCACCGGCGCGGGGCGTAGGCGGCGCGAGGCGGGCGCGAGGCGGGCGCTCGGGCGCGAGGCGCGTGCGGGCGCGGGAGCACTTTGCGATAGGATGAGGCTCCGGGCTGGCGCGGTAGTACTATGATTTGGTATGTGGCCACTTTCATAGCAAGTGTGATCGGCACCCGAGGGCTTGCGGCTGAAGGTGAGTTGAAGTGCGGCGTCCCTCCCCTGCCCCTCCCGGCGCCCTCGGCCCCTCGCGCCCGGCCCCTCGGTTTCCCGGCTCCTTGGCCCCCCGGTTCCCCAGCTCCCCGGCGCGCCTTCCCGCGGGTGAGGCTTGGGCTCCGACGCGGGCCAGGCGGCCCGGGAGCATTGCCGGGGAGGGCCTGGGGGCCGTGGGCTGGAGGGGCGGGCGGGAAGGGGCCAGAGCCCACGGGCTGCCGGGCACTCGGGGAAAGGACGCAGTGGAACCTGGGTCGACTTCGCCCACCACGGGCCCCACGGTGCACACCGGCGCGCCTAGCCCGTCGCCTCCTGCCCGGCGGCCGCCTCCCAGAGCTGCGGGAAACTCTGGCTGCGGGAGTTTGCGGTCTCCGGGCAGGCTGCAGCACGCTAGAGCCCCGCGCCGCGAGGAGCGCCTGCAGGGAGGCGCGACCCGGAGGATCCCTGGGACTGGCGGCACCCGCGTCTAAGGCCCCGGGTTCGCGCGGCCCTGCGGGCGTCCATCGCTCCGCTCGCGCCCCTCCTGCCCACACATCTTGGCAGCTGGAGGTCGGATCCCCCTAGCAGGGGCGCCCGGTGAGAGGAGGATTGATGAGGCCAGCTTCGAGGTGTGTCCGCTTTTGGCTGGACCCCGCCGGCCCCCGCGCCTCTCAGCCGCACCTGGGCCCCGGCCAGGCAAAAGTTCCCCGGGAGCGCGCCGCAGCCGCGCGGGCCCCACGCCGCCCTCCCCAGGCTGCGAGGCAGAGCTGGCTGGGGGCGGCGGCGGGGGAGGGGAGGGGCGGGGAAGGGGGGGTCCCCACGCTGTGAATCCGAGCGGAGGGGGGATTTTCTCTTTCCGCTTTCCTGGGTCTGAGCTGGGGGAGACGCAAGGGGGGAGCCACCGAGTTGGGTGATGCGTGCGTGAGCGCGCGGGCTTTTGCTTTGGAGATGGGCAGAGCGACCTACAAGCCTCTGGGTGGCACCCCCGGCTCTCGGCCCTTGTATGGAAGTGGGAGCGGAGCCTGGAGGGTGCCAGGACTGTGAGCTCAGGGCTGTCAGCGCGCAGACACGACCCGGCTGCGGGCAAGTTCACCAAGCCGGAGGAGATGGCGGCGGGAGAGAACCCGCTGTGGGTGGGAGTCAGCAGGCAGGACTCGCCGACAGAGAACCCTCTCCCAGCGGCATGGGGCGCCGGGTGGGCTGGAGGCGCCTCTCACGGGGTCCCCTCGTCACTCGTCTGTGCAGGGGGGCGTGCTTCAGGAAACTTTCCGGAATGGAATGAATATGTCGCCTCTGCTTCTGAGGGGGGTGGTGGTGTCTGAAAACAGAACGAGCAGAGGGCGAAGCGAAGGGTGATTTTGTTAACTGACATGTTGGTCCGGACGGTTTTAAAACTCTTCATTTGTCAGGTGGGAACACTGAGGCAAGGGTGATGGCGGAAGCTTACGGAACGGGGGGTGGATGTGAGGTGCATCGGGCTGCGCTTGACAGTCTGCCTGTAGCCTCATCCTCTCCCCCATTTCCTTGCCGTCTTCCAATGCCCGCATCCTCCTCCCCTCCCGTTTTTGGTATGTTCCTGCTATGGGACTGTCCCTGAAAGCACAAAAGGATGAGCTGGGATCTTTGAATAGAAAAGAGACGCTGAAGGAAGGCTCTGAAATAGCCTCCGAACCTAAGTCAGGGTGGGCAATGGACTTCTTTGCAAGTTTCAGCCCAGAATAAAGGAATGTGAGTTTATACTGCAGCAACACGCAGAATCGCAAGATAGAAGGAAGGGCTTCCCAAAATTGAAGGCTGCCTGGCATGAAGGTTATGCCCTCTTTCAGGGTGCAGAGGGGTCCTTCTGTCTGGAATGGCTGGACATGTACCCCTGTCTGGAAGCAGAGGGTGACCTTGCTGGTCTTGGGGTCTTTCTTAGCCTCAATTGCTCTGTGTGTGGTAGTTAAGGACCTAGGTCTAGAGCCATATGACTGGGATTCAGATTCTGGCTGTGTCACCTGCCGACCCTGTGACCTTGGACAAATTCTCAACCTCTCTAAATGTCACTTGCTTCAATAGAAAATGTGCCAATAGCATGTACTTTTAGGGTTTTTAGGTGGACATGAGTGTTATAAGGAAACAAAACAACTACCTGTTATATAGTACGTGCTCAGTAAACATTAACATTATTTTCTCAGTGTCCCTGGGATTCCAAGATCCTCCTCAATTTCTTTCCCTTGGGCCATTCAGGGCACTAGGAGCTGAGAATGTGTTGCGGGGAAGTTCAGAAGGCTGCCTGTGTCAGGAAGTAAGACCCCTTTCTGGGCTGACCTTGTCTGGGCAGAACCTCTTGTCCCTGGCATCCCAGGGACACGTGTGCAGGATGTGCGGGCCTCAAAGCTGCTCGGAAGTCCTTTGCAAGGTCTCCAAAGCTGGAGTGTTGTTGGTGGCCAGAGGTTTATGGAAGGACACAGCCCGGGAAGTGAGGGCTTGCAACACACAGCCTCTGGAGAGAGCGGGTGGGCGCCCGCTCGTGTGAGCAGCACCAGCCAGTGTCCACATGCTGCTGAGTCTCCCTGTGAGAGCTCAGCTGTTCCCTGACTGGCAGAGGTGACTTCTGGGGCAGTCCCTCAGCAGGAGGGACTTTGAGATGCCACCCTTAGGATTTGGCCATAGCAGGGGCTGCTCTGGCAGAGGGGGAAAGGGATGATGTTGTGTTGGGACCCGACTCCATCAGCCCTCGGGTGCGGGACAGAGGTTGGAATGGGCTCCTCCTTTTGACTTTGAGTGTGTGTGCCTGGGAGGTGATTAAGGTCAGTGGACAGGTTGGGGAAGTGTGGAGAAGAGAGGGGCTGGAGTGGTACCCAGAACCTGGAAGACAGTGATTGGTGTGCACTCAGTATCTCAGACGGCTGCTGAGCCAGCCCGGGGGAGTTCCTACTCTGTGGGAGGACCCTGGGCCGTGCTTAGCTGATTGTGGACCTTGGATAGGGGAGGAAAGTCCCAGACTTTACTCCCACGGCTGCCTCCTCTGTCTGCCACAGATTCTGTCGTTACATTATCCCTGACTACAGTGTCCCCAAATACAGTGAGGTTCTGACTCAGATCCTGCTGGTAGTTGGGCCATTGCCCTCTACTTTCTACCTGGCCTTGACCTATGCTTCCTTTTGGTAATGAAGATGGGAGGGTGGAGGTTTGGACTCAGAGGTTGCTATCAAGACCCCGTGGTGAGCCTATCGGCTGAGAAGGACTTCACTCAGGAAGTGGTCAGTGGCTGGATGGATGTGTGTGTGTATCCTCAGCACACACATGCTGGGGACAGGAGTGTGTCTGGCAGCCTGTGCCCTGTGGGAAGCTGGGGAGACGGGGATGTGAGAAGGGCTTGGCTGAGGGGCAGAGGGCAATCAGCTTTCAGCCGCGGGCCTGTGGCCCTGCATGTGCTGGTCCTGGAGTTGCAGGGTCCTAGATAGACCTTGAGTGGTTTCGTGTTTATGGCTCTGAGACAGAAGGCTGGAATCTGGTTACAGAGGAGCAGAGGCTGCCTCGCTGGAAGATTCTGAGCCCCAGCATCACTCTGGCCCTCACTCCAACCTCCTGTACCTTTGCCTTCTCCCCAGCCAGGGTGCTGGCTGTGTCTTCTTCCTTGGCCCTCTCTTCCTCAGCCCTGCTGGGTGCTTCAAGATGTGGGGGTGGGAGATAAGCTCCAAAGAGGGCTGGGCCTGAGATTTAAGGTAGCTCTCTTCTCCACATCCTGTGGCCTTCTCAGGTTGGGGTGCAGAGTACTTAGGGAGCGGTCCCCTTCCACCTGCTTCCTAGAAGAGGTGAAGCAGCTTGTGTGAAGAGTGGATCTGAATGGTCAAAGAGCTGCAACTGCTGAGAGCTTCCAGCTGTCCAGAAGTGTGTGTGTGTGCACATGCATACATGTGCACATGTGTGTGCGCATACACACATGTTCCTATATGTGTACATATGTGTGTGCCCCTGCATGTGTGCATATATGTGCCCCTGTGTGTATGCATGCTGGCATGTATGTGCATTGCATATGTGTGCACACCTGTATGTGTGTGCACATGTGCCCATACGTGTGCATGCACATGCATGTATGCCTGTGTGCACATACATGTGAAATCTGTATGTGTGCCTGCCCACAAGTGCTTGAGTGCCTGTGTGTTTGTGTGCACGTGCGTGGAGTGGCAGGGTGGGGAAGTTAGTGTGCAGACACGAGGTGGGGGCCACTCCTCTCCGTGCTGCAGCCCTGAGAGCAGAGAGACCCTTGGAGCCAACTTCTTGCCTTCATATCCCCTCCCACTCTGCCACGGTGCCCTTGGTGCTGCAGTCTAGGCAGCACAGAGGTTACCAGAGTGGCAGGCCCCAGCCCAGGGCCTCTCTGTCTCCCTGAGGGTGTGGCTGTGTCTCAGTTGCTCACTCCAGAGGACTCTGGGGTTGGATAGGCAGCTTATGCCCATTCCCCAAAAGGCGCTGCCCATGGGTGTGAGCCCAGTCTGCTGGAGGCAGCTGACCTATTTTTCTTGGGAATCTTCCTGCTTTTCTGTTCTCTCTTGCGTGAATAAGCAGGAGATGGGGCCTCCAAGAGGGCTCTGGAGAAAGAGTCCGAGTGCGCCAGAGCTGGGAGGAGTCTCAGCCGGCCTGACTGTCCTTTCTGAGAAGGTCCCGCTCAGCCTGGCTTTCTGTCCTCTGTGGCCCCTTGCCTCCCTCCTGGTCGTGTGTGCCCCCGAGATGGAGCGGGGGCCTGTGACTTGCACACAGGCACAGACTGTACGAGGTGAGTCACTGTCTTCATTTTCTGGCTTTGGAGTAGGAATGTTGATGTTGCCCGGGGAGTAAACATGGGACTTCGGCTTCCCACGGACTTACTGCCTCTATCTGGCATCTTACCACGGAGCCCAGCCTCCTGGGGGCCGAGCCCACGGTGCCCTCAGTTGGCCAGGCGGCCTGCCGGCTGCAGGGGCGCGTGCACCTGGGCCCTGTGAGTGCCGGGCAGGCCTCTGCCCAGGTGGGGAGAGGGGCAGTGGGGGTGTGGCTTTGCCTCTGCTGAGGAGCCATTAAAGGAGTGGAGCAGAGATTGAATTACTGACTTCCTTCCTGCCAGTGGCTCCTGGGGAAAGGACTCTTGGAAATACAATCTAGCCGAGAGCAAATTAAGGTTGCTAATAGCATCCCGGCCTCACAGCTGCTGGGGGAGCCCAGCCGAGAAGGCTCAGGGCCGGAGCGGCCCCCGCAGAAGGAAGGAGCCTGCTGAGCTTGCACCTCCCCAGTGCCTCTCTCTCCTTAAGGAGCGGCTGGGGCTCCCTGACCCGTGGCTTCCGAACCTGAGAGGTTTGGTGGCGCGTGGGGGCCGGGAGGGCTGTGAGGGCATGAAGGGGAGATCACTGAAGGGTGGAAATGCTCTGAGGTGCTGTCGGGTTGGGTGTGGGGGCTTTCCCGCAGGCAGAAGGCTGTCCAGAACAACCCGTACCCGTCTGCCTTCCTGCAGGGAGAACAGGACACCGTCGGCGTTTTGGACCAGGTCTCTCCCCCGCCGCCTCGTCCTTTCTGGGTGTTCGCTGTGCTTTGGGTCCCGCCTTCCTCCTGCCTTCCTCTGGGCGTGTGCCTCCCACTTTGTGAGAGCCCCGGGTCTGCCGGCTTCCTGGAATCTCCTGGAGCCTCCTGGCTTGTCAGGGAGGAGGGGTTGGGGGACTATTGGGGGCTGTGCCTTTTTTGGACTCAGCAGGGATTATTTTTAGGCTGGCAGATGGAGGTGGCGGTGGCTGTCGCTGGTATTATTAGACAACAGGCCTGTGGTTTGGAAGTCTGGTGCCCAGAGGAGGAGGAGGAGGAGGAGGAGGAGGCTGCAATAAGGACTTGTACTAATGAGCAACGGATGCTGGTGCTCACTCCGTTCCCCGCTTCCCCAGCCACCAGCCAGACCCAGCTAGGGGTCTCAGAGTCTCAGGCAGAAGGCCAGGCTCCTCAGAGCTGGTCAGAGCCCACCCGGCCGCCTTCTGAGACAGGCCCACCCTATGGTCCTAGGCTTCAGGGTCTGGGCTGGCAAAACCTGTCCCCAGTGTGGGGTTGGAGTTGCCGACCTCTGGCTCAGGCCCTAAGAAAGGGAAAAGTGAGGCTCAGTGGGTGAAAGGCCTTGATCCCGGCGCCTGGGTTGGGCCAGGATGACCTCTGCCCCACCTGCTTTCTGAGAAGGATAGGGACACCATCCGTGCATCGGGCACAGCTGGAACCTAGTAACTTTGGGTGAGCGGCGCAACTCCCCGTTTGCTCATTTTTCAATGGGAGACAGCGGTGCGTGTGTCAGGAGGCCATTGTGGGCAGGGACTGAGATTCCCTGCGTTCCCAGCACAGAGCCTAGGGTGCAGCAGGCATTCACAGCACGCGAGGCTTGCATGCCAGCTGATGCTCGCCCGGCCCTGCTCCTCACACCTTGCCCTGCACACCTTCCTCCGTATTCAGAGCAGTCCTGCTTTCAGGCACCCTCCTTCCCCAGCCCTTCCCCGGCGGAGGAGCTCCGGGTTGTGAGTGCTAGACATGGGCTGTGCCAGGCCCTGGATGCCTCATGGTTCTGCACAGGGGTCCAACGGCAGCCCTGGACTCAGCCACCCACTGGGTACCACCTGGCCCAGAGAGCAGGAGATTTGTACCCTGTGGGCTTCCCAAAAGGTCAGCCAGACCTCTGGGGGCTGCCTTATCTTTCCTTGCCCTCCTACTTTCTCTTCCCCGCCATAACTGCTCCAAAGGGAGCTGGACACACCCCCAAGATACAGATTTACTAGGTTCTGGGCACCGCTATTTCTGGCCTTCTCTAAAGAGAGTGAGACCTATGGTGCCTTTCCCTGTGCCCACTCCTGACAATGCTGGTTTTCCCCCTTTGAGGGGGGAGCCTGGCCCCTCTGAGCTGCTGTGATGGAGAGGGGCTCAGCACACTCCACCCTCCCCTTCCTCTCTTCCTCCCCTTCCTCCCCACTCCCTTCAGGAGCCAGCCCCTCCCCCTTCCAGTCTCCATCTGCCCCCACCCAGGCTCTGGGGTGTTCTGACAGAACACAGACACACACAGGTGTGTCTGTGTCCAGCTGGCCTGAACTCACCCTCCCAGGGCTGGGCTCCACACCTGGCCCCTCCTCTGCTCTCCTCTTTGCTCTCCACTTTGCACCTCTTTTGCTCCTGGATGTGGGTTTGGTTTCCCCCTGTATTTGGGTTTCTCTATCTATCCTCCATCTTCCCTCTTTACTGCTAGCCTGATTACTTTTTTTCATATTGAGCTTTTCTGGAGAGAGTGTGTTATTAGACATACTTTGGCTCAGAAATGATCAGGCTTAGGGAGAAGTGCTTGTGGGTGATGGAGTGAGAGAATATGCCGTGCGTGTGTGTGTGCGTGCGCATGTGTGTGTGAAGGAGATGACAGAAAACCAATAAATATTCTAGGATCCAGAAAAGCAAGAGGGCTTGGAGCGAGGGTGGAGGCCAGGACATGGGCGCCCACACCACTGCTTTATTCTGGGGAAGCTCCCTCTCATTTTGTCTTGCTTATCCTCTTTGGGATGTGTCCTCTCTGCAGCTGCCTCTCCCTGGTTGAAAGGGTCTTTGGGAAGAGATGCTGGGAGGGGACGGCCTGCCTTGGAGGTAGGCCTTGGGTTGGGTGCTCAGCGCTTAGCCCAGGGGCTGGCTGGGGCTGGGGTGGAATCCCAGCGCTGGGGAAGATTTGAAGAGCCTGCCTCGTTGCTGTGCAGTGAAAATGAGGCTGGCTCGGTGCAAATGAGCAGCCTCACAGCGGGAACCCACGTCAAAGCCAACCCACCTCCTGGCGTTGCCCGCTAGAGCCCTCCACCTGGAAGCCAGCTCACCAGAGCAAACTCCACTGTTGGAGGTGCCTGCTGTCCCCCTAGGCCTCTGTTCCTCCTGCCTGGGCCAAAGCCCTGGGAAGGAACCACCTTCTGTTGCCCACTCTGCCCTCCTCCAGGTAACCTGGCACCTGGGAATAACTCCCTCCTCTTCCCCTAGGCTCTTGTAGTTTCTTATCTCCTCACAGGTGTGTGCTGTAGACACACACACACACACACACACACACACACACACACACACACACACAGCTTCTCTGCAAACTCATGGCACCCATTATTCACCCATTCCTCTTGGTCCAGCATCCGCCTTTGTGATCCTGGCTGCTGGGAGGCAGCCTCTCCTGCTGAGGGCCCCTGGGGCTGTGGGGGAGGTGAGGCTGCAGCTGGGCACTCTCCCTGCTTTCCCTGAGGGGCTGGGTTGCAAACTTAGCCTGAAGCAAGGTTGGGGGTGGGGGAAATTGGGAAGCATGCTGGGGCCTCAGGCAGGTGAGTGCAATGCTCTGCTCTGCTCCAAAAATACTCTGTGATCTTAGCTCTTTCTCTAGAAAACTGTGATGTCACCGGGAGCCAATCAGCTTCTGGAAGGGCTTGCCTCCTCCCTCTTCCGCAACTTGCAGGGGAGGGGGAGGGGGAGAACAAGACACACAGAGATGACATACAGACAGACACGGAGAGCCACAGACACAGAAGTACATACATGCAGAGACGGAGCCCTTGCATACAGAGAAGCAGGCAGAACCCCTCCCCTTGCATGAGCCAACCGAAACACACACAGACACACACACACACACACACACACACACACACACGCACACATGCTGGTAGACAGAAACAGGGAGAGAGATAGGCAGGTAGACACAGTCACCCACACAGAGCAAGAGCTAGAGAGAAAGAGACAGAGGGAGACACAGAAAGACATGGTGAAGGAGCAGGAGCCAGAGAGAGATGGACGGACAGACACATGCAGAAATGGAGCCCGCAGGACAGATAGGCAGACAGACAGGCAGACAGAGGAGCCAGCAAGGCAGACAGACAAACAGAGATCCAGAGAAGGAGCTAGAGAGAGACAGACAGACAGACACACAGAGGAACCAGTAAGACAGACAAACAGAGATCCAGAGATGCGAGAGAGAGAGAGAGAGAGAGAGAGAGAGAGAACAAACACAGAGGAGCCCAGCATGTGTGTGTGCGTGCACAGACACAGAGAGGTGGCCAGACACAGACATGAAGGGATAAGAGACAGCGAGGTGCACACAGGGGTCCGAGATGCAGAGAGAGTCAGACCGAGGCACCGGAATGGGGAATGGCAGGGGCTGGTGCTGCCCTCCTCTGGGCATCCTCCCCTGCGGGAGTCCCCAGCTGGCTCTCTGTCTTTAAGCTGCCGCTTCGGTACTGCAGCTGCTGTCCTAGGTGCTGCCCTGGAGAGTCGGGTGCCCGGCCTGGGACCAGAAGGGTCTGGGGCTGGGGAAAGCTGTGGTCAACTGGCAGTAGGGGGTAGTACCAGGGAATGAAGGGGGTGAGGCTTCCCCTCAGCTGTTCTTTTCCCTGGGACGTTACTGGACAAGGTGACCTTGTGGCCTCCCTGGCCCTGCCTGGCAGTGGAGCCTGGCGTGGGAGGAGGGCTGCATGCCTTCTTTGGGCCCAGGAGTGGTGCTGCGGCGCTTGGGGTGCGTGGCTCTTCCTCTCTGCGGCGTCCTCTAGCTTGTGGTGGGGTGGAGGCAGGGGTGGTCCTCCCGCCTGCTGCCTTGCTCGCCCTCTCTGCTGCCAGCCAGGGTGGGTGTTCCCTATCCCACCGTCTGATTTCGTTTTCCTCTGCCCAACGTGGGGACAGCCCTGGGATCTCCCTCCTCTGTCGCCAGCATCCTGCTCTCCTAATGGTGATGTCTGGGGCTTGGGCCCCTCCCACTCCCCCCTCTGCGGCAGGGCTGGCAGAACTGTGCTGGGAGGAGGGGCTGGAGAGGCCGGCTCAGCCTGCGGGGTTTCCCTCTGGTGTTGCCACGAGCAGCCTCGGCTGAGCTTGTTAGGGATTTCCCTGCTCCTGCATGGAGTACCCTTGTTTTGTGCCATGCACATCGGGCTGAGCTGGGGGTGGGGTGGAGGAGGAAGGCTGGCTCTGTCATTTCCCACCAGGCTGTAGTGGCAGGCGTCCTGGAGCAGAAAGAATGTTCCCTGTGCACGAGCGGCCACAACTGGGCAGTGCCGTGGGCCTCCAGAGGGGGCCGGGCCCCTCACCTCCATGTCCTGGACTCCTTGTAATTCTTGGGGCAGGATGCCAGCAGGGGGTGGGGCTGGATGACGCCTGCGGCTCTTTGAGACTGGGGAGGGAAGAGCTGGCGTGTAGGGCTGAAGAGAATGGCTTCCCTCTCTTTTCCTCTCCCTTCCTTTCCCCCAAGTTGTGGATGCCTGGGGGCCCCAGGACAGAGGGAGGTATGAGCAGCGAGGGGGAGAGGGATGGAGGGTGTGCCTGGGACCCTCCTGGGAGGGTACGGTGGCCCATGGAGGGCAGCTGGTGGGGGGCGGGGTGACCCTGTGACACGGACATGGGGCTGCTGGGGCAGGATCTCTTTGTCACCTCCTTTCTGTGTCCAACCTGGCCGTCCCCATCAGGCGCCCACGGCCTGCGAGAGGAGCCCGAGTTTGTGACGGCAAGAGCTGGGGAGAGCGTGGTCCTGCGATGCGACGTGATCCACCCAGTGACGGGACAGCCCCCACCCTATGTCGTAGAGTGGTTCAAGTTCGGGGTCCCCATCCCTATCTTCATCAAGTTTGGCTACTACCCGCCGCACGTGGACCCTGAGTATGCAGGTAAGGTCTGGGCACCCGGTCTCCCGCACCTTCCCCAGCTGGAGTCAGCTCCTCGGTGGTTCCCCTCTGGCCCCTGCCTTGTCCTGACCACTCTTTATCTCTGTTTCCCAGTCTCTGCCTGGTTCCTCCCATCCTTTGTCCTCTGTTGGTTCTAATCAAGCGGTGGGAGGAGAGGGCTGTGGAGGTGGGGCAGGGTAAAGCCTTCTGAACAGCACCGCCTGGGCTGTGGAGAGGGCTGGGAGCCAAAGGGGAAGCTGGAGAGGCCTGGGTGGGAGAGTGGGATGGAGAGGACAGCAGACTGAGTCAGGCAGCCCTGGGCCAGCACGGCTCTCCCTGCTTGGCCGCACCCACCCCTTTCCTCTTGGCTCTGAAGTCGGGGCGCCTTCCCGTCCTGAGTGTATGGATGAATCTTTGGCCTCCCACCGTTTGCAGGTGCCTGGTGTCTGCCTCCTTGTCATGCTGTCCTCTCCTTCTCCTGGCCCCGTCTGTGTCCTGTTTGGCAGTTACTCCTGCCAGCAAAGGCCTCGTGACTCACTGCCGCTGCCTGCCCCCCAGCCCGCGGGAGAGGAGGGCGTGGGTGTGTGTGTGCGTGCGTGTGCGTGTCATTGAGCGAGCGTTGTTGGGGTTGAAAGGAAGGGAGGAAGCAGGCAGGGCACTGCCTTCACTTTCATCTTTGCTGGTGGCTTCTGAGGTCTGCCCTGCCTTTCTCAGAATGCTTCCGTCTCTGTCCCTCTTTCGCTCCTGTGCCCATGTCTCATGCTCTCTTTTTGGCCAGGGTTGGCTTTGAGAGTCTAGTTTTTAGGCAGATTGCCAGCATCAGGACGAGGAGGAGAGCAGAGGTGTGGTGATATTGGCTGCGGTGAGGGGTGAGCTAAGAGCGGGTGAGGTGGGCCGACCTCGAGGGCTGCTCCACCCTGCTGGCGTCATGGAAGAGGCTTCTGCACCTCTGGCCTCCTCATTGCCACATGTGAGACACAGATGGCATCCTACTGGGGCAGGGGATTAGAGCTGAGGAAGGGTGCCTCCAGGATGTTTGCTCTGATGGCCAACCCATTCCTTGTTCTCAGGCTTCTGGGCCCTGCTGCCCTCATCTCCTGGGGTCACTGGGCTTTGGTAGGATACATAGTCTCTCTGGCACTGACAGCAGGACTGGGAGGGGACCCTAGCATCCTGGACCCCAGCCTGCCTTCCCTCTGCCCTAGAGAGGGAAGCTGGGTGAGCCAGTAGTCCTGGAAATGCTGCTGGGATAGGGATATTGCTCAGCCTGAATGGAGGTGCTCCCGGGTGCGCTGGAGACCCCCCACCCATCCTCTTCTGTTGGCACTTTTTCATTCTCTCTTTCATCTCTTCACAGCTCTGTATCCATCATGCCTTACTTTTGTCTCAGGAGACCTCCAAAAGAATGAGAGTATTCTAGGGAACTGAGGCTGCTCTCAATGCCAAGTGCATTGAGTTGCCTTGCAGGCTGGGGCAGGGCCAGCTGGGGCGGGAGAGTGGCTCTGTGGCCAAGGTGCTATGCCCTTTCCTTTGCCACCTGCTGCTGGAGGTGGGTGCCAGCTGTTATTCTGGAGCCCTGCCATAGGGAATGGTATGAAGATTATGATGAGTCCCCTGTCTTTAGCTGGGGCAGGGGGCGGGGAGCTGCTGTCCTTACCTGATGGCCTGTGGGGCTTTTGTCTGCTCTATTCCCCCAGGCCGGGCCAGTCTTCATGATAAGGCATCTCTGCGGCTGGAACAAGTTCGCTCTGAGGACCAGGGCTGGTATGAGTGCAAAGTGCTCATGCTGGACCAGCAGTATGACACCTTCCACAATGGCAGCTGGGTCCACCTCACCATCAACGGTGAGTGACGGCTTCCAGGGTGGGTCCACCTCACCATCAACGGTGCCTGAGGGCTGTTTCCGGGGTGGGCCTGCCCCAGGGGAAGCCCTTCTCCCAACTGCATCTCACCCCCTGCCCCCCTCCTTGTTGCTGTGGTCCCATGAGACATCAGCTCACTCCTGCAGTGTCCCCGCTGCTGTCTTCTCGAAGCCTGTGCAGGCAGTGCAGGTGCCCAGGAGCGGCAGCTCCCTGCATGTGTGGTGCTGTCAGAGTCCTTAGAGGGACATGGGAAGCTGCTACTTCAAACCAGGAGGGCTGAGGCTTTAAGGTGGCAAAATGGGTCACCGCTGGGATTATTTCCCAGCCTTGGGAAGACCCTGCTACCCCAATTCTGGTGGAGTTCCTGGGGTCCCAGAGTTAGTCTTTCTTTTTAGATCGATGTTTTGGTTCTCTTTAACTGTATTCGTTTGATTAGTATGTACCAAGGGTGTAGTGTGTATCCAGCTCTGCAGCTGATGATGGATAAACACTGGCAAGCAGACCTGCACCCAGTCCCTGCCTGTGCGGGGTTTACCACATAGTAAAATGCAGGCATCCTGGGAAGCGTCACAGTTTTAATGGGCGTCAGTTATTACAGCTCAGGTTAAATGCCTTGTGCTGGATAAGATGCTTTTCAAGGATCTGGGTAAGGGCAAGGAAGCCCCAAGAGCTTGCTGAGCTCTGGGAGTTGGCCTAGGCTGGGGGCCTGAGTCCCCAGCGGTGACAGCACTAGAGGCTGGGTCCTCGGGGTCTCCCTGGAGGGAGAGTCTCCTCTTTGTGTCCCTGGAAGGAGGTACTCTGGAGGAGCTAGAAGGCTGGAACCATGGAGAAAAGATGAAGGAGAAGTGGTCCCCGTCGTGGGAGGGGAGCGGGTTTTAAAAAACATTTCGTTTTGTTTTTTGGCCAAAAAATTAACAATGTGTCCTTCGTTATTCCATTGATGACAAAATTTGTATCTAGCCACCGTTGTGTGGCAGATACTGTGCTAGTTATTGAGGCTTCAACAGCGTGGGTGCTTGGGTGTGCCACATACAGCTTACGGTCCTTGAGACCATAGATGCTGTGGTTAGAATAGAGAAATTGACGTTCCTGGCTTGGAAGCTTCTCTCAGTTTTTATCTGCTCCGAAGGGTGGCTCTGTCTGCCCTGCCTGGGGGGGCTGGGCCAGACCTGTGTTCCTTTTGGGTCTGAGAACTTGTCCAGGACCCTGGAAGAACGGAATATGTTATATTTTAGCAAGATCACTGGCTTTGAGAAAAGAAACCTTACAGCTGGTGGCCCTAGGCTGGTGTGGGTCCAGCCTGCCTAGCCCAGCCCTGCCTGTGGGAGGTGGCTGGCTCCTGTCAATCAGTCCCAAGAGACTGATTGAAGCATATTTGAAATCTTGGGGGGATTGTTCTGACCACCTGGTAAGCTTTTGAGTCACCGCCTTTTGGTGCCAGCTGTTGCGTGAGCAGGGAACAGGAGCCCAAGCAAAGTGTAATTAGGAAGGCAAATCTGCCGCTAAAACCTCGCCTTGATGAACACCAGGCTGAGGGTCCCCGCATTGCTTCCCTTCTCGACTGTGCTCTATTCTGAATGGGAGGGTGAAACCATCTTGGGGCACTGCCTCCGTTCTTTTGCATCATCCTGATTGGCAGTGTTCATTTCAGGAATCTGAGACACCAGGCATTCAGTGGACGTGCGTATGACTGGAAAGTAGAATCTCACTTCAATTTTATGTTCTGGAGCGTATCTGTGTTAGTTTGCACGAGTGGGAGTTGGTTCTTTGGGAATTCCTAATTGCTTTGAGTGGGATAAGCATGGAGCGAGACCTTTAAAAGATGAGGTTCGTTTCATAAACCCACTGTGTACTAGCTGTGTGGCTCTGGGCAAGGTTACTTACCTGTCGGACTTCCGGTTCCTCAGTTACAAAAAGCAGGGACTATGATTTGCAGGGCTGCTGTGAGGACTAGGTGAAATGCTGGATCTTGCACAGTGTCTGGAGTGTTAATTACATGTGGGTAATTATGTGTGAGATGCTGGCCATCCTCCTTCTCGAGAGGAAAAAAAACAAAGTCAGATGAAAATCTAGTAGCAGGGATATCAGGCCGGAAGGTGTAGAGGACTTTGGTAGTTTTGTGAGTCTACCAGCAGTTATCCATTCGAAACATAGTTTTGGACATCCACTCTGTGGCAGGCTCTGGGAATACAGCAGGAGGCATGACCCTGTCCTAGGTCTTAAGGAGACTTCAAGAGACTGTCACATCCAGAGATTACTGCCATATGGCTTTGGGAGCACAAAGGAGGGAGAACTTCTCTGAAGAAATGGCCTCTCTTCAGAGACCTGGCTAGGGAGGGGAGTTCGTCACGTGCAGGTGGGAAGTGGAGTAGGGTCCTCCAGCCAGAGTGGACAAGCGTGCTCGGAAGCCCAGAGCGAGGAGAGCGGCGCATTCAGGGAACACGGGTAGGCTGTTCATAGGGAAATGCTGGGCGGGAAAGCTGGGGATGGTGCACCATCTGCTCCAGGCTTGAGAACCAGGGCTGATAATAAAAGACGCTTTTCCATAATCAAGGCACCTACCTGCGCACAGGCAGAACAGAACCAACCCTTCTGCGGTGAGAGATCTCCTTTCTCCTCTTCTGCCTTTCTCTTCTTCCCAAGTTCGAGGCTCCTTCCAGCATAAAAATTTCCGTTACTGAAGGAAGGAATCCAAGCACCAGCATTACGTTGCTTTCAAACTAGAATGTTTAATGTCAGGCATTTTCTGACGGGGATCACCTTTGGAAAATGAAAGGCCAGTGAACAATTAGAATTACAAATTGTCTCATTTTCCTTCGGTGTTTTCTTTGAAGACCAGTTGGGTGGAAACAGACCCAATTATTTCTTTATCACATATAAAATACCCCAAAAGCCTGAGCCAAGCCTTCCTTTAGGTTGGTGAATTACATGGAGGAGAGGGCAGCCTATTTCTAACCTGCACTATTAATTACAGGGCTCTTGTAAAAAAGAATTAAGCCTGGAAATGCAGCTGGCAAGCTGACATCTAGTTCCGTAAATAATTGACAGTCAAGCCATTATTTTCCTGAAAACTAGAAATTGTTCAACGTACTTTCCTGATTAGCACCTAAATAATAAAGTAATTATGTAATTAGTAAGTAATTTGTCACTTCAGGATGTAAATTTAATTTATTATCTTTTCTTTTAAGCTTGGCACCAGAGGTAATAGAGGCAGTATCTGTGTTCACTGTATTTCAAGGGGCAGGCCGGGCAGGCAGGGGCTGTGTCGGAGATAAGCACGCTCTCAGTGAGAAGAGGCCTGCAAGTTAGGATCCCAGGACCCCTTTACAGGACTTCGAATAACTTTTTGCCATTATTTTTAGTATATTCTTAGACACTGGATAAGAATTGATTTTTTCGAGGACATGCGAGGTGTATGTTTTTGCATGTGATGACGCGTGTGAGGACGTGCAAGGTGTATGTTTCTGTATGTGATGACGCGTGCGAGGACATGCGAGGTGTGTTTTTGCATGTGATGACACGTGCGAGGACGTGCGAGGTGTATGTTTTTGCGTGTGATGACGCGTGCGAGGACGTGCAAGGTGTATGTTTATGTGATGACGCGTGCGAGGACATGCGAGGTGTGTGTTTTTGCATGTGATGACGCGTGCGAGGACATGCGAGGTGTGTGTTTTTGCATGTGATGACGCGTGCGAGGATGTGCAAGGTGTATGTTTCTGTATGCGATGACGCGTGCGAGGACGTGCGAGGTGTGTTTTTGCATGTGATGACGCGTGCGAGGACGTGCAAGGTGTATGTTTCTGCATGCGATGACGCATGCGAGGACGTGCGAGGTGTGTGTGCGTGCGATGACGCGTGCGAGGACGTGCGAGGTGTATGTTTCTGCGTGCGATGACGCGTGCGAGGACGTGCGAGGTGTGTTTCTGCGTGCGATGACGCGTGCGAGGACGTGCGAGGTGTGTGTTTTTGCGTGCGATGACGCGTGCGAGGATGTGCGAGGTGTGTGTTTTTGCGTGCGATGACGCGTGCGAGGACGTGCGAGGTGTGTTTTTGCGTGCGATGACGCGTGCGAGGACGTGCGAGGTGTATGTTTATGTGATGATGCGTGCGGGGACGTGCAAGGTGTATGTTTCTGTATATGATGACACGTGCGAGGACATGCGAGGTGTATGTTTTTGCATGTGATGACGCGTGCGATGACGTGCAAGGTGTATGTTTCTGTATGTGATGACGCATGCGAGGACATGCGAGGTGTGTGTTTTTGCATGTGATGACGCGTGCGAGGATGTGCAAGGTGTATGTTTCTGTATGTGATGACGCGTGCGAGGACGTGCGAGGTGTGTGTTTGTGCGTGTGATGACGCGTGCGAGGACATGCAAGGTGTATGTTTCTGCATGCGATGACGCGTGCGAGGACGGGCGAGGTGTGTGTTTCTGTGTGCGATGACGCGTGCAAGGACGTGCGAGGTGCGTGTTTTTGCATGTGATGACGTGTGCTCCTGCATTCATTCAGTGGCCACCCTCCGTGCGCCCCTGCTGCGCTTGCACTGAGCTGCAGGCTTTGGAGATGAGAGATGAAAGTGGTCTAGCTGTGGCCTTGCTCTTAAGAAGTGTTTTGGTATCGGCCTGCAGGTCTGTGTATGTGTGAACACCACTCATTTGTTTGTTTCATTCTTTCGTTCATTCAACAAATGTTTGCTGAGCCCTTGGCTACTACATCCAGGAACTATGCTAAAAGCTGGGCATGTGGTGACCTACGCAAAAGGGGGCTGCTCTTAAGGAGCCACCATCCTAATAAAGGGGACAGGTAAGAAACAGGTAAACACACAGAGAGAGACAGACTTGTAAGTGATATGTGCTTTGAAGAAAATGAAACAGCACCAGGGAATAGAGAATGCTGGAAGTGCCATCTGAGATGGGATGGGCTGCCCAGGTAAGGCAGCATTTTAGCAAAGACTTGCATAACCCAAAGGAGTGAGCTCCAGGTATGTAGTCCTAAGCAGGTAGAGCCACACATGCAAAGGGCCTGAGGTCAGAAGTTCTTGGTGCATTTGAGGAAGACAAAGGCAGCCAGTGTGGTTGGAGTGCGCTGGGAGGGAGAGGAGGCTGGTGCCACAGGCAGGACAAGATCCTATAGCGCTCTGACTAGTTCTCAGGGCAGGGCTGTGTGGGGAGGAGGGACCCTCCCAAAGCTTCCCGTGAATGCCTCAGTGGCTCCTGAAGAGCTGATAGAGATGGCGGTGGTACTGGCAACTGGTGCATTTTACAAGCTCCTTTTTACATGTTTATTCCTCACATCATTTCTGGAGGGTAGGGGAGTTAGGTATTTAGGTAAGACCCAGAGAGGCTGAGTAACTTGTCAAGCCTACCAGAAGTGGCAGGCTAGTGCTTGAACTTGGGTTCTGAGCTTCAGGTACCTTGAGATGAGCTCAGCTTGACCTGCGCCAGCCTAGTGCCGTGGGCCTCCGGGCTGGAGTTCAGAACTGGGGGCCTCCTTGCCATTTCAGAAGACTCTGGAACTGATAGTCCAAGGGGTTAAGATTGACCGGATTGCTTCTACAAGCAGCTCAGGCAAATGGGACTGAGTCTGTGAAAAGCCGATTACCCAAACAGGATGGAGTTTTAATCAAATCTCCAATGCAGGGGGGAAGATGACCTGACATGATCAGAGGAAAATGAAGAAGGGAGTGGCCTTCGGGTGGGCTGTCCACCTTCATCCATGGAAGCCAGAGAGGGAGGAAGCTGGATGATTTTCTCAGCAGAATCTGGGAAAATGAGGTTCCGCGTAGCCTTGGCCTGCATCTGTGTTAAGTCTTGGTAGGGCTCCGACGGCAAGTGTCCTGGAAACGCGGGGGCCTGGCTGAGCTGGGTTTCAAGAAGTAGGAGCTCCTGTGTGTCATGGATCATCATAAAGGGAAAGACTGAAGGATGGTAGCAAAGCCTGAGGAGCTGGGAGCAGGCAGTGTTTGTAAGGGCCACCCTAGAGTAGATGCTCAGTTAACATCGGTGACCTGGGAATAAGCTACAATACAGAATTTGGACCCAGCCAGCCTGAGTTTGGATGCAGGTCTCCCTGCCAGTGATGTTGGTAGGCAGAAAGTTTTTCCCATCCCCACCTTCCTTCCTTTGTCCTTGCATTCCGCAGAGCCGCAGCGAGGGTGATGTGTGGGGCAGGTACTGTTGTTGCAGGGCAGCGATGTGGCTGATGGCGTGTCCTTCATCTTTGTGGTCTCCTTTGCAGCCCCTCCCACCTTTACAGAAACACCCCCCCAGTACATCGAGGCCAAGGAGGGTGGTAGTATCACCATGACCTGCACAGCTTTTGGGAACCCCAAGCCCATTGTCACCTGGCTCAAGGAGGGGACGCTCCTCGGTGCTAGTGGGAAATACCAGGTGAGTGTGGTTCTAGGTTGGGGCCGCTGCGGTCTCTTCCCCCGTTTCCCCAGGGCAGCCTCCTACTGCAGCCGACCCCTGATGCTACAGGCACAAGCACAGAGGAGGCTGGAAAGCCGTAGCCTGGCTCAGCTGCAGGCGTCTCTGTGTCGCTGGCGGGAGATGGGCAAGGGGGCACCTGCCCTTCGTGTCCCCCAGATGCATCTGTCCCTGTGGTCATCTCCACCTTAGTGTCTCCGACTGCATCTCCGTGTTTGAGGGTAGCAGCGGTGGGTGTGAGCGTGGGTGCTGAGCTCCCTCTGTTTTGGGCTCCCAGGTGAGTGACGGCAGCCTGACAGTGACATCGGTCAGTCGGGAGGACAGAGGTGCCTACACCTGCCGAGCGTACAGCATTCAGGGGGAGGCTGTCCACACGACTCACCTGCTTGTCCAAGGTAGGAGCCATTTCCTCAGCCTCTTTAACCCTGGGCTCCCGCGGGGATGTCCAGCCCGGCTGAGCTACGGAGGGCGTTTTCCCAGGGCTCAGCTGGGGCTAGTGGAGGTGCAGGCGGCCATGAGGACCTGTGCGGGGCTCCTGTGTGCTGCCTGCTGCCCTGGTCAGAGCTCCTGCACCGGCTGCCTGGGAGAGGGCCAGGCCCACAGGCCGTGGCCAGGCACCACATGGCGTGGCAGAGAGGCCCCTGCTGTGTGGGTTTCTGGTTTCTCCTTCTGTTCAGATAGCATCTCTCCCATGTCTCCGCCTCCCTGGGAGAGGAGACCTCCCTGGGGTCATCTATCCATTAGTGACGGCATCAATAAATAAAGATAGAAACTCAATCCAAGCCCCAGACATTTAAATAACACAGTGGGCATTTGGCAGAGCTGGGGTCTGTATGGTCAGCACAGGGAGATGCCAGACTGCCCTGCCTGGAGCCCCAGAGTCCCCAGAGAGGGGCCAGGAACTGTGCAGGATGGGGCAGCGTCCCGGTCGGGGGGTCTCTACCCTGTGCTGAACTCGGCCCCCGGCTTAGCCTCCCCAGCCCTGCCTCCTGGAGGAACTCGGGGGTTGTGGGGGTTGGTGGCGGCTGCATGCTCCTCCTGCCTCTGAGTGCCGAGCAGCAGCCTGGGCCAGAGGTCCCTCAGCAGCCTGGATGGAAGCTGTTCCCTCTCAGGGGAGACTTGGCCGCAGCTGCCCCCTTTGTCTGTGCAGCCAGCACCAGGACTGCTGGACTTTCACCCTCTGCTTACTCCTCGGCCCCTGCACCCCCAGCTGCCCTCTTGATTTCTGGCTGGGGAGCAGCCCACGGCCCTGACTCCTTGAGACTGGACTATTCCTCGCTCTAGATTTGAAAAGAGTTGCCTTTCTCCCTGCTGCATGTCTGGCTCGGGCTCTGCTGGGAGAAGGCAGGCAGGAAGGGGGTGTGCGTGGCGGCTGGTCTGGGGAGCCTGGTGCGGGGGCAGGGGTGGTGGACAGGATGCCTGAGCACAGATAGCATCTGGAAGTGTCTCCATGACAGCCGCCCCCATCGCAGTGTTCAGGGCACCGCTTCCTGAGGCACTGAGGGCTCCCAGGAGGCCTGGGTGCTGCTGCCGTCCCTGATCAGGCGAGGTGGGGTTTGTTCCCTGCTCTCCCCAGGGCCCCCTTTCATCGTCTCCCCTCCTGAGAACATCACCGTCAACATCTCCCAGGATGCTCTGCTCACCTGCCGGGCAGAGGCGTATCCGGGCAACCTCACCTACACCTGGTACTGGCAGGACGAGAACGTCTACTTTCAGAAGTGAGCACCCTGCTCTGACTTTTCAATGAGGTTGCCACCCCAGCCCCCACGGGCAGGGCCCCTGAGCAGAAATTGCACGGGCAGGCTGCCCGTGGCTCTTGGAGCTGGGGGAGGTGGGCAGTCTGGTCCGTGTGTCTCACATGCCAAGGCCAGGGTCTGCATGGAGGGGCCCTGGGGATGCCAGGGGCATGGGCTCTCCATGCCACATCTGGGGCAGTGACGGTGACTGTGTGTCTGCGGCAAGATCCCCTTCTGCTCGCCCAACCCCCTGTCCCCATGCCGCTTTGCAGCGACCTGAAGCTGAGGGTGCGCATCCTAATCGATGGGACCCTGATCATCTTCCGGGTGAAGCCGGAGGACTCGGGGAAGTACACCTGTGTGCCCAGCAACAGCCTGGGGCGCTCCCCCTCCGCCTCGGCGTACCTGACCGTGCAGTGTGAGTAGGGGTGCAGGGGAGCCTGGGTGGTGGGGCTCCCAGAAGGTTTTGGTGTTAGCCAGACTGTAGGCTGGAGGGTAGCAAAGACCAAGCATCATTTGGGGGCATGTAGGTGGAGGAGCGAATAAGAGAAGAAGGAGGGATGGCTGGAGAGGAGGCCGAGGCCCTGGACAGTTGGGGTGGAGCAGCTCCTACTTCGCTGGCCAGGCGTCGCTGTTCAGCCAGTACATCTCATCAGCTCCGTGCAGGCTGCACTCAGGAAGACACCTTTGAGCAGTTCCTTCTGAACGGTGGTCCTCGGGCTGAAGGCTGGCCTGCACCTCTGTGCCCAGAATCAGTTGCTCTCTGGTGCTCTTTTCTCAGGTGTCTTATGGAGCATAGCCCAGGCCCATGCAGGGTTAGGTTTCTCCCAGCCTTACTCCCTGCCTTTCCACACCGCGTCTGTGTCGGGGGCGATGTGCTCCAGCTCCTGCGCCTGCTCCCTCTGGCGTCCGCGGCCTCTCCCCTTGGGTGGCTGGAGATCCAGATGAATGAGCTGCTCCTCACCCAGACGTTCGAGGGCTTTTGTGCAAGCACCACCATTCAGCTTGCTGATCTTTAATACTGAGCCGCCAGTTGCTTTCCCGCCCCCTGGCAAGCTGAGCCCTGAGACAGAGAAGGATGAGTAATGAGGAGTAATATCTTCCTTTTGATTTGTGGATGGCCCTGTCACTCAGGCAACAAAGGCTGGCATTGTTGCTGTAGATAACAGACTCTCCCTCATTTCCCGGCTGGTGTGGGCGGATTGCTCACACCCAGCGACAGGGAGTGGCAGGGGTGAGAAGTGGAACAGTCTGGAGACAAGACCGGGGTCAGTGTACGAGCTGAGGACAAGTGGAGGATGGCTGGTGGCCCTGGAGGTGGAGCTGGTCCGACTGCTGCCCAGAGCTGGATGTGGACATTCCACCACTGGTCGCGGTGGTGGAGCACGCTGCGCCTGCTGAGCGCCATCGGACCCCTAACCTCGCAGTCTCACTCTTTCCTCTCTATGGAGTGCATCGCCTCTCTGCGTCTGCCGTCAGCCACTTAAAGGACTTTTGATGTGCTGTATTCCCAGGCCCAAGCTTTAGAGAGCCGTGAGGTCCAGGACAACAGATCTCACTCCCCAGACCTGCAGCGGGAAAAAGCGAGTTGAGAAGTTATTCATACATGACTTAGGATGTGCCCAAGCTGTGCTGGGGTGGGGAAGAGCTGCAGGAAGGAGAGACCCGTCCACCACAAAGGTGCGCCCCGTCCCTCTGTGCTGGACGCAGGCTGTGCCACCTGGCACGGAGTTGGCCATGGTGGGGCAGGAGGAGCCAACAGGAGGTGGCCTTTGGAAGACGAGCTGGCCAGGATGAAGGCCCCTCCTCGAAGCCATAGGCCATCTGTCTTTCTGGAGACATGTTTTGGTTTTCCCTGTCTCTCCCCAGCGCCAGCGTCACCACCCACTCCCCCTTGTCCTTTTTTACCTCCTTCCTGTCTTCAAAGAAAATCCAGGGGGTTGAGATTTACAGGTGGGTGAGACAAGGATTTTTATTTCTGCTAAAAAGCAGTGTTCAGAGTATTTCCCATTCATAAACGCTTTGAAAACCTTGGAGGAAAAAAAAAAAAAACTCTACCATACAAAAGTAGGAAGCTATGTCTAAATATATAACTCGGCCTGGTATTTATGTAACACTGTTCTCTGAAGAGCTCAAAATGCTTAAAAGATACCAGCTCATTCATCCTCACTGCCTTCCTAGTTCTGGATCCTTCTCCTCCGTAGCCCTCAGGAGAAATAGGGGAGTACTGAGAGGAGGTGACTCAGCCCGCATTGCAAGAGGTGTGGGGTTCTCGTTGCTCCTCCGAGAGCCAGGGTCCTGCTGTGTCACCAAGGTTGGAGTGCAGTGGTGCCATCATGGCTTACTGCAGACTCAAACTCTTGGGCTCAAGTGATCCTCCCGCTTCAACTTCCAGAGTAGCTGGGACTACAGGTGTGTGCCACCATGCCCAGATCATTCAAAGATGTTTTTGGTAGAGTTGGAGTCTCGCTAAATTGCCCAGGCTGGTCTTAAACTCCTAGCCTCATGCAGTCCTCCCACCCCAGCCTCCCAAAGTGTTGAGATTACAGGTGTGAGCCACTGCACCTGGCCTGATTCAGCATTTCAGCTGCAGAATCAGATGGGGAAATGAATCCAAGGAAGGCTGGTCAACCAGCAGAATGGGGAGGAAAAATACCCCCTTTGTGGTTAAGCCTATGATAGTGTTCTTCTTTTGGCTTCGGATGTAGAGGCGGGGACTGCTTGTTGCTCAGGAGACTTTGGGATAAGGAGCTGTTGGGGAAGGGTGTGGGCAAATGCTGGCTTTGACGCTAGGGGTCTAGGAACAGAGAGAAATGGACATTGAGAGGACCTCGTTCAACGGGTGAGGTCCATGGTAGAAGCATGACAGGGGCACTGAGGATTGGAGCAGGCTCGGACGTGCATCTGAGTGCCTCCAGACACTCAGAACAGAAGTTCTGAGCACCTGGGCTGGTGCATGGGCTGCCTCCGGCCTGGATTCTCACCTGGCTTCCCTGTGTCTGTCTGTCTGCTCTCCCACCTGGCTTCCCTGTGTCTGTCTGTCTGCTCTCCCACCTGGCTTCCCTGTGTCTGTCTGTCTGTCTGCTCTCCCACCTGGCTTCCCTGTGTCTGTCTGTCTGTCTGCTCTCCCACCTGGCTTCCCTGTGTCTGTCTGTCTGTCTGCTCTCCCACCTGGCTTCCCTGTGTCTGTCTGTCTGTCTGCTCTCCCACCTGGCTTCCCTGTGTCTGTCTCTGTCTGCTCTCCCACCTGGCTTCCCTGTGTCTGTCTGTCTGTCTGCTCTCCCACCTGGCTTCCCTGTGTCTGTCTGTCTGTCTGCTCTCCCACCTGGCTTCCCTGTGTCTGTCTGTCTGCTCTCCCACCTGGCTTCCCTGTGTCTGTCTGTCTGTCTGCTCTCCCACCTGGCTTCCCTGTGTCTGTCTGTCTGTCTGCTCTCCCACCTGGCTTCCCTGTGTCTGTCTCTGTCTGCTCTCCCACCTGGCTTCCCTGTGTCTGTCTGTCTGTCTGCTCTCCCACCTGGCTTCCCTGTGTCTGTCTGTCTGCTCTCTCACCTGGCTTCCCTGTGTCTGTCTGTCTGTCCCTGTGTCTGTCTGTCTGTCCCTGTATCTGTCTGTCTGTCTGCTCTCCCACCTGGCTTCCCTGTGTCTGTCTGTCTGTCCCCGTGTCTGTCTGTCTGTCCCTGTGTCTGTCTGTCTGTCTGTCTGCTCTCCCACCTGGCTTCCCTGTGTCTGTCTGTCCCTGTGTCTGTCTGTCTGTCCCTGTGTCTGTCTGTCTGTCCCTGTGTCTGTCTGTCTGCTCTCTCACCTGCGCTTCCTCTATGCAGACCCAGCGCGTGTCCTCAACATGCCCCCTGTGATTTACGTGCCCGTGGGGATCCATGGCTACATCCGCTGCCCTGTGGACGCAGAACCACCGGCCACCGTGGTCAAGTGGAACAAGGACGGCCGTCCCCTGCAGGTTGAGAAGGTGCTAGAGAGATGCATGTTGAGGGTTGGAGTGAGGGCTCCCCCCAGTACTGTGATGCCACCTCTGGGCTCTGGATTTCTGCCAGGACTCCTGGCCCCTTCCAAAAGCCCTGGGCAAACAGAGAGCTGCTTCTGTAGGGGTCTGCGGGTGCCGCCCGCCCCGGGCTGGAGCTCCTGTACTATCCTGCGTGCTGCCTGGCCCAGCTGGGACCCAGCCTGGGATGGAGCGCGGAGTCTCTGACCAGCGTTCCCTGCCCTATCGTCTGTGTCTGGCAGAACCTCGGTTGGACCCTGATGGAGGATGGCTCCATTCGAATTGAGGAGGCCACAGAGGAGGCTCTTGGCACTTATACCTGTGTGCCTTACAACACTCTGGGGACCATGGGCCAGTCTGCCCCTGCGAGGCTTGTCCTGAAGGTGAGGTCCCAGGGCTGTGACGGCCTCCATGAGCTGGGCACCTGGATCCCCGGCCTCACGAGGGTGCCTGTGCTTTCCTCCCCAGGACCCCCCCTATTTCACGGTGCTACCAGGCTGGGAGTACAGGCAGGAGGCCGGCCGGGAGCTACTTATCCCCTGTGCTGCCGCAGGGGACCCCTTTCCTGTCATCACTTGGAGAAAGGTACCTGGGCCCTGGAGCCCTGGGTCTGCAGGGAGGTGTGAGGGCCCAGGGAGCCCTGGGGCTGCGGGGAGGTTTGAGGGCCCAGCGAGCCCCGGGGCTGAGGGGAGGTGTGAGGGCCCAGCGAGCAGTTCTATTCTGGACCTGCCCTGACCAGGCTAGATGCCGAGCAGTGAGCTGACCCTGAAGAGCGGCAGGCACTCGGGAGGAGGGCAGCGTGGGCGGGCCGGGGTCTCAGGCGCGTCCTCCCCATCTGCTTCGGGCTTCTCTCCTAACCCCCATTTCTGTTCCCACCCTCTTCCCTGCCCCTTGTTCACCAAGGTAGGGAAGCCCAGCAGAAGCAAGCACAGTGCCCTGCCCAGTGGGAGCCTGCAGTTCCGTGCCCTGAGTAAGGAGGACCACGGGGAGTGGGAATGTGTCGCCACCAACGTGGTCACGAGCATCACTGCCAGCACCCACCTCACCGTCATCGGTACGTGGCCGGCAAGGCTGGGCCGGGCGGCGGGGACAGAGCAGGCTGGCTGGGGGCGGGGTGCTGGACGCTGGGAGCGTCCCCTGGTGGCCGCTGCACTCTGCGGGCTCCCTTCCTAAGTCAGTGCAGCCCTGAACTCCGCGTCCAGCACCGGCAGCCTTTGCCCCCGTGGGCTCTGTCGGGGAAGGGCAGCGTGGCTCCTGTCCTCAGGGAGGTCTTTCTGGGGACAGGCCTGATGTCCACAGCAGCCCACCTGAGGGAAAGAGGCGGCTGTGTGGCTGGCAGGGACTGCAGAGCCTTGAGTTTAAGGGCCTTAGGGAGAGCTGGAGGGCTGGAATGAGGGAGACGGGGACTGTGCAGCATCTCAGATGAGGGCAGAGCTGAGACCTGCAGGCCAGGCCTGGCGTGCGGAGGCTGGGCAGGAGGAAGTTTCTGGGGTTCTGTGTCTGGGCGTTCCCGTTTCCGATTGCCCGAAGCGCGTGTCCCAGGACCTTCGCCTGGGCCCTCTCAGCCTGTCCTTCTGGGTCCTGACGGCTATAATCACAGTCACAGCCAATGCTTTTGGAGCCTTTACCACCAGTTTTAGGTTCTGTTCCAAGTGGTCTGCACAGCTCGTCCTTCACAACTCGGGAGGTGCGAGCTGGGGTTTCTCTAGTGTAGGTTCCTCGAAGCAGAGGTTGCCGTGGCCCGAATGCTTTCTCCGGCGTCACATCGCTAAGAAGTAGTGGGTCCGGGAATCGAAGCCAGGATGGGGCTCCTAACTGCTGTGCTGTGCTGCCCACATGCCAGCATTGGGGTGGGACGGAGTTGTCTTCTGAGGCCAGAGAACCTTACGGGAGGGGCTCTGTGGCTGTGCCTGCCGCCTTAGGAGAGAGTGTTTCTGTGCTCACCAGAGAAGCACAGGATTTGGGCCAGGACGAGGAGGGCTCTGGTTTCTGTTGGACCCATTCCTGATGCTATGTGATCTCCTAGTTGGACTAGACCGCACAGTGGGACAGGCTTCCTGCTCCAACCCCACTAACAAGCAGGGTCAGGGGAGTCGGCGCCTGAGAGCATCCCCGTCGCCCCCATCCCTTCACTTGCAGTATTGTGCTCCGCTGCCATGCGCTTCAGCCTCTCAGGTTCCCCACAGCCAGACGGTGGGCACCCAGCCACGTGGCTGAGTTCTTTTCAGTCTGAGAGGTCTCCACTTGATCTCCAGGCACCAGCCCCCATGCCCCGGGCAGTGTCCGGGTCCAGGTCTCCATGACAACTGCCAACGTGTCCTGGGAACCAGGCTATGATGGAGGCTACGAGCAGACATTCTCAGTTTGGTACGGACCTCTGTGAGTCACCCCGGCATGCTTTGCTCTCTGCTTCTCCCCTCCCCGGTCTTCCTGCAGGCTACCCCGGGTGGGGGGAGGTAGGAGGAGGCTGCAGTTCCTGGCCTGCCAGCCCTGCACAGACTGAGGTGGGTTGAGACAGTGATGAGGTCCTTGTGGGTGACGGGAGGGGTCTGAAGGGACTCTGGGCATGGCTGTGTCCCTGTGGCCTGAGGGGTCTGGGCCTCTCTGTGCCCTCTCCCTGCTCACGTGCTGCCTCGTTTTGCGTCCTGCTTCATCCTCTGGATTCCTCTGGAGCCTGGAAGAGACTCCTGCCCTTCAAGGGCTTTGTGAAATTGCCCAGCCTTAAGTGTAGAGTCTAGTTTTTAGACTAATTTTTTTTGTATTTTTGTATTTGTAATTTTTGTGGGTACATGGTACATACGTTTGTAGGTATGGGGTACGTGAGATATTTTGATATAGGCATGCAGTGTGTAATAATCGCATCAGGGTAAAGGGGTATCCACCCCTCAAACATTTGTCCTTTGTGTTCCAACAATCCAATTATACTCATAGTGGTTTAAGAATGTATGATACATTATTGTTGCTTGTAATCCTGTTGTGCTGGCAAACACCAGGTCTTACTGGTTCTTTCTCACTATGATTTGTACGTGTTCACCCTCCCCACCTCCTGTAGTCTAGTTTTTATTCTGTCTTTTCCCCAGAGGCCACAGAAACTGGTGTGGAGAGGTGATGCTCACTTCCCAGCCTTGGGGTCAGCCCCTGCATTTTCTCTCTAGGACCATGTGTTTCTCGATTGTTTTCATTCCTCTGTTGTCAGTTTAGCCAGATGCAGTCATATGAGGTCTTTGCGCAAACCTTAGGGTAGATACAGATCTCAAAAATGTGCCAAGCGGGGTGAGGGCAGGAGGCACAGGAAGGGAGGAGAAGGAAGCCTAGCTGACTCCTCCCACCCCCAAGGGCTGCCCCTCCCTACACTCCTGTTTGAGTAAGAGTGGCAGCCACCTGCCCTGCCCCGGGGGTGACAACCTTGAGCTGGGAGGGCGAGCCCCTCAGTGCCTTCTTTTAGACCTGTCTCACCTGCAGGTGTCTCTCTAGCCAGGCTCAACTCGAGGAGGGGGAGCTCGAGGGGAGGGGGAAAAGGCAGGCACCTGGGGCAGCTCAGGGGGTTCAGGGAGACCCCTTTATCCACTTCTCAGCAGCGAGGGAAGTTGAGAGGGGCACCCGCTCTGTCTCCCATCATGGTGGTTCGGTGGCTGCTTCCCGGGCGGAGTGTCCTGGGTGTCTTGATTCTGATTGGAGAACTGCACCTGGATGATGGGAGTTGCCGCAGCTCACCTCCCGTCCCCTTACTCTGTTCCTCCCGCAGCAGCGTGGGGGCCCTAACCAGCCTGCCCGGTGGCTGCTGGGAGACCGGTGCTGCTCAGCGCCTAGGTGTCCAGGGTGGGACATTTGGTGTGGTCAAGCTGTCTTTGGAGATGCCTGGGTGGGAGGTCTGGGCATACGATGGGGGGCTCAGGTGTAGATTGGGGCTCCCCTGCTGCTTGCGGTGCTGCTTCACGCTGCTGCTCCACGCTGCTGCTCATCTGCACTGCTTTTCCACACGTGGCTCCTCGCTGCTTTGTTGCCTGGGCCAGGGAAGGGCGGGGCCGAGGTTGGGGAGGTCTCCTTTCTTTCTGCCTGCCTCTAACTCTGTGCACTGACTCCGACGTTTGGCGCCGGCTTCTTTTTGTACTGCTTTCCGCTGCCTCATCTCACCCTCCTGGGCGTGCACGGTAGTGAGCCGGGACCCGGGAGTGGATCCTGGAGGGCACCCACCAGGTTACAGCTCAGGGCTGCAAGGAGAGGGCCAGTCCCACAGGACCATGTCTCCTCCCTGTGGTGACGTGGCAGCACTGCACCCATAGCCCTCCGGCTTTGCTGGGAGTTGGGAGCCTGTGGAACAAGGGAACACCCTCGGCCCGTCTTCCTACTCTCCATGCATAGCGTGACCTTCTTCCAACCCTTACGGCCTTAGGGATCCTGGCCCCACTGTGGGGAAACCCCTGGTCATTATGGTCTTATACCCTGGACATCTCAGGTGACTCCAGTCTGATTGGATGAATGAGCCCTGTGGGTTACCCGAGGCCCTACTTCAGCTGTCCCTGGGGGTGTGTGCAGCCAGGTCCTGGGCTCCTTCCCTCATCCTGCCACTGTTGAGCCGCTTATCCCCATACCCCAGAGCCTTACTCTCCCAAGGCAGAGCTTGTTCTTAGGGTTGTGACCAGGGTGGGATTCTCCCACAATGCAGCTGGTAATCCATCTGACCAGTGTCCTGAGCACGACTTGCACCTAAAGGCCCCTTTGGTAGAAAAGATGCCAGCTGTGGTTGGTGACCCAGCATCAGGAGGATTGGCACAGCCAAAGCTGGGCAGGGCATCCACTCTGGGCCATGCCCTCTTCTTGCCCTTGAACCTAGGAACGCCAGGCCCACCAGTGCCTTCTCCCTGAGCACCCTGCATGCACCCTCTTCTCTCCAGTGTGACCCACCCCGCCCCTCGTCCCCTATCCTGTCTCTCTCTTTTGGCCAGGATGAAGCGGGCACAGTTTGGGCCCCATGACTGGCTGTCCTTGCCAGTGCCGCCAGGACCCAGCTGGCTGCTGGTGGACACCCTGGAGCCTGAGACAGCGTACCAGTTCAGCGTCCTGGCCCAGAACAAGCTGGGAACCAGCGCCTTCAGTGAGGTGGTCACTGTGAACACTTTAGGTGAGGGCCCGGGGTGGGATGTTGGGAGCGGGGGTTGTAGAGGTGGTGGGGGCGGTGGCCCAGGCAGCTATAGCAGTCGGCCTCCTGTGTGCCGGTACCTTGCTGAGTGCTCCACAGAGCCGTGCCATCTGATCTCCCCGTGAGGATTTGTTGTGGTCTCTGTGGGGTTTGCTGGTCCTGCATCAGAGTGCCATTGGCCGAATTCCTGTTGCTTTTTCAGGTGGAAGAAAGACACTTAGAATTTTCTCTTTCCTTGTCAGGCCACATGTTTGCTTTCAGGGGAGATTGGGCATCCTCCCTCCTTGGCAGCGCCTGCCGGTTCTGGCCTCTGGCCCCAGCGTCACTGGGCGGTAGGCATGTGGCTGCCTCCCGCTGCAGAGTCTTCCAGGCCACCTTCCTGGAGGCAGCCTCATACTCCTCCCTGCCTGGCCACAGTTGTGTTTGCTCTGCTCTGGAGCCAGAGAAAGGGCCACTGTGAACAGGCTTTTCCTAGGTGGTGTAGGTGGCGCGACTCCAGCCCCTTTCCCAGAATCCGCTCCTGAGCGGCCGCCAAGGTGGACAGCAGTCTGGGATGCTCACCCCCAGTCCTTGGCACCTCTGTGGGGCCTTGTGTTGACCCCCAAACCCCGGCCAAGAAGGGAATGGAAAGAGTGACTGCTGTGCTGTGAGAAAGAAGATATCCCTAGCTCCCTGGAAGAGCACAGGAGATACTTTGATGACATTTAATTATTCCTCCTTCCCCATAGTTCCCATTTCTCTTCCCTTTTGCAGTACACGATTCCCTCATGTATGTTTAGACGTACTCTGAAGGCAGAACCCTGAAGCCCTGGGCCCCGGGCCCTGACTCTGCTTCCCTCTGGGCCCTGACATGTGCACAGGAGTGTGGGGGGTGCGGTGGCTGCCCTGGGCCTCGCTGATGCGCTGTGGTTCTTCTCCTTCCCCCGCCGCAGCATTCCCTATTACAACTCCAGAACCCCTGGTGCTGGTCACCCCACCGAGGTGCCTCATAGCCAATCGGACTCAGCAGGGTGTGCTCCTGTCCTGGCTTCCGCCTGCCAACCACAGCTTTCCCATCGACCGCTACATCATGGAGTTCCGTGTCGCAGAGCGCTGGGAGTTGCTCGACGATGGCATCCCCGGCACCGAAGGAGAGTTCTTTGCCAAGGATCTGTCACAGGTGAGGGCTTTGCTCTTCCTTGCTGCTGCTTCCCAAATCCGGGAAGCGACAAGACTCTAGAGGCACTGGAAGCTTTGAGTGACCAACTTTGGGTGTGTGAGGCCAGCCACATCCTGTACCTCCTCACCACTGGTCCTGGATTCTCCCAGACTCGCTACCAAGGCCTGGACTCCTCAGATCATGGCCCACAGGCTCGGGGCCAGCTCTGGGGCAGCGGGGACCTGTGTTCTACTGAGGGTCCCGGCACCGCTACAAGCTGGGCAGGGCAGGCTGAGAGGCCAGCAGGCGTAATCAGAGCACTGACCCCAGCCCTTGCTGAGCCTAACCTGGGGTGGGCAGAGAAGTTCCAAGAAGAATTCTCTTCTAGGTGTGTCCAGGGAAGAACCCCTTCTCCAGTAATTTAGAGCTCCTGGAAGAAAGTGCATTATCTCTTTTTCCAGTAGCTCCGTTAAACTTGGATATCTAGCTGGGGAGAGGAAGCAGCTGGTTTCCTAAGATACAGTCTCATCTATCTTTCTGTCTTCCTTCCTGGACACTTATTTATCAATAGTGGTTGCTGGAGTCGGCTCCCAGTGGCCCTGGAGAGCCTGTTGTACATATCTCTTCCCAACGCTTTCGGTGACCTCACGTTCGTAGCTTGAAGTCAGCCATTGTAAGAGTGTTTACACCACAGCAATTGGCCAGTGCTACCATCGCTTAGCATTAGACACTTAGCAGTCCTCCTGTGCTTTGGGTGCCCTGCCCTTTGCAAGGCTGTGTGCAGGATGAGTGTGTGAGGGGACAGTGGTCATCTCAGGTCCCTCGGCTGACTGGGTATTGTCCCTGGGGCTGCAGGACACGTGGTATGAGTTCCGGGTTCTGGCCGTCATGCAGGATCTGATCAGCGAGCCCAGCAACATCGCCGGCGTCTCCAGCACAGGTATTTTGGGTTGAGGGTGCTCTTGCAACTATAGGGACATAAGCCCCAGAGCTGCATGGGGGTCATTTTGTGAAATGGCTACTCCACGAGGAGAAGCTGGATTGGAAACTAAGGCAGTGCCTGGTTGCAGCTGCGTGAGTCATAGCCTTTCTTAAGCCCACCAGACCCATATTTCCATGATGCATGCTATTTCGTGAAGCTCAGAAGCTGAGTTTCTGACACTTGTATAAGACAGCCACAGAAAGAAATTCAACTAATCTTCTCATTATAGTAGTCAAAAAGGACTTGATTGAAGTGCTATTTGCTGTACATTTTCAGTTTCCTCTTGTCGGGGAGGGGCTGTGAATCGGAGGAAACAACAGGTCAACCATGTTTATCAAATGCTTGTGATAGACTTCTTTATAATTATGTGGGTTTTATTTGGAAAATTGTTGTTTGGTGTTTTCCTCCCTTCCTTCCTCTCTCTAGATTTTTAAGGCTAAATAAAGCCAATTCCCTAGCATTTTCTCCATTTATCTTTCTTTCTCTTGGCCCTGGTCCCATTTCTACACATCTTCTCTCCAGCTATAGTTCCTGAGACATAGCAGGTTCCTCCGCCAGTGAAGGGGTGTCCTTGGTATGGGAAAAGGCTCTTGCTTATAAGCAAGTGATGGCATCATTTCCTTGGGCACCGCTCACCCAGAGTCCCCTGGGACCAGGTGACAGTGACCTCGTCTGAGGAGCTCATGCAGCAGGACTTGTAGAGTTGGGGAAGTGCTGGTGTGGGCACACTGCAGGGAGCACGAGAGCAGGGGCAGGTGTGGAGTGCAATTTCTGCTTTATACATTAGGCATCAATGGGCTTTAAAAAAAAAAGGTTGTGTCCTACAGGTAGCAGAACCCACAGTCTTTCTTGACTTCTCTGTGGGGAATAGACTCAGAGTTGGAGGAACAGGGATGAGAGCTTGCATCCAAGGCTGGAGCTGAAGAAGGGGTGTTGTGTGGGCCCACCCCTGACCATTCTGTGCTCAGTAGCTCTATGCCAGCTCCTGGCAGGAAATGTGCCTCGTCAGACACTTCCACACAGGGGAAGGAGGAGGCAGCAGCCTCAGCATTCCCTGTATTAGGTCCCCCATTTCCAAAGGCTGTAGCTTTCATTTTCCCCTCAGACAATCAGCATCATCTGGATTATTTTTATCCATTATTATTATCGATGCAGCAATGAATTCTGGCCAAATACGTTACAATCTATCGATTCTGCCTTTGCTGAACCTAAGCAGTGGCACTTACCGACACAACTTTCCTATGAGTATAAGATGGTAGGCTGGTGTCTAGTCTTGGCTCGGTCATAACGAGCTCTGTAGACTTGGGCAGGAAAGGAGGACGTTCAGCTCCTTATGGTGAAACGAGAGATTTGGCTCCATCTCTGCTGTCCCTGCCAGCTCTAGGGTACTTCCGTACCTGAGATGACCAGGATGCGAATCTTCAGGACGTTGCATGCCTGTACTAGAAGGGGAGAGGATCTGAATTTTGTAGTAATAATCCCTCTTCCTGCAGTCGTATTTTATCCTCAAGTTGCCTTCACACCTGGGCTCTCCTTTTGTAGAGACACTGGTGTGAGGCAGGAAATCCCAGACTGGGAGCAGGCAGCTGCGTTCTGGTTTGGGCACTGATGGCAATATCCACGTAAGCGGGTCTCTCTAACCCAGTGGATCAGAGCTCTTTCATTTAGAGAATGAGAACAGTATGTGTGCTCTGTGTAGCTCATGGGGTTAACATGAGAAGAGCTGATAACGTGCATGAAGGTGCTTTGCAGAAGGCAAAACCCTAGATAAGTATAGATTACTCTTGAAGTCATTATCCCCATGGGGACAGGCATAGATGTTTTCTTCTTTACACCCTTTGGAGAGATTGACTTCTGTAGACTCTCCTCTCTTCTTCCTCTTCGTGACGCCATCCAAACCTCTTCAGTGCTAGAGTTCAGCTTGGAGCCCGAGCCTTGACACTGTCTGTTCTACAAAGGCAGGGTGAAACACTTGGGGACTGAAGGTCGGAGCAGGTGAGGTCCCGGGGAAGGATGGGCTCATGAGTGCTCCCCACCCTCCCTGCAGACATCTTCCCGCAGCCGGACCTGACCGAGGATGGGCTGGCGCGGCCTGTGCTGGCGGGAATCGTAGCTACCATCTGCTTCTTGGCAGCTGCCATCCTGTTCAGCACCCTGGCTGCCTGCTTTGTCAACAAGCAGCGCAAGCGTAAGCTCAAGCGCAAAAAAGGTGGGTGTCTGTCCCCTTCCCTTGCTCTCCCTGGCCCGGTTTCAAATGCCCCCCATCAAGAGAGGTGGACCATTTTTAGCATGGCCCCCCTTGGAAATAGGGACATTGAGATCTTGTGGGTAGAGCTGCCAGTGAGACTTGATTTGAAAGTGGGGGTAAGAAGCAGGGGTGGTGGGGAGAGGCTGCTGGGGCCCAAGCTAGCATGAAGGCAGGGGCCAAAGATGCCCACTGTGAGCAGCTCCTTCCCTGTGCGGTGGTGCTCCGGCTCTGTCAGCCTCTGCAGATGCGCGTGCTGCGTGGTTGCTGGCTTGGCCTCAGCAGCCTCTCCCCTTCTCTTTCCTTCCAGACCCTCCACTCTCCATCACCCACTGCAGGAAGAGCCTGGAGTCTCCGTAAGTGTCTCAGATCCTGGGAGAATTGTGCTGTTCATGGCAGGGGGCGCATAGGTAGACCGCTCGCCTTACCCAGCCCCATGTTAGTGTTTCTAAGCCATTTCTTCTTGATTGACCTGTGTGTTAATTGTACTTGCCCAGCCCCATCTCAGTGTTTCTAAGCCATTTCTTCTTGATTGACCTGTGTGTTAATTGTAAGTTGTCCACGCTGGTAGAGGGAGTGGCAGTGCAGATGATCCAAATTAGCCAGTAATCAGTTTCTCTTCAGCCTTGGAATGTATTTCTTTAGTGTTTTCCCACCCTAGCAGATTTGCCTCCTTAATATGTGTTGCTTAAGTTGATATTAAAGTGAGCTTGCTTGTCTTGAAAAGAGGGGAATGAAGCTGGAGGTGTGCTTAGAGCACAGCAGAGAGGGGGCAGGCCAGCACAAAAGTGAAGAGGCGGGTGTTCACTGGAAAGACGGATGATGGGGGGGGCCGGGCGCGGCGGCTCACACCTGTAATCCTGGCACTTTGGGAGGCTGAGGCAGGAGGATTGCTTGAGGCCAGGAGTTCAAGACCAGTCTGGGCAACATAGCAAGACCCCGTCTTTAAAAAAAAAAGGAGGATTCACGTCCAGACGGTGGAGAGTTGGCCAAAGCATTTCACACCACGATACACAGCCAGTTTTCTTGAGCGTGAGGATCCTGGGTGCTGGGTGGTTGCCGAGAGAGGGAAAGGAAGTCCTGGCCAGCACACTGCCCCACCTCATCCCCTCCCGGCTCTTGCTCCTCCTTGCAGCTTGTCCTCTGGCAAGGTGAGCCCCGAGAGCATCCGCACGCTCCGAGCGCCGTCAGAATCCTCCGACGACCAGGGCCAGCCCGCGGCCAAGAGGATGCTGAGCCCCACCCGTGAGAAGGAGCTGTCGCTGTACAAGAAGACCAAGCGGGCCATCAGCAGCAAGAAGTACAGCGTGGCCAAGGCAGAGGCCGAGGCAGAGGCCACCACGCCCATCGAGCTCATCAGCAGAGGCCCTGACGGCCGCTTCGTGATGGACCCTGCCGAGATGGAGCCCTCGCTGAAGAGCAGGCGCATCGAGGGCTTCCCCTTCGCCGAGGAGACGGACATGTACCCCGAGTTCCGCCAGTCGGACGAGGAGAACGAGGACCCACTGGTGCCCACATCTGTGGCCGCCCTGAAGTCCCAGCTCACCCCTCTGTCATCCAGCCAGGAGTCCTACCTGCCACCACCAGCATACAGCCCTCGGTTCCAGCCCCGCGGGCTGGAGGGCCCCGGTGGCCTGGAAGGTCGGCTTCAGGCCACAGGCCAGGCCCGGCCCCCTGCCCCCCGGCCCTTCCACCATGGCCAGTATTATGGGTACCTCAGCAGCAGCAGCCCTGGGGAGGTGGAGCCGCCCCCGTTCTACGTGCCAGAAGTGGGCAGCCCCCTGAGCTCCGTCATGTCGTCCCCGCCCCTGCCCACCGAGGGGCCCTTTGGCCACCCCACCATCCCCGAGGAGAATGGAGAGAATGCATCCAACAGCACGCTGCCCTTGACTCAGACACCTACAGGAGGGCGCTCCCCTGAGCCCTGGGGCCGGCCAGAATTCCCCTTCGGGGGGCTGGAGACCCCAGCGATGATGTTCCCCCACCAGCTGCCACCCTGTGATGTGCCCGAGAGTCTGCAGCCCAAGGCCGGCCTCCCCCGAGGACTGCCCCCCACCTCCCTGCAGGTGCCCGCGGCCTACCCGGGCATCCTGTCTCTGGAGGCACCGAAGGGTTGGGCAGGCAAGTCGCCCGGCAGGGGCCCTGTCCCAGCGCCCCCCGCCGCCAAGTGGCAGGACAGACCTATGCAACCTCTGGTAAGCCAAGGGCAGCTGCGACATACAAGCCAAGGCATGGGCATACCTGTGCTGCCTTACCCCGAGCCGGCTGAGCCGGGGGCGCACGGCGGCCCCAGCACATTTGGCCTGGACACCCGGTGGTATGAGCCCCAGCCCCGGCCCCGGCCTAGCCCTCGGCAGGCCAGGCGCGCCGAGCCCAGTTTACATCAAGTGGTGCTACAGCCCTCCCGGCTCTCACCTCTGACCCAAAGCCCCCTCAGCTCCCGCACCGGCTCCCCTGAGCTCGCCGCCCGTGCCCGGCCTCGCCCGGGCCTCCTGCAGCAGGCAGAGATGTCAGAGATCACCCTGCAGCCGCCGGCTGCAGTCAGCTTTTCTCGAAAGTCTACGCCGTCCACAGGCTCCCCCTCCCAGAGCAGCCGCAGTGGGAGTCCCAGCTACCGGCCCGCCATGGGCTTCACCACTCTGGCCACCGGCTACCCTTCCCCTCCACCCGGCCCCGCCCCTGCTGGGCCTGGGGACAGCTTGGACGTGTTTGGACAGACGCCTTCCCCTCGAAGGACGGGGGAGGAATTGCTCCGACCGGAGACCCCACCACCCACGTTACCTACTTCAGGGTGAGTGCGCCGCCTCTTCCGCCACCCGCACCTGGGCAACTTCCTTCCCCCACCCGCCTCGCCCTGCCCTCCACCCCGTCCATCCGCCCGGCGACAGGGCTCGTGCGGACATGCCGCACCGGCGTCCCTCGGAGAGGAGTTCTGGCCGCCGCGGTTTGGGCGGGGTGCAGTCGCTGGGGCGCAGCGGGCCCACCTGCCCAGGTGCCCTGCCGGGAGCATGAGGCGTCTTCTCCGGCAAGCCCTGAGCTCTCGGCGGGCGCACCACCTACCAGGGAGCGGCGGATCACAGCGCGTGCCCTTGCGGGGGTGGACCCCGTCCCTCTTGGAGTTGACGGCTCTCCGAGTCCCTGCGGTCCTGGCATCGGGCAGGGGTCCTGGGGGTTGCCCACACACCTCGTGTCTAGCCTCCTTTTCTTCCCCGGCCCCTGCTGCTTGCTAAGCAGGACCCCGGAGCCTGACTTCTCCAGACCACCAGGCCAGGGGCCTCCTGTTCCCGAACTCCTGGCCCTTAGCAGCCCTAGTGAGCGCCGGACTCCAGCCCCCTCCTCAGCCTCTCCTGGAGGCCCAGAGAAAAGGGTCAGGCCTTGTGACCATGTGCAGGACACGTCCCCCACCCCCCCCCCGTATACCTCGCAGGAAGCTGCAGAGAGACAGACCAGCTCCCGCGACCAGCCCGCCTGAGAGAGCACTCTCTAAACTGTAGCAGCTGGTATTCCAGGTACCAGGGCCTGGACGCCTGCCTGTGCCTCTTCTTCTCTCATCCTTCTTCCCTGCCGTCCCCGCTCCTCCTCCCCCTGCCCCTCCTTCCTTCTCCAGTCAGTCTTTCTCTCTCCTATCTTCCTTCCTCACCATCGCCTTTGGGTTCGGAAGAGCCGGCCACGCCTCTGTAGTGCCCCCGGATACCCCGTCCCCCGCCCTCTTCTCTCTCTCTCTCTCTCTGGCTCCGTCCTTTGGTCTCTCTTCTCGATGTAGCCGCCTGTGGAGGGAGCAGAGAGTTCCAGAGGAGGCTGGCCTGGTGGAAGGCAGGATGGGAGGTGGTCGAGGAGGAGGGAGCCCAGCGCCCTCCCCCTGCCCCGTCCCCCACCCTCCCTGGTACCTGGAAGTCCAAGGTCACCTCCCACCCGCAGCCCCACCGCGGGCTGCTCCGGGGCCGGCCGAGGAAGGGGGTGCGGGGCTTAGGGCGCAGGGAGGTGGAGGAGCCGCAGCCGCCGCCTGTGCGCGGAGGTGCCGCGGCCGCCCTGTCTCTGTGCTTTGTGCGCGCTCAGCTCATCTGCTTCCTTCCATCGTGTCTGGGTCTCCGTCTCTCTCCTCCTCCCTCCCCCACGCTCCGGCCTCGCCTGTCCGGTGCTCGCTGTGCCCCTCCCTGCTTCCCTCTGGGTGTGCGTGGGCGGTGCCCCCCGGCCGGTGTTGGTAACTGCTTTGTTTCTGATTGATCTCAGCTATCTGGGCAGTGTTGTCGAGACAAGCCTCTCCTCAGCTCAATAGGTAAGGGAGCTCCTCGGCTGGGCGGGCGGGGGCGGGCAGGCGGACGGGGCTTCGGCCGGGCCATTGCTTCCTGGACAGGGGATCCAAACCATGTCCCCTCACCGCCCCGTGGGGTGGCCGCTGCCGCTCCTCGATCCCCACGGCTTCTGGGTTCCCCACATCGAGCCACGCTCGGCACCGCCTAGCTGCAGCTTCTGCCCCCCACCCCCCGTCCCCATGTCCGGCCCCTCTAGAGCCCCCTGCGGCTCTCCTCACTCCTCGCCAGCCTCGCCAGCCTGCTGCCAGTACACCCAGGGCCTCCCACAGAAGCCCTGGGGCCCTGCATGCACCCCGAAGGGGCCCAGAACACCCGAGATCTGCTTTGCATCTCTGCACCCTTGGGGACCTCTCTGGGGCCCCTCTGGTATCCAGGAAGAGCCCCCCCGCACCCTATTCTCCCAGCAGCCCCAGGCATAGCATCCCTTCTCCTGGGGTGGCTGGCCCCTCACCAGCTTCTTGAGATCTTCGTGGTATTAGGCTCTCTCGAGGAGTACAAGGTTGGGATGAGCCCCACTTCTTCCTTGACAGTGGGGTCCTCTGCAGGGTCAGGTCCCTGCAGTCCTATGGGGCTTTGTAGCGAAATGTCATCACTCCCCTGTGCTCCTTGCCTTCTGCAGCCTGACCTTGGTAGTCACAGGACTGAAATGTGACCTAGCCCTTGGGTCCACATTGCTTTCAAGGTCCCTGTTGTAGCCTTGTCGTCCTCCCTGGGTCATGCTGTAGGGAAAGGGTCTTAGGAGGACCTCCCCGAGGGGAGGGGGCAGGCTTCCCCTGGGCAGACAGGCATTGAGCTGGCAGGAAGTGAAACCCCCAGGGACCAGCACTGTGTCCCTCCCCCTGCCCCCGCAGTCAGCCTCTCCTTGAGTGTCCTTCCAGGTGGAAGCTAAAGGAACTTGGGCATTCAGGGAGCCTCTGAGTCCCTCACAGAGACTCAGGGCCACCCGAAGCTCGCTCCCTCTCACAGTAGCCTGACAAGGTGCTGCCGCTCGCCACGGACCCTCTGCCCTGTGCCTGGGCACACACAGGCATCGGGCACCTGCATGGGAGACGGCGAGCCTCCCGTCCAGGTGCTTCTGGCTTTCCAGGCGAGAAGGAGACAGGTGCCTTCCCCCCCTAGAGATGTCAAGGGAGGTTCACTTTCCTAACCAGGGCTATAAATCTCATTCATTCCTAAGAGTGGCCTCCATAAAGAGGACTGCCCTGACATTTCTTTACCATCTGTAGCTATAAAATTGTCAGCAGCCCAGAGGCCCTGGAATTGTGGGTGAGGCTGTCTGGCATAGGGTGAGTGTGAGGGCTGTCAGGCAGCGTTTATGAGCTCACCTGCTCTGGGGCCCTCCTGCGCCCAGAGACCCACTGGTCTTCCACCTTCCCCAGCTCCCTCCCTGTCCCAGCTGTGACTCCTCCACAGCCCCCGGAGGTGTGGGAGCCCTAGACTAGCTCTCACCCCAGCTCCTGGAAATTCCTAGACTCTGCTCTCATGTGTTATTCCTCACCCCTTCACTCAACTCCATTGACCCTCTCCTTTCCCAGTGTCCCCACTGTGCCAGATCCAAGAGAAGCCCGCTCTCCTTTCACTGCTGTGGCAAACCCAGAAACCAGGGGCAGCGATGAGGGACCATCGTTTCTCTCCCGGGCCTGGCCAGCATCCCCAGCCTAGGAGAAGGAGACCCTCCCCATCCTGAGTCAGCCCCTCGGTGCTGGCCTCTCCTGCCTGCTGGGAGCCTCCCCGGTACGGCTGCTGGGTCCTGGGGAGATGCAGGCTCTGTTCAGATGCTGTCTCCATGCTGCACCTTTGCATGTGTGCCCTCTTGGTCTTGCTTGGAGAAGTTGTGACAGCTCTTGTCCACGTGCGTTCTCACTGTTTCTTTTCCCTTCAGTTCCTCTCCTGTTCCTTTGGTCCATATGTAGTTGTTGCCCCTGCCTCTCCTCCTTTCTCTCTCCCTTTTTTTCTCCTCTTCCCAACTCCCTTCTCAACATGGGGAGTTGTATTGCGTGGACCTGTCCTTTCTGTGGACTGTGGGGAGGCCGAGCCAATTCTTAGCTCCTGTCTGAGCCTAGTGATGCCCTGTCCTCACCTCTGCTTCCACTCCCTTTCCCATTCAGGCTGACTGTCACCGCAGGGAGGCAGGTGGGTCTGGAGCATGGAGTGGCCCCTGTCCTGGGTCAGCTGTAGGAAGGGGCCCCTTTGTAAACAAGCTTCTGCCAGGTTCTGAGGCAGAGCACTGGTCTGAGTCCGGCCCCACAGAAGGGTTCCATCTTGTGGTCAGCGGGGTGGGCTCAGACCTGCAGACTCCCGCAGTGGGCCCACCCTTTCCCTTGCTATGGCCCGTCTATGAGTGGCTTTCCCCTGCCTCCATCGGTGTATAATCAGGCAGGTGGTGTTTGCTCTTAGGTGATTAGAAGAGGAGGAAAATGCCCATCAAGCCACTGCTTCAGCCTGTTGGCCAGGGAACACCTGAACAGGGTCAAAATGGTCAGCTCCTGGGCGCTGAGCTAAGGAAATATGCAGGGGGTTTTGACTTTCCCTGTCCTGAGGCTTGCCTCCACTTTGACCTGGCTGCATCTTTCCTCAGCTCTTCTGGGTAAGCTGAGAGCTAAGCAAATAAGACCTCCTGGGCTACCTGGTCATGATTTGGGTTTTGTATGGATTTTTTGAAAAGAGAGAAAAAGAGTGTGGGCTGGGTGCCGTGGCCCAGAGGGCAGATCTCTTGAGTCCAGGAGTTCAAGGCCAGCCTGGGCAACATAGTGAAGCCCCATCTCTGCAAAAAAATACAAAAAAATAGCTGGGCATGGTGGCACATGCCTATAGTCCCAGCTCCTTGGGGGGCTGAGGTGGGAAGATCATCTGAGCTGGGGAGGTCGAGGCAGCAGTGAGCCGAGATTGCGCCACTTCACTCCAGCCTGGGTGACAGAGACCCTGTCTCAAAAAAAAAAAAAAAAAAAAAAGAGAGAGAGAGAAGTAAGTTCCAGGCAATTGTTGGTAGTTCTGTACTGCAAAAAACACCTCTGTGCCAAGGCTTTGAGGCCCTCATCTTGGAGTAATCCCCTGACTTCCTGGGAGAAGGGGAGCCCCAGGGTTCGTAGCATTCCTGCATGCTTTAGAACAGTGTAGGCTGGTTGGGAAGAGAACTGTGACCTTAAATTCTTGGAGAGCCCAGGACTGGCTTCTGGGGTAATGGCATCATCTATGGATCAAGCTTAGATTTACCTGACAGCTGAATTCCAGGGATAGGATGGAGTTGCTTCACTGAAGCTTCCCACCTGAGACATTGGCACCAAGAGCTCCATGACCAAAGGGCCCCAGGTGGGGCTGGCGTTGGCAACAAACATGGTCACCTTCCTAAAACAGGGAGGCAATTCGATTGCACAGGGCTTTACGTGCTGTTGGTAAAGTCTGTTAGGTCACATTCTATGTGTCTTTTCTGTACCATGTGCCAAAAATAGACTCATTTTGCCTGCCCTGCTTCCTCCCTCCTGTTCTGCCAGACACCAGCTTTTGTTTTTTCCTCCCACATTGGGTGAGGGTCTTGGTGTGTCCAGAGCCTTCTTTTGTCCTGTGGCTATGCTTCGGTGCTGAGCCCAGAGCTAAACAGGTGGACAGCAGGTGTCCCGGAAGGGCTGGAGCTTGGCTGTTTCTCAAGGGAAAATCGGCTGCTTCTGGTCACTGGATCATTACTGTCTGGGAATTTTTGCTTTGACGATACAACTTAAGCAGGCTCCTCTCCAGCCCTGGTCTGTCTCACCGGGGCTGTTCCACCAAAGCACAGAATGTCAGTGCTCGCCTCAAGTACGTTGCAAGGCAGATCTATTTCTCAGGTGTGGCGGGGATGCCATGCTTTTCTTCTTTGTAGCTGCTATACCTTTGTGGATTGGGAAGACGCTGGAAGGGCAGTGGAGAGGTGAGCCTAATGTTAAGAGTCTTGGCTCTTTCCCACGATGACTGGATGATTCGACAGGTTGCTCACCTCTCTAAACTTCAGTGTCTCCATCTGAAAAATGGGGGCATTGTAGTATCTACCTCTTAGGTTTGCTGTAGAGATTACAGGCAATTATTGTACAGCAGTGCCTGCTGTGGTAAGTGGTAAATCAATGCTAGATGATAAAAATGACAACAGTGATAAGATGTTGATTCTAACCATCATATCACCCCTGGAAGTTTCACCTGGCTTGAAGAATCCCTAACAGTTTTCAGGGCACCCTGTACCGGTTTCTCTCGTGCCCCAGCGGTCGCCCTGGATGACATTGGAGAGCACTCTTCTTGCCGGTCATGCGCCTCCCTGACCACACGTCGCTCACCCTGTGTGGTCCTCCTGAAGAGGCCGGCCAGGAGACAGAGATCGACTGAACAGGTGGATTCACATTAACTTTCCTTCTAGGCAGCATGAAGAAGCCTCAGTTGAGGATGAGAAGGGGTGAGGATGTGCTATCCACACTGGGAAGGTGTGCTGCCTCCCGCCCGGGCACCTGCACCCTTTGTCTGCCTTCCCGCTTCCTTCCCAGCTGCTGCTGCGCTGTAGGATCTCTCTGGGTAGACTGGCATGTTTGGCCACTTCTTCACAAGAGGGCTGTGTGTGCCTGTGTGTGCACCTGAGGGACCCTGTGTAGCCTTCTTAGCTCTGCTGTCAGGGCTATGGAAAGTCAAGAGGTTGACCGTGACCTGAACTTTGAGGGAGCCTTTTGAAACTTTATGGACTAAAGGACTAGAGAATGATGACATCCCCCAGGAAGATGGAGGTCACTGCATTGCCAGTGCATGCAGGAAACCCCAGAGACCAGAGGCTTATCTGCAATTAGTGTGTAAGTCTCCTCTTCCCGCCTTGCTGCCAACATATTTGATGCTGGGGAGAAGAGACTGCAGGCTTCCTATCCCTCTTAACATTTTTTTTTTTAACCTCAGACCGCTTGCTGACCTTTGGGGTCTTCTTTTGCCCTCACAGCATTGTCTGTCCTACCTCTTTTAATCAGGACTTTCCAAAAACTGTTTGCAATGGAGATAGGGGAGGGAGTTGGGGGGTCCAGGAGAAGAAGAGCGAGGCACGCCTGTCCGCCGTGGCCCCAGAGCGTCCCTGCTTCTCTGATCACGTGCTAATGCCAGCGCTGGTGGGAAGACAGAGTGACCTGTCTTTTTCTCTTTCCCCTTCATTCCTCAGGCTCCGAGTTGGGTTACTTTGAGAAGAAATGGCATTGAGAACATGTCTTCTAGGTTTTCCTCTTTTATGACTCTTGAAAGATTCTCTCCAATATGCACCGAGTGTCACAGACTGCCCCTCCTCTCAGCTCTCTTGGCTCCCTTGTGTACCTGGGCTGCCTCACGGGTGTGGCCAGACTGTGGACCCTGTCCTAACCGGGCAGTTGATCCACCAGGCAAGTGACAATCAGGATGCAGGAAGAGAGGCCAGTACACATGGTCTGTTCCAATAGCCTCGTTTCTCTGTCGAATCCTAAAATACAGAGGTTCACCACGTTCTTGTTACAGACAGCAAGGGCTCTGGGAGGCTACCAGATTTGGTTGTTCTGCTGTTATCTCCTGCCACTTTCTCCTGTTCTCTTACATGGCCGAGGAGAGCTGAGCCTCGTCTGCAGGGTCGAGGAGACACTGCCCTGAAAATGTTGGTATATGACAAGTATTTGTTGTTGTTAGCTGCTGCTGTTCTGCGGGAATCTTGCAGCTGCAGAAGAAGCTGGCAAGGCTGGGTTTTGTGCAGCCTGTCTTACTGGGGGTCGGGTTTCTCACTTAGCACCCCCTTTTCTGGAGATGGAGGATGATTCACTGGGATGGGAGCTGCTTGCCCCCTGCTCTAATATGCCCTTTTACTTTCCATTCAAAGGTCTTGATTGTGGTGATTTCTAGGAACTCCAGACGTTCAGCCTACTTCTGTCTCTGACACTAAATGCATCCCAGCTTGCGTTACATGGGAAGGTGCTTACTATTAAAATCTCTCTGTCTGCCTTTGCTAGGGTCTTCTGATTGCTCTGCAGGTTGGTTTCCATCCGAGGTGGGCCATGCTCCTGGAGCTTTCTACTGGGTTTTCTTCTTTCCAGGAGCAATAGAAAGGCGGGTGTCATGGAGCCATCGTGGGCACCTTGGGCTCTGTAGGACTGAACTCTGTCCTTCTGTGGGTCAGCTACTTGGCTTTCTTCCAGCCCCTCTTCCAAAGCCTCACACATCCGGGAGCTGAATTGTGGCTCTCTGGTTGTCCTTTCCAGAACACTTCCACCTGCACCCGGGAACGCTGCTGCGCCTGAGAGGCTGGAGGCTCTGAAATACCAACGGATAAAGAAGCCCAAAAAGTCATCCAAGGGCTCTTCGAAGTCAAAGAAACGATCCGGTAAATGATGGGCAGTGGCCCGCCCCGCTCCTCCCACCTTGCCTTGCCGTTGTCAGGAGGGTTATTGGGCTGCCGTTGTCAGGAGGGTTATTGGGCTCAGGGCCCCAACCTTGGGCTTTCTCTAGAATTGAATCCACAAGCTTCTCTTGTCCTTTGTTTCTTTTTTTTAACACTATTTTTCAAGCAATACACAAACATAATTTTCATATACAAAACGAGAAAGATAAGGGAAATCTATCTGATTGCCCTTCCAATTTGTTTCCACTCACCTGGAGAACTGTCGTTTTCAGCATGTGTGCCTTTGGAAACTTTTCTGTGCCTACAGCTTCAGAAAATGTATCCTATTATTTTAGTGTGTTTTCAAACAACACAAATAGTACAGATCTATTTTTCCACTCTGCATTTCACCTTGCACATAACTCTATCTCCTTCCTTACTTCCCCTCTATCATTTCAGGCCTTCTAGTGAACAAAGGCATGACAGGACCCCATGTGGACCTCAGGGTACACTGCAGCCTGGGCCCAGCCTCTGCAGGTTGGCTACACCCTTCTCAGTGAGATGGAGTGAAGCCTCCTTACCCCACAGAGAGGATGCCTCTATCGAAGTATGTCCGATGTGTATCTAGCAGGGATAGGTAGCTTCTGAGTGCAAAACGAATTTAGCCCTCTTAAGGACTAGAAAATTCTTTAATATTTGTTAAAAACCCTCTTTTCATGAATGGTTTTAGGAGTGTTGTGGCAGTCTGTCAAGGAAGAATGCTGAACAGTTGCTTTGCAGAGCTTTGATAACTGTTGTAGAGTAACTCTCTTTATAGACAGGATTATGGGAGAGTGTTATATAGAAATTCAAAGCCCCATGAATCTCTGGGAGACGGTGATCACTTATGATCACTTAGCCTTTGGCTGGTACTAGTATACTTTCAGTTTACAGATGGAAATACTGAGGCAGAGAAAAAGAAAATGATGTTTTTAGGGCTTGGGTTAGAAACTGGAGCTCAAAGCTGCATTTTCAGCCAATTAAGCCCATTGTTAACCCATTTAAGACCCATCAATATATAGTTTTTATATATGTATAACATATATTTCTTTATTGCAAAAAAAAGTCACATCAGAGACCTGCATTGTCTCTTGTTCTGATGGCAGTGGTCCTGTTACCAGTTCTGTGGTGGCATCTTCCAAATGTCTGTCTTTAGCCCAGGTCCCTTCCCTGAGGTCATGGCTGATATTTCCAGTTGCCAGCTGAACGTGCACTTGGGTGTTTCATACGCCTTTACGATGTCTAAAGCAGAGTTATTGATCAGCCTCTCCAGGTCTGCTTCTCCTCAGCTCTTCCTCGGTTTAATCACTAGCACTGGTACCCACTGGGGTGTCAGGCCCCTTAATTCCCAGATTCTTCCCTTGCCTTCACATCTTACGTCGAGCCCGCTAGGTAATGCCTGTTAGCTCAGCCTTTGCAACATATCCTGAATCTGGCCACTTTCTGTTGTCTCTATTGCTAACTCTGTGTTCTGAGTCACTGTCTGTCCCACCTTGACTATTGCAGTACCTCGTGGCTGGTGTTCCAGCCCTATCCTTGTACCTTGCACCGTGGACTCCACACACAGCCACCACGGCGAACTGCAGGACACGTAGCGGCATCCTCTCTTTCAGTTACGAACACACACGTGCAGGCGTGTGTGCACATACACAAACACACACACACTTCTGATTAAAACCTCCCCATCGTAACCAGATTCCCATCGTAACCAGAACAGATTTCAAGCTCCTAGATGCCCTGCCTGTCTTTCTTGCCTCACTCTTTTCCAACTGAGATGACCTCCCTTCTGTATCGGGGACACACCACATTTACCCTTAACTTGGGGCTTGCACACATGCCATTTCTTCTGTTGGGAATAATTTTTCTTCAGATCTGTGGAAGGCTCATAATTTAAGATGCAATTCAAGTGTTAACCCTTTAAGGAGCGGAGTAGTGCCTCAGTTGACCCTATTTTATCTTTGTAGTATTTTCAGTAACTGCAAATTTTATTTCTGTGTTTTTAAAGTCTTGACAGTTTGTCTCTTCCTCTGCACCCTCACATGGATGCATAGTCTTTGAAGCTAGCAAAGGCATTCCTGATTAATCTCCAGAAGGGCCATGAGGCAGAGGAGAGGCCCAGGCAGTCCAGGAAGGGTCAAGGCCTGACCGTTGCATGCGATTAAAATCTTGTATAAAGTCGGTCATTGCTTGGGGCAGATGAGAAAGATGTCCTGAGTCCCAGCCTGTTCCTTCCTGATCCCCAGTCCCTAGAATGATGCCTAGTACTCAAGAGGCACTAAAAGAAATATTTGTAGACTGATCGAGAAAGAAATGAATGAGAAGGAAAATCCTCTCCATTCCACTTTCTTAACTCTTATTCAAGTGAAAGGAGCAGGGTCAGGTTGCTGGTTGTCTTGGCGGAAAAGAAGGTGGTTTCTCTGCAGCAATTCGGTCTGGTCTCTCTAGACTCAGGTGATTCCTTTGTTTCAACATTAGAAACCCGGAACAAATGCAGGTGGAAAAGGTGAGCAGGCTGCGTGCTTCCTTTTCATCCGCTTGCTTCTCTTTTGCGTCCCTCTTCCTTTCTTCCTAGACGATTCTGCCTCCCAGACTCAGCAGCTTCCCAACTCTCAGGTTCTGTGGCCCGATGAAGCTGTCTGCCTCCGAAAGAAGAAGAGACATTCTCGTCCTGACCCCTTTGCCCGGCTCTCAGACTTGTGCCACCGCCAGCTTCCGGAAGACCAGACAGCGATTCTCAACAGTGTGGACCACGATGACCCAGGACATGCCACTTTGCTGTGACTCCACCCCACTCTAGGTGTCCCCGGGGCGAGGTTGCTGGGCTCAGGCAGGGAGGGCCACTGTGTGGGGGTGTGTCCTCCTCCGTCTGCCAAGGGCGGCCCAGACCTTTGTCCTGCATGCCCCCTCTTTTGCCAGAGCGGGTGTCTCCCTCCAGATCCTGGCCGCCTGTCTTCAGGACGGAGGGTGGGCACACCTTCCACCTGTGGGTCGAGGTCAGGAAGTGGATTGGAGACTGGGCAACACCTGTCTCCTCCCCTCCGCCCCCTGCTTCACTAGGTTGATTTTTCTCATCTCTTCCAATGTCTTTGGAAGTGAAGAGGAAAGCAATGGCTTTTACTGCTCTCTGCTTCTGTTTCAGTTTTTCAAGTCCTGGAAGAAGGCTGGACTTAATGTCCATCTTCCACACCCCACATATATATAGATATAGATACAGATGCATATGTCTGTAGTGTGTGGGTTTCTCTATGTGTGTATATATATATATATATATGTACATTGAGGCAAAGTGCTGTTGCTCTCTGTGGTCAGTGGAGGCAGGAGGAGGAGGGCAGTGGCCAGCTGGGGTTTGCGAGCAGGGCTGGCTGCACGTTGGCCAGGTGCCTGACATCTGTCTTGGGGGATTCTTTCTCCCAAAACAAGATCCGTGTCTCTCAGCTGAATTCTCCGTGTGTCTCCTACCTTCTCCCACCCAGAGCAGAAATGGGGCCTTGCTGTGATTACCGGCTGCCTTCTATGGGGGTTCAGTAATGAGTTACTGCAGAACTAAATTCAAGCCTTTGTTTCTTGGTTCCTGGGTGAAGAAGGGGTGGCCAGGCTCCTAGACCTGCATCTTTCTTCCTTCCAGCGTGGCTCACGCTGCAGGAGTAGAGGCTAACTCAGCCGCGGGGCTAAAGCAAGCCTCTGGTGCACATGTCCAGCGCATCCGTCGGCGCCCTTCCGCCCAGCCAGGCCGTGAGCTCTGTGGCCAAAGTCTCCCCACTGCGGAGCCACCTGTGCTAGCGCCAAGCTGCCGGCTCTATTTATACCGTCCCCGGCTCAGCACTCTGTGCAGTGCTGTTCCACAGCGGCTGATTGGATCCTCCTTTGCTTTTGTGGGAGCTAATTCTCCAGATTGATTAATTACCACTTGTGCGGAGCCGCCTGTGGCTTTCCCGCACTCACCACGTGCTGCCTGCCGACTCTTCTCTGCCCCGGGGCCTTCGTCCTCCGGTGGACCTGAGCTGCAGGGGGATGAGCTCAGGTGAAGCTAGGGCGCCTCTGGCTGCTGGGGCCTGGGACGCTCTGGATCCTGCCCTCTTTGCCCAGTTCTATTCTGTGGCTGAGGCGTAGGAATGAAGGCGGGAGGGGTGGTGAGTAGGGTCTGGGCACTGACTCTTCCTCTGCCAAAGTCTGGTCCTGGTTCAAACTCGTAGCATCCAGAAGCTTCCTGAGATCATCTTCCCACTAAGATGTCTCTCTGCCGGTAAGATATGGTGCTGCCCAAGGGCAGGGCAGAAGGCCCCGAGGGCGGGGTGGAGGGGAGATCTGCCCCTCCCCCACTCTTGTGTAGGAGCCCCCCTTCTGGCTTGGCTTAGAATGAAGGTTCCTTGAAGTATTTCCTTCTTGGTGCTGCTGTCTTGGTGGGTTTGGGGGCACCCACCTCTCCCGAGTTCCCTGCTTGGACGTGAGCCACGGCAGCATTGGATGGCTTCTGCTGGTCTCATGCAGCTGCCATGGGCTTGGCCCAGTGACCTCGCAGGATGAGGCCTTGGATGGCTGCTGTCTCTTCTTGGCGTTTCCATCTTAGGGGATGGACTTCTTCTGTGCCACACCGGCCCTGGTCCTTCCTTTCACCCAGGGAGCTGAGGACCAGCTCCACCCTTGAGGTTTACCGTGCAAGTAACACCACCGCAGTTCCTTTCTGAACACATCTGAAGGGGTCATGGTGAGAGAGGCACGCAGGGGCTTCTGAGACTGGGCCGTGCACCCTTGGGGTGGAACCTGGGCCTTCCAGTTGATGTGCTTCTCTGGGGCGTTGGAATCCACTTGACCACTGGGCACCAGCTCTGCGAGATGGAAGAGCACACAACTCTTTGTGTTCTTTTTTCCAGGTAGCACACCCTCTGCCCCCGCGTCGTGATGTGCTGCTCACTTGGGCGTCTCTCCTGGGGGATGACGGGAGCCGGCTTACCTGAGGTGTTGGGGTGGGAGGTGGGGGCTTACCGCAAGCTGACGTGCAGCCTTTATGCACTGGCAGTGTGAGATTTCTACCCCAGAGGAGCTCACGGGGCTCAGCCAGGCCCTGGGATGCACTGGGATGTGGGCATCAGGCTGTCAGCCTTCAGGATGAATTTGGCCTACTTTTCTGAGCACCCTCCTGGGAATTCCAGCCCTCAGGTTAGAAAAGAAGAGGAGATGATGAGGTAGAAGGCTTTGCTTCTTTCGGATGTCATGAGAGGCTGAGATGCTCAGGCCATGGCTGTGCCTTCCAGGGCACCCCCGTGCTAACCCAGGTGCTGACTCCTCCTCCGCTTCCTCTGGCAGTGCCCATGACCTCAGCACGTAGACCCAACGCGGGGAGCCGTGCTTTTCGCTGGTCACCGAGTGGCTGCTGTGCTGTGGCTTCCCTGGCTAGGGCAAGGACGTCAGGTCTGCCCATCTCTCAGTGGCCTGCCACTCATTCAGCTCCCCTGAGGGCTTCCTCCTGTGACAGTGTCCTCGGAGGCCAGCAGCCCTCCTGCAGCCCGTGGACGGCGATGGGATTGGTGGAACGCAGTTCCCTCCGTGGATAGAGGGTGAAGATGTCACAGGCACAAGTTTAGGTGCTGGGTGTGGGCATGTGTGACAGCGTGGTTGTGAGCATGTGGGTGATGGGGGTGTAACCACCTCTAGGGACCAGTGTCCTTCATAGTCTGCCTTTGAACAATGGCAGTGACTACTGATCAGCTTCTTAGGACTTCGGCACTCACTCTGTAGGAGATCACGCCTTCCAAACTTCCCCTTTTACGGTCTGGCGGCCTTGCAGTAGACACGACTCAGATGTAAACCTGCTTCTGTGTCTCAGATGTCTGTCTGCCTCTTCAGCATCATGGCTGAGAACTGTGGCTGTTGTAGTGTCAGGTGACCCACAGACCAGGAAGAGGGGAAAACGGTTCTTAGCGGGGCCTGGACAACTGCATTTGCGTGGGGAGAGAAGATGTACGACGAGGCAGAGAGGCGAAGCCTGTCTTGATTTGCTGGTGGGCTGCCGTGGGCTCCCTGGTGCTGAGCGGGGTCCTGTGCTGGATTGTTGGGGTGGCTCTGGGCCCAGCATCTGGGAGTGGCCCTGCCTGCTGCCAGTCTGCCTCTAAGCAGCTTCCCTGGAGAGACTGGGGGTAGGACAGGCCTTTTGAGATCCTACTTTCTTAGCAGGAAGGACGCCTTTTTCCCAGCAGGCTGGCGGGGTCTGTGCCCTCCTTTGAGGTGCTTAGTCCCACAACCATGCGCTTGGGGGAAGACTGAAGCCGGGTGGATTGAGCCGAGTATTTCTTGTTATTTTTCCATGCTCTCTGTCTTTATTTTTGATTTGTGATCTAAAATATTTGGGGTTGAACTGATTTAATTTATTCCTCTGCCCTTTTTGTGCTGAGGAAACTGGGGTAAGGTTCAAATGTGAAATTTTCTGATTTTATTTGGGGTGGGGGACAAGGTTGACGAAACAGTAGCTTCTAGGGAGAAACAGATTTCACGGAGCCTCCAGCATCTTTGGCACTGCCCACGATCTGAATCTCCAGGGCTGAAGACTGCGTGGCTGGAATCTGTTTCTTCCTATTTTGTTAGCAAAAGCCTTTTCCAGGCTTGGGGGTGGGGTGGGGGAAGAATTGTACATAAAGTACATTTTATTAATCTGTAGAGAAACCTAGGAAAAGAAAAGCTAATGGTTAATCTTGGGCTTGCTTTGCTTGCATGTAAAGGAGCTTTGGGGGCACTGCAGGGATGGCTGGGGAGCTGCAGGAAGGGGCAGAGGGTGGAGCTGAGCGGGTCATGGAAGGCTCTGTTGAGTCCAGCCTCTGTGGTACTCTAGGAGCTGTGCACATTCCCACCGGGGCTTCTAACCCAGCCCTGCCTGGGTATCTTCTTCATATAAAGTGGATCTAGTAGGCAGTGTGTAGAGCCCCATGTGGCTGTGTGTGTTGCTTTAGGGAGAGGGCCAAAGAGGTGCCTTATTGGCCAGCTCTAGATTGACTAGGGTAATGGATGGGGCACTGGTGTTTCAGGAGGGGGAGTTGGAGAACTGGAGGGTGGAGGGGAGGCCTGTGTGCTTTGCCAGGTGTTGGTGAGGCTGGAAGGGGCACAGAGGGTGAGGTCAGGCATGGGTTAGGATGGTGAGACCACCCCAGGGGACACCAAGCCTCAGCATCTCTTTGAGTCATGTGATAACTTAGTTACTTGTAAGGGTGCAGGGTACACACTGGGGGATCATCCCAAGATGACGAAGAATGATTGCCTGGTGGGCATCTGGCTGGGGAGTGGTAGCCATGCAGGGCATGTGGGAGGGGGATCTGGGCATCAGGGACGGATTGTGGGGTGGGGTCCTGCATGTGAACGCAGACTGGATCTTGGGAGAGGTCTTGCTTCTTAGCTAGATCTTCCTTGCTTCTTCTAGAATTAGCCTCTAACACTAAGTGCCCAAACCAAACATGGACATCTTCTTTATATTGTATTTCAACTTCATTTGTTTTGGGGGCTCCTCAGGCCCAAAGCTGAGAAACTTGTCTTGAGATGCCCATCCTATCACCAGCTCTTCATCAGTGGAGAAGGAAGTGCCATTCTCATTTTCCTAAGCTGCAGCGGTGGGTTGCCTCTCCGTCCACAATCTGAAAATGTTCATGGGCCTTGGTGATGGTGATGGTGATAGAGAGGGGGAGCTGGAGCCTGACGTGCCTTCATCCCCCTTTCCTCTTGAGGTAGAGAGGCTTCCTTCCGGCCATGAAGTTGCACAGTGGCTTCGTGAGGCCTTCTCTTTACTTTCTCTTCTTTTGATAGGCTAAAGTCACTAGTCTGTGGTGGAGGTGGGAGGGCAAAAGAGTTTCACCTGAAACTCTTGGCTTGACCAGCCATTCTTCTCTCTTTAATGTCTCCAGCTCTGCTTCTTTTTAGATTAAGAGGCAGAATGAAAAATCTCTTCTTTAGAAGAAGTCAGTAAACCAAGGATCAAAGCCCAGATTGGACTTTCGCACTCTTACCAGCTTGCTGTTTGGCTAGGGGTACCAATCACCACCCTTCCCTCTGACTGCGAGTGAATCCACACTGGTTCAGAGCCTTATTTCTGGGTTCCTGTCTGTACTCTCAAAACCTTCTTTCAGGAGCAAGTATAATAACCCCACCAGATGTTCTGTGTGTTGGGTTGCCGAGAAGGTGGAAGTTTTTTTCAACCTCATTTTAAGCTGTTAGAAAAACACTCAGTAGATTGAATTTGGTCCAAAGACACCACCATCCCCTGAGGGATCCCATGTAGGATAAGGATAAATGAAGCATCCATACAGGGGTCATTAATGGCTGCTCACATCTTAGAGAAGGAAGAGTCTGGGTATCTTGGTTGCCATATACTCTGGTGGAACAGTGGCCAGTCATTAAAATCACATGGGTGTTGTCTTCTGCGGTGTAGAAGACAGTAGTAGTAGTTAGGGTTTCGGACGAGAGCTGGTGAAAAGCTACCGGCTTTGGAGCCCTGGCTGGGAGAGCTAGATTGGACAGTTTTAACCCCGTGGCTCAAATGCTCAGCTCCTGTCACTGGTCCTTGGTTGTCACCATTCCCATCACACTAGATGGGGACGTGAATGGCTGCCTGGGCCTGCCTTTCTTTCGGGTCTTGAAGAAGTGTGCTCCACCAATCCTACCTCTCTGTGGCACTGGATTTCCTGGATTTATTTTGCGAACTAGGGCAGGTTCTCCCTCGCCACCCCGTATACACACCAGTTAGCTTCCCTTCCCTTTTCCTTTCCCCACTTCTGTATGGCTCCAGGGATCGTGAACATGTGCGTGGTTTACGATGGGGAGGTGGTGGGAGGGGCAGGGAATCTCGGAGGGCAGGGGGTTGGGCTGGGGAGGTGACTTGCATTTTCGGCCTTAGAAATGCTGCGGGCATGCACGTGTGGGGTTTTCATATAAGCCATGGGAGGGGCGAGTGCCCAGCCCTCCTCACGCTGGTGGTAGAACCCAGGGCTTTGGCCTCCTTTTGGCATAGTGGTCTATGAAGCTGTATTTCTGGTGGAGGGATGAGCCTCCTCACGGTCATCTTGCAGTTCTTGAAAGGGTAGTTGTCAGCCACTCTATCAATGAGGTTTTATATGGCCTCCCATGAACAACGAGAGGTGTGCCATGGCCGACGGTGTCCTGGCAGGGCTGGAGAAGGGATTGTCTCATGTGTCCTTCTGCAGGCACCAGGTTGTCCCCCTGGTCTCTAACCCCCAGCCAGCTGTCTAGTCCAGTGTTTCTTTTCTGGATTCAGGAAGTAAGTGGGGTGTGTGTGTGTGTGTGTGGGGTGTGTGTGTGTATGTGGTGTGTGTGGTATATGTGTGTGGTGTGCATGTCTGTGTGTGGTGTGCATGTCTGGTGTGTGTGTGTGTTGTGTGTGGTGTGTGTATCTGTGTGTGGTGTGTCTGGGTGGTGTGTGTGGTGTGGTGTGTGTATTGTGTGTGGTATGTGTTGTGCGTATTGTGTGGTGTGTTGTGTGTGGTGTGTCTATTGTGTGGTTGTGTATGTGTGTGGGGTGTGTGTGGTATGGTGTGTGTGTATCTGTGGTGTGCGTGTATGTGTGATGTGTCTGGTGTGTGTGTGTGTGATGCAGTGTGTGTGGTGTGTTGAGTGTGGTTTGGTGTGTGTATGTTGCGTGTGGTGTATGCTTGTGGTGTGTCTGGTGTGTTTGGTGTGTGTGTGTTTGGTGTGTGTGGTGTGTCTGGTGTGTTTGGTGTGGTACATGGACTGTGTGTGGTGTGTGTGTGTGCTATGTGTTTTGTGTATTGTATGTGGTGTGTTATTGTGTGTGGTATGTGTGTATTGTGTGTGGGTGTGGTGTGTGGTATGGTGTGTGTATGTCTGGTGTGTGTGTGTGTGTGATGTGTCTGGTGTGCATGTGTGTGATGCGGTGTGCATGTGTGTGATGTGTGTGTGTGTTGTGTGGTTTGGTGTGTGTTGTGTGTGGTGTGTTGTGTGTGTGTTGTGTGTGTGTGTGGTGCGTGTGTGGTGCGTGTGTGGTGCGTGTGTGGTGTGTGTGTGTTTGTGTGTGTGGTGTGGTGTGTCTGTTGTGTGTGGTGTGTGTGAGAGAGATTTGTACAGACATGCTGATTTGCCTGCGTAGTGTCAGGCCCAGGAGACCCTCCTTTGTTTGGCTCTTTTGCTAGACAACTTCTGTTTGGGTAGGAGGGTCAAATTAGTAATGCACCATCTTTAATGTATTTTTTATGGAGACTGTACATAAAATTATATAAATCTACAGAATTGGTTCTATTTTAAGGAGAGAGGGGAATGTATGTGGGAGGCAAGGATCAGATGCAATCGTGGAGACTGGGAGCTTCGGGCGAGTGGCACTCGGGTGTGGGGAGCGGGAGGGCAAGAGATGAGTGCCGGGCAAGATGGGCAGGGGCCCGTGCCCTCTGCACACATATATAAATATAAAGAACACCTAGATAAAGTCTATATATCTCTATATCTATATGAAGTCATAGTTTGCTTTATTTTTGTACCTGTGCTTAGAGATGTTTTGAGCAGTGCTACCTTCCCAGGCAGTCTGGGATACTAGCTCATGCCTTGACGCCACCTCCTTCCCTGCTCTTCCTTTGGTATTCTCTCTGTTCAGAGTTGCTTGGGTCTTTCTGATGGAAATGTGTATATATGAAAAGTTTGTAAAATAACAAAACAAATAACCCACCTGCAGGAAGGACAAGTGAGCTGAAGGTTGTGTGGAGCTGCAGGATCTGATAGCCCTAAAGAACCAGGACCAATGTGTCTCTTGCCACTTGGGAGGGATGTTGACTTGAACTTCTTTGCAGAGGGGCTTAACAGGGCAAGGCTGAGGAGATGAAAACTGTGACTCCATCCCCACGTGGCTGTGGAAAGGTAACCAGTTCCTCAGAGAAAACCTGGCTTCACAGCATTAGAAAGGGGGTGGTTGAGACTACCTAGGGACCTACGGTGACACCTGTCTTGGTTTGTAGCACTGTAGCTCAGACAGCTCAGACCGCTCATAGAGGGCATGGCAATGGGAGAGTTTGTGAGGCTGGCTGCCTGGGCTTGGTCTTGGAGAACACATGGCCTGTTTAGTGTTGCTGCAGATTCTTAGAGCCAGTGTGAATGTGGTATGTAGTATAAATATGTCATCTATGTTTTTTTCAGTTATTTTTAATTGGAAATAAAGTGCCATTGCAAATAGGATGCTCCAATCCTGGGACACTGAGTGGAGGATGAGGAGGGAGAGATGAACTGTGGGCCGGCCTGGGAGAGGGGGTCTTAGTGGAACCTTCCTTCTGGCCTCCAGCCGGGGACTTACAAAACTGAACAATGTATTGGCAGAACTGGACCCACAATGGGAGATTCTGGGGAGCAGGAGTTCACTTGTATCTGAGCAGGAAGCAGTGTGCCCTGAAGAATACCTCTCTGAGCAAATTCCAGACCTCACACATATGCAAGGGCTCTGCCTTGCAGCCTCAGCAAGCGTCTCCTGGTGCTAGCTCCTTCCTGACTTGCCCGGAGCTCGGAGTGATGTATTTGAAGCTGGTGCTGGGCCAGATGGTGCAGGCAGTGAGGAGAGACTCAGGACTGCAACCTTTCGGCTCCTTATTCCTGCTCATCACTCAGAAAAGGGCAGTACTAACCCCTTTCCTAACCAAGACATGGCACTCCCTAAGAGCTCTTGTCTATAGAGTTTGGTCCTTAGAGGAAAGCAGATACCTTCAGCGTGAGAAGGGCTTGGTTGACAGTTTTGGGGTATTATGGGAAGAGTAGGTTGGGGTAAAGCTTGAGTCTAACTCTTGATCCTTACATGGACCTATGAGGCCCTGCCATTCAGTCAGGCACTGTCCTTGGGTCCTCAAATTAACTGCTGAGAACACTCCCCACTTTCCGAGGACGCTGATGGGAAATGGGCTCTGTCCATGCAGCTGGAAGGATCCAGTGCTGGTGCCACTGTCAGTGGCACCATCCTTGCCTTGAATGATCTTTCTTGCAGGCTCCTGCAGCTGAGTGTTTCTTGTAAGATTTTTCAGGGGGATTGGGCAAGAAGAAGAGGTGCAAATTCTGTTCCCTTCCTACCTTGAAGCCTTCCCAGACCACCACGGTCTCTGCACAAGGGAGGCTCCCATTACTGTTCTGTTGGCTTCTAGACCCACCATCCCCTCTCTTTCTGTGGACTCTGCCCGACTTCTGGCCACATGCAACCAGCAGAGTAAACTGCTCCAACACCTCGGGCATGTCCTAGGGCTTGCCCTCCCACCAGGGCCAGCCCAAGATTAGGTCCTCAGCAGCATCAAGGTCTGGGAGAGCCACTGGCCCACATGTCACCATTCTATTCCTCAGCCTCCAACAGGACTCTTCATTTTGGGGAGGGAAAGGGAAGATGGGGCCATAGCCCCTACCTTGAAATTGTACAGTGTGGAGGGGATGTTAGTGCCTACCTGTGACCTTTCTGCTCCACTGCTCAGCAAGATGAGGTAAGGTTGGGTGTCAGAGGGGACCTCCAGCTTCTCTGAAGAGCCAGCCCTTAAGGCACTTGGAGCAAAGGTCATTGAGATCAGCTTTATGTGGAGTAAGGAGGAGGCCTGGGAACCGCTTGTGGCATCAGTTGGGGCGACAGGTGGATGAGTGTGCTCTGATGGAGCTTTTACGGCCCACAGCCACTGCCAGGAGCCTGAGCTCTTCCCCATGCTTGGGACACGTTCCTTGGTCCCCACAGCAGAATGGACATTGAATTTTGGTGCTTTTCCCTTTGGTAGAAGGTGGAGGTATCTGAGGAGTTGTTTCTGTCTTGCTACCTCTGTCTACTATATAGAGCAAGAGTCGGGAATAGGGAGATGTGTGAGAATCACTCTCCCATGGATCAGTGTGGGCCCTGTCCCTCTTCCCCACTGTCACCAACCAGCAGCTTGGGGAAAAGGCTCTGTCGTGGATTTTTGCTGCCTGCTTCCCGCTTCCACTCTTCTTGGCGGTAGATGTTCATGGTGATCCACTTTGGGCGGTCTGAAAGTAGGAGGTGGGGGAAGAGGCAAGCCTGCACACACACTTCCTGTCCACAGGGGGTTGCCTGTGGCATTGGAGGGTGGAGTCTCAGAGTCCAGGGACTGGGAGGAAGGTACTTGATGGGATGGTCTTGATTCTGGAACTTTAGACTGAGGTGTTAGAAAGGGGAATTGTTGGCTAGGGGAGAAGAGCAGTTTAACGCTCCACTTGCTAAGTCGTCTGTATCAGTGTCAGAAGGTCTTGACCTCCCATTCAGATTTAATTTCCTAACTGCCAGGTGTGGGGCTGGGGATAGAGGGCCCAGAAGGGGGCGCAGTCACTGACGTGAAGGGACCACATCCCGCTTCATGTCAGTGACTCCTGCCCCTTGGTCTTCAGTGTTTTTCTCTTCCCCAGGAGGGACTTTGATCATGCAGGATAGAATTCTCCCATCGCACACCTGGGGGCAAGTTTTAGATGAGCTTCTTTCCTCCATTTCACCTGGTGGTCTGAGGACACACAGAGGGTGGGGGTGAGCAGGCAGTGTGGGTGGGGAGGGGCTACCTCCCCCAGACCCCTTACAAACTCTGTACCTCTCGGTGCGCGGCAGCCTCTTGCTGTAGTTCTTCTTTTCTGGATATGACTGTCAGTTTCGTCATGAGATTTCTTGCTCTCATTTCGAACTCTTTCTTTCTTCCACTTTCTTTGGGGGCGACCCCCGATCCATGCCAGGTCTTCCTGTGAAGACCGTTCCAACCTCGTTTCCATTTCTTGAATGTTGAGTATTACAACATCACTGCGCTAGGGTGCTTCATGGTGCTGTTCTCGAAGAGGCCAGTTGGGCTGAATCTCCTTCCTCCCACTGGCTCCTGATATCTTGCTGTATTTTGTCTTCTTTCTGATTTTTCCCTAGGGGTTTGGGGTGGGTGACTTAGGGGCGGCTTTTGTGTTCTCCCTCTCTCTCTCTTTCTTTTCTGTATGTATGTATGGACTGGTTAAAGTGAGTTTGGGCAGCTGACTTTATGGTATGGGTTGGCTGACTTTTGTTCAACATTAAAGACAAACCAACAAATTGTACAGCTGCACACAGAACACCTTTGAGTGTGAACTTGAATGGCAACTAGAGGCTTACTTTTTGAACTTCAGGTATGTAACTCAAAAGTAAATAAAACCACTATTTTTTCAGTAAGCTTTTTTTTCTTCTAAAAGATGACTTAGAAATCAAACTATAAGAACATGAAATCGGTGCTGTACCAAAGCCTTATATGAACATATTCTACACTCTGTATAACCTGTCTGTGAGGAGCTCCCTGCTCTATCACCCTCTTCTCAAAAGCCTGGGAATGCCAGCGCGTGCCAAGCCTGGGGCTGGGTCTTGGGGACCTGTGGGCCAAGGGCACCCTGGGAAGTAAAAGATGACGGTGAGGATGGGACACCCTTCTGCTGCCTGAGCAGACTGCAAGGAAACCAGATGTGTGTGTGTGCGCGCACCTGCATATATATGTGTGCATACCTGTGCGTGTGTGTGCGTGTGCGTGTGTGCACGCAAGAGAGTGAGAGCGGGAGAGAGCTCACAGGTGCACAGTGTCATGGTGAATGTACTAAGTACGAGCTTGAAGGGAGGCCCAGGTTGGCTCTGGGAGTGGGGCGGTGTGGGAATGAAGGGGGGATGCTCTCTCCCCTGTTTTCTGCCTCCTTCCCTTCTCCGTCAGGGAAGGGAGGTGTATTGGAAACAGCTACACTCTCAATCAGGTGCTTTTTTTCCCTCAAAATCTCCAAACTCAAAGCATTTATAAGGGGCCCTTCCAATGGGCAGGCACCCCCAGCCACCAAATCACAGACTTCCAAGAGTAGGAGGAACTGTCTCCTCCCGAACCCTTCCTTGCTTTCCTGGGGAAGAGGGTTCTTCCTGCAGGGACCCTGGGCATCCTGCTGCTGGGCCTGGGCCTATAGACTGCCCTGCCCCTTCTTCCCAAACACTGAGAAGACCCCGCTGGAGATGACCCCAAAGCCACGCCTGCTCTACGGCCCTAAGCAATAGACGCCTGCCCTGGCTGCTGATGATGGTGATCCCTTTGTCCTTTGACTTGGCAGTCAAAAATGGAGTGACACCCCAGACTCAGTCAGGAAGAGAACCTGCAGCCTGCCTCAGCTCAGGCTACCACGCCAGGCTCCACTCGCTGGTATTTCCAGGCTTGCTAAGTACTAACCAACTCATCCCCAGTAACACTGCATGTTCATATCCTGAATTACAAATCAAAATGAGCAAACACGTGCATAAGCAAATGAGAAAAAAGAAGGCACACATCAAATGATGAGATGTGCAGCCAGTGCAGGTACCCCGGGAGTGTTGCAAGTTAAACTGATGAAAAGACGTTTAGTATTTAATTGCTCCTCATGTAACATTACTCTGCTTCAGAAATGTTTTGTATTTTGATATAAATAAACATTTGCTAAAAAAGTTCATTTTCTAATTTTTTTGTGTACCTAGGGAGTGCTTCCTGATGTTGTCTCACCCCTGGCCCTAGGTCTCCCTAATCAACCCACTTTAAACTCACGACTCAACATGATTCTGAAATGGTTTGCGGCTGGGAGATGAAGAGGTTGCCTTTCGTTCATTGAACACACATGTACTGAGGGTATACTGTGTGTGAGTCACTGTTTAGTTCACTTGGGGTGCACAAGTGAATAGGCCAGACAAGGCTCCTGCTCCTGGAGGGCTTTCATTCTAGTGATAGGGACAGAGAATGAGTCATTATTGCACTAAGAAAATGACATCGAATGGCATAAGGCAAAAAAAAGGAGCAGGGTAAGGGGCAGCTGACGTACAGAAGGAAGGAGGGGGCTGCGGTTTAGAGCGCTATTTTAGAGTGCTCAGAGAGGGTCTCAGCGGGAGGCAGCACTGGAGCAAAAGCAGAAAGGGGGTGGCTTGTCTGGTGAATGCACACACTTCTCTTTTACTTTGTAGGCTCTTTGCAGTGGCTCTTCAATTATGCAATGATGGTAATTTTTTGGTTGGACTCTATCTTTGTCTAAACGAGTCTCCTGCCAGCAAGTCCTGCTGGCCCTCGGCAAAATCTCATGCAAGAGTCGGGTGTGATGGCCCCTCTGTCTCAGCCTTTCTTTTTCCCGAGAGGGAGGGATGGTCAGGCTTCGGCATCTCACTCTGTCTCCTCCAGGGTTGAGTTTGGGGACTTGACTTCCTGCCCTGGCCCGTCCTCGTCCTCCCCTTCTCATGCTGGATGTAGGCAATGCTCCCCTGGTTCCCTAGCAATACCTACTAGGCTGCCTTCTCATTTTATTTGGGATTTAGGTGGAGATCAGATGCCAAAATACGATATTCCTGTTTATGCGTACCAAGAGGAGAAAACAGCCAAATGATAAAACCAGCAAACGGACAGAAAAATAGGCCCATCTATACATGAAAAAACCTCTGCCATGGGAAATTCCCTAACAGCTGTGAGATGGGCTGTTCCGCCTGGCGGGCCCTGGGTCCGCACAGCTTTCCTCTGCTTCAGTGATCTGCCACGATTCTCTTTCCTCCCTAGTTTGCATTCGCTCTTTCCTCTGCCCTCCCCTGCTCTTAGCAGGCCATGATGAAAATCTTTTTGATGTCTCTTCTACATTTGATCTTAATTTGTAAAAGCAGATGCATGGAGTGTCTCGCAGTCTCTTTCTTATGCATAGGTGAATGTGGCCAAAGTTGCCAACCCCACCCTGTGAGAGCCAGCTCTCAGCTCATCCCCGAGGCTGTGGGCAGTGCGGTACTGCATTCCCAGCATGCCGTCGGCATTCTACAGGAGCAGCTGGCTGACCTCACAATCCTGTAACATTCACAGGCTCTCTGGCAAAGCTAAATTTTAAAAAAGTAGTGAGAAAAAAATAATTTTGGTCAGGAGGACCGTCTCTGTTAGATTTAAGAGACTTTTGCCTCTTTTTAAGATTGGGCCTAAATTCAGGTGCTCCATACTTGAAGAAATGCTTTCATTTTTATTTCATCTGATGCTCAAGATAACCTCACAGATTAAGTAAAATAGGTCTGATTTATCTCTCTTTTGGTCAGAACCAATGAATGAGCCAATCGATGGCCCTTCACTTCTTCGCTTCTTCTCTCTGCCTCCCTCTCTCCCTTCATCCTTTCCTCCCCTCATTGCTGCTCAAAGGCTTTAAGGCAGCAGGAAGTTGCCTAGAAAATAAAAATGAGGCCCAGTACTTTTTCCCTTAGGCCTCCTTTCAGGTCCACATGACACAGTCCCAGGACACCCGTGTTCCCCAAGTGAGGTCATGCAGCCCCTTGGGTCTAGGAAATGGCACTTGTGAACCCTGCTGAGCAATGCCAGGACTTTTATTAGTGGAAGTTTGGGTGAATTATGGTGCCAGAGAAAGAGGGGACACCAGGTGACAGCAAACTTTCTGGGCTTTCTACACCTTGAGATTGTGCTGATTTCAGGACCCAAGCTCTGCTGTGAGGTTTTGGGGAGAGACCGGGCTAGTCCTGGGGTACTCAGCGGTCTGCATCATCACGCAGATGGTGTGCTGTAGGTAAACTAGCCAGTCTCCTGTGCCCCCAGCCTCCCTTTTTGGGCTGTTTTCCCCATTTCCATGGAACCCTTTCCTCTGCGGTCGGGGCCTAGGAGCCATCTGTCTACAAACCTAGTGTTGAAGAAGAACTGCATGATGCCCTGGTTCATCAGCCTAGAGAGGTGGGCAGCACCCTGCAATTCCCGTCCTAGATTCATCACTGCTTTTGCGAAGCTGCTTTTGCCTGTGCTTCTCAGCCTTGGTGAAGTCATCTGCATTCACAGTGGCTTGCCTTCGCCCCCCACCCCTGGAAAAAGTCCTTGTGCTGCCTGTGCCGTTAAGAAAGAGGTGACCGGCTGGGCGTGGTGGCTCATGCCTGTAATCCCAGCACTTCCGGAGGCCGAGGCGGGCGGATCACGAGGTCAGGAGATCGAGACCATCCTGGCTAACACAGTGAAACCTCGTCTCTACTAAAAAAAAAAAATACAAAAAATTAGCCGGGCGTGGTGGCGGGCGCCTGTAGTCCCAGCTACTCGGGAGGCTGAGGCAGGAGAATGGCGTGAACCCGGGAGGCGGAGCTTGCAGTGAGCAGAGAGGCGCCACCGCACTCCAGCCTGGGCGACAGAGCCAGACTCCGTCTCAAAAAAAAAAAAAAAAAAAAAGTGGGACCTTGGGGAAATCCCTTGGCCTTTCTGAGGCAGCTGCCCGCAGGGAGGGAGGCAGCCTTTCTTGGCAGGAGACACACGTCTGTGCAGACGCACAGGGCTCCCGTCTAAGTCTTCGGGGACTGCCTTGGCAGCACAGGCTGAGTGCAGGTGTCTGCAGCTCAGTGGCATCCTCCGAGGAGAAATGCCACCTTCTCCTTCTTGCGGGCAGTCCCCCTCTCTATGCCAGATCATTATGAAGCATTATCTCGCTTGGCTTTGAGGGAGAAGCACGCCCTTTCCACCCACATAAGGAGGGTGAGGGAAACGCCTCTTAGCACTTCCAGGCACTCCTCAGAAGGCCAGTGACTGGACTTCAACCTTCTGTTTCGTCTCCTTCCTGCTGCCATCCTGGTGTGCTGCTACGGCCAGCTGTGCCGCCTCTTGTTCAGCTGTGCTGGAGGTAACCAGCGCTCCGTGACAGGGCGGGATGCTCAGCTCCTGTGTGTCCTCAGTTTGGGGCCTTAATCATCAAAGGGCAACAGGAAGTGTCCCTTCACACCTGAGGCCCCTTCATCCTCTCGTGGGTGTGGGCCTTCACAGCGGCAGCTCCTTGACCTCAGTACAGCCTTCCACTGCGCTTCGTTTCACCGGCTCCTTGTGCGTCCGCCTCACTAGTGTGGAAGCCCCTTGGCAGTGGAGCCCCCATCAGTCCTGTTGGTGGCCAACCCAAAAGGCACACGTCTCAGAGGAGCAGTGTGAGGAGGGAGAAATGGCCTGGAACCAGCAGAGAGGCCTGGCTTTCCCACAGCCTACATTCTAATGTAGGGATCCAGCCAGTCACCCAGTCAATCAACAACCCAGTCCTGTGAAAGTGTCATGGGCATTATGCAGAGAACCAAGTAGGATGGTGTGGAGTGACAGGCGGGTTGTAGAACTGAGTAGGATGGTGTGGAGTGACGGGCGGTTTGCTTTCGGTTGGGTGGCTAGGGAAGATGGCTTCGAAGTCACATTTAAGCCTCCTCACATTGTTGAGAAGGGGCCAGTCAGGTACAGCTCAGCAGAGAAGAGCCTCCCAAGCAGAGGTGCTGTTTCTGCAGACCTGAAGGTAGGAGTGGATTTGGTCTGTTTGAGGAATAGAGTGAGCCATGAGTGGGAAGGGAAGGAGAGAGCAGCGGAAGAGGATGAATGACACACTAGGGCTCTGTAAAGGGAAGGAGGGTTAGATTGTATTCTCGGGGTGCTGGGAAGTCACCGGAGAGTTTTAAGCTGGGCAAAGCCTTGATCTGATTTATGTATTAGAAATACCCCTCTGACTGCTGGTGGAGAGCGGACTATAGGAGGGTGAGAGCAGAGGGAACAGAGAGATGACAATGCCATCCACAGTCCCAGCTGAGAAGCGTTTAGACCAGGACAGCCACAGCAGAGGCGGAGAGGAGACGACCAGTTTGGATCTGTGTGGGAGGGGCGACAGACTTGCTGAAAAGCTTGCCGTGAGAGTGAAGAAAAGAGAGGAATCAAGAATGACTCTGGCTTTTGACCTGAGCAACTGAGAAAGAGGACTGGGGGAGGAGGAGGTATGAAAGGGGACAGACATCAAGAGTTGTAAGGTCTGAAACGGTCCTTAAACTTCCCATTGGAGATGTCAGGTCAGATGCCACTAGATGTGTGGGCCTGGGATTCCAGAGGGACCCTATCAGTGTAGATACAGGTTAGGGAATTGTCCTCAGAGAGATGGTATTTAAATCCTAGAAGGGGAGGGTAGACAGAGAAGAGAAGGGGTGCACACAAGCAGCTGAGTGTCGTGTAGAGGTAGGTAATTAATGATGTTGACAAGGCGGCCTCAGTGGCACGGTGGGGACAGAAGCCCCGTGGGAGTGGGTTGATGAGAAAGTGGAGACAGTGACTATTGACAAATCTTGGGCTAGGAGGCAGAGGGGAAGTTCTGATGGCACAGCTGATTGCTGAGTGGAAGTTTCCCAGGACATCATAGCTCTAGGGCTCAGGAGCACTGTGGGTGCCAAAGTGTCCTATCCAGTTCCCCTCTAGTAGATGGGTGTGCCCATCCCCTGGCTTCTTTGCATGTTGGTGGCCCATGGTTCACAGGTGCCTCCCACCCTGCTCATCACTGGAGAGGTGCCCTTCACTGACGTGAGCCCCCTTGCCCAAGAAATGACAAGCTCCTCTGCCAGGAGTGACCCTCAGCTAATGGCTGGCACAGGGATACAAAAGGCCACCTGCTTGCCTTAAAGAGAGGGTGTCTCTATGATGCTTTCCAGGATCAGGCCACAGCTAGAATTCACCTGAGATGACATCCTTCATCACTTCTTTCCCCAATCCTGTCTAGCTTTCCTTACTTCTTTAGTTTTTTTCTTGGAAGTTTCCACAATAAAACACCCCCCACCCCATTGCCTGGCTTAGGCTTTGCACCTAGAGAACCCAGTCTAAGACTGGATGCCAGGGGACTCTAAGGTTGGAACTCAGGAATTAGGTCACTCACCACTGGCTGGCAAAAGGACCCCATCATAGCGGCAGGTACAGTATTAGCAGTTGCTGGTATGTGTTAGCAGTGCAGTTGCTAAGATGGCCACCCATGTAGAACTCAGGGAAGGTACAAGGAAAAGGGATATACTGGTTCATAGAACATCTTATATTTGAGAGGTTCTGAAGAAAGACCACTGATAGGAACTGTGGGATGGAGTGGCCGAATGCCCTTGAGGCTTTGAAGAGAGGAAAGGCAGGACCAGGGCAGCCAATCTCCAATTTAAAGCAAAGGAGAGTCAGCATGCCTCCTTGGTGGCCTTAAAGAGACTCCCATATGCAGCAGGAGGGCAGAACAAGCTGAAGACCAGACCCAGGACTTAACTGTTAGAGAAGAAGAATTCTGGAGCAGGCTGAATCTCAGACCAGATGAGTCTCATATGCCAAAGTCAGGGTCTAATAGGAAAAGACTGAGACCCACCATCTGGGATGGGAAAAGAGAGAGAAATGTGTTGGAAGGCTTTGAGTCTCCAGATTCCCCAAAACTTCTGGTCCTGCCAAAATGGCCTTTCCCCGTTTCTGGAAGACAGAAACCCCTCCTTGCTTGAAGAACAGGCAGATGCTTCAAATGAAGCAGGTATTCTACAAGAAGTTCTTGACTTCCTCAGCAGCTTTCCCATCCACAGATGCCCCATTTGTCCCTTCTTATCACTTAGACCAATAAGAGAATCAAAGCTCAGCATATCCCCCTAGGCAAGCATTGGTTCTGCTAAGAGAGGAGAGGGATTTCTTCAAGGAGCTGAAGGATCTGGCTAGTGTGTGTTGGGCACAGACCAGGGAGTGTGCTTGGGGGTGAATCCTGAGGGTCCTGGGCCAAGGGGGCCAGACTAGAAAGCTCTTCAGGGGAGAGTTTGTTGTTATGGGGGCACCCACCAGTGATACAGGTTTTAATAATCTTGCCAGGGCCCCATAAGGCAATTCTTATGGCTGCTGAGTGGTTCCTAGAGGCTTGTTGAGAATGACGGCCCACATGAAATGAAATAGATGTGTCAGAACTCCCTTGCAGATCATGGCTGAAGGGATCCAAAGGCTTAGGGAAATGGGCGTGCTAGAATGGATCTACTCTAGAATACCAGAAGACCCACTGGCTGCCTGTGCTTTTTGATTGGGCTGGAGGACTCTCCATTCACCAGGGAGATAAAGGATGGGTTGGTGAGAGGGTTCCAGCATGGATGAGCAGCTCAGCACAGCTGTCCTCGGGAGGCCAGGGCTGAGCTTGAAGGTGCTGATGCAGAACTGAGTGTCTACTGAAGCCTACAGAAGCTGTTATGATTTGTGGGGAATCATGAGCAACAGTCCTTCTGAAGCCTAGAATAAGAAAAGAAATGGCATCAGTGCCACCATGAAATATTGGGCTGAAAATCCAACTGATGTGGTTAAAAAGTAAATCAAGAAAAGGTTAAAAGAAAGTAAAATAAAACATTGATTATTTTCAAGTGATATGAATATCTATATATAAAATCTGTGAGAATCTATGGACAAACCATTGGAAACAGTAAGAGAACCAAGCAAGATTGCTGAACCCAAGGTGGATGGAGTTCTTTATACCAGCAACAAAACAACGTGTTTTAAAAGGCATCTTTATAATAGTGACGACAACAACGAAACAAGAGAAAACAATGGGCAAGACCTTTATGAGTTAAATGGCAAGACTTCATTGAGAGACAAGAGAAGGTCTAAAATCACGTGGACATCAGATTAAGACAAATGAGCATCCCCGTCTCCATGTGTTGGTCCTTTCCCCGAGGATGTGGTCCCTTGAAGGGCCTGGCTTTCTGTCAGGACTGACAGTTTGCCTTGCAAGGGCCTGTGTGTTTGATACCTCTCCCCAGGGGCCAGTCCCTGTGCTTTTCTTAGAGGTTGGACCCTTCCCCTCTCGCCTACCTCTCTCTCTGTCAGATCAACTGGAGCATCGGCCTATACTTAGCACTCTGGTTTCCAATTCTCTCTTCACTTTTGGCTAAAGAAGTTATCAACTCAGCTATGCATTCAGAGGCATGCTTGCTACATCCTATACAGCATTCTAGATTTTAGGGGCAGAGGATTTTTAGGCTATCTGGTTGGCCTTGTTACCAACACTGAACACCTCCATCCTTTCTTTGTCTCTGTTCAAAGTATGCTGTTTGACTTTTCTAGATCGCATATTTGTAAAAATATTTTTCAATCCGATGGTGTCTGTTTTTCAGAGGATCATTCAGTTCATTCACACTGAGTAATGACTGTTATACTTTATACAGCATTCTACCTTATTTTGTATTTTTTATTCATTTTATTTTGTGGTTTCCCAATCATCGTTTTCCTTATTTTTGCTGGTTGCTGTTTATTTTTCAGTTGTTATTTACTGCTCTTTAACCCCCTTATTAAATTTGGGAGTTCAACTATCATTTTCCATTCCATTAATGATAATGTTCCATTTCTAAGTACCCAAATCCGTATTTTCTTCATCACTATTAAATGATAGCAAATGCCAACTTTTCCTCTGTCAAGACACTCAGTTATCTGACCGTTCTCTCCACCTTGCGTGTGGTGAAACATTAGGACATTTTTACTTCCTGACTTTTCTCTTCCCCAACTTGAATGATGCCTTTGAACATTTTTACTGATGTCCCTCCATCTTAACACCCAGGTTTTCCTGAGAGAGTTTGGTACATTTATTCTAAGCTATTATTAGAATTTATCTTTCAGTACGTAGGTGTCTTTTATTTAAGATCCTTATTTCTTGGATTACTTGTTTTCAGGTGCTGATTTTCAATATATACGTACTTACAGGCATATATAAAATATCTCTGAATGCATATAGGTACATACGTATTTGGATTTGTGTATATTTGTTGCTCACCACTTCCTTTTCTCCGTCATCTTTTATTTGTGTTTGGATTTTTTTTGAGAGTAAAGTATTTCTTAGATAGGTTCATAGGTGCTATAATCTCTGGACCATGCATTTCTACAAGTATCATTTCTGGCTTCTGGTGTCAGCAGCATGGCAGCAGCAGGTGGTTTTTAACCCTCTTTCAAGGCATTAAGGTGAGAGGAGTCTCAGCTGACTTGCTCAGCGCTTCTTCAGCTCCCTGGAGGTCAGAGAGAACAGGCACAGTCCTGTGGGCTATTATTGTCTTCCCCTGGGGTTTTCCTATCTCTGCACACTAAACTTTCTCCAGGAGCCACCAAGTTCCTTGTCTGGCCCTGGGACTTTTCCAACACGTGTCCCTGAGACAATGTGTTGTGAGAAAAAAATGGAGCCTCAGGTTAAATCATGAAAGTAGTAGAGATTACTATGAGGACACAGAGCAGGGGAATGGGCAGTGGCCGAGAAGAGAATCCTGGGTTCACCAATGTTTAAGGGGCAGGCAGAGAAAAGGGGGCCCAAGAAGGAGGAAGTGGTCAGTAGGGTCAAGTACAAGAGAAAGGTCATGTAAATATCGCCTAAATGTCTTCACAGGCTGGGATGAAAATTGAGTTAACTTTTCATAGGAACCATACATTTCAACGACTCTGTCTCATTTACCAAATAAACAGGAAGGCCAATTTTCCCAGGGTTCCTTATTCTTACATTTCTCAGACTCCTTGGAGTGTTTACATGAATTCCAGAATCGATCCTGGATATCTTCACTGCTTGCTGGTAGGAATGGAAACTCAAGAGCCTGTATTCAGCCCAAAGGAGTCTGGGGTTGTGGACCTTGCGTCTCAGGATGTCTGCTGCTCCTGCTGCTGCTAGTGCCTGCGTGGGTAGAGGCCACGTGTCCAGAGGTGGAAGGATGTAAGTGCCAGTGCTGTGCTCTGTAGGCCACGGGGAGAACCACACATGGCTTACGTAAAGTCCTAGCTTTGTCTGTGTGCTTGTTTTTGTTTCCTTTCAGGACACCCGGTTCCTAGAATCTCAAAGGGAAGGGAGGGTCTCTCCATTTTCTTCCCGTCTGCCTCCATATAATTTTTTGGATTTGATTAGCTGAGTAGAGGGAATAACATTCAAGTCCTAAATGCAAATGGATGTTCCTGGGAGGGAGAGGGGAGCAATGAATGACACCACATTGGATCAATTGGGGTTTCAGTAGGAGACACATAATGGGAGGAAGATGTGTTTATAAAGGGATGTTTTCATAGGTGTGGGAGGGTGTAGGAAGACCATGTGAGTGGTGCAGGAACCCAGGGCAGTTAGTGGCTCGCTGTCACCCCCCTTAGGCCTGGAGACAAGAAGGGAAGGAGAGGCGGCCATAATTGGGGAAGAGAAGAAGTCACATGGAGTAGGTCACCTTGAGAAGAGCAGTGACCAAGGCTACAGACAGCCCCAGATAACCTCACCAGTGTGGAGCCAAGGAAGCAGATACTTAGATCTTATTTTCCTTTTGCCCTTCAATCTCCTGCCAAGGATTTCCATAGGCTGAAGCCAACCAGCAGCCAGAAGGCACAGGAGTGCACTGATGTGGTCCAGATAGTGGAAGAGAACAGGGAGGGAGGGCTAGAGAGTGGATATTGAGAGACTGAGGATACCTGGCACAAGTGTGATCTGCTTACAGAATGTATGACAGGTTGATGCTCAAATAACATGTTCTGTCACATAATATAAGAACCCAAAAAATGCATGTTGGACTGGCAGTTTAGAGCCCACTGGCAACTTTTTGAAAACAAGTGTAGTAGAATAATCAGGAGAGGAAGCCAAATTGCAATGGACTGACTCACAAGGAAGACAGTGAATGATAAAGACCCTCTCAAGAAGCCTGAGATGATAGGGAGAAATCTAGGATGAGCTAGATCTAGGAGACTGCAGGATGTAGCATATTGCAAAGATGCCCTCAGTTCTTTACCCCTTCCCGTATTCAAAGTCCTTGCCATACAGCTTTCTAGTGTCCCCCCTCTCTACTCTGGGCTTGATCAGGCTTGATCAGTGGGGTGTCAGCAGATGTTATACAAGCAAAGGCTTGAAATAAGGCCATGCTTTGGAGCTTGCCCTGTTGCGCTTGTGCCATTGCCATGAGAACATGCCCATGGTAGCCTGCTGGGAGAGCAGAGCCATATTGCTCTAATTGCTCCAATTGGAACCAGCCTATATGAGAAGCCAGTGTTGGTCAGCTGATCCTCAGATTTGTGGGCGAGCCCTGTCAAGATCAGGAGAGACATCTAGCTGACACCCAGCTGATGCCTGAGGTGGAATCCCATGTTTCCAAGTGTTTATGATATCAAGCTTTTATGAGTACTAAACACTTATTGTTACATGCCACTGGCATTTTATAGTTAATTTTTAATACAACATTATTGAGGCAATCAATAACTGATGTACAGGGTAAACTGATATTTTTATTAAATTCTCAAATGATTGAAGACTTAAGTGTAAAAATTGTACCCATGTAAGTACTAGAAGAAAGCATGAATAAATTCTTACATAATTTGGGGTGTGGGAAAAAAATTTTTTCACAATGACTTAAAATCCAGATGCAAAGTAAAAAAAATTAATAAATTTGACTTCATAAAATCAGTAAAATTTGAGAGGGGGCAAGATGGCCAATTAGGAACAGTTCTGGTCTGCAGCTCCTAGTGAGACCAATGCAGAAGGCAGGTGATTTCTGCATTTCCAACTGAGGTACCTGGTTCATCTCATTAGGACTGATTAGACAGTGGTTGTAGCCCACAGAGGGCAAGCAGAAGCAGGGTGGGGCATTGCCTCACCTGGGAAACACAAGGGGCTGGGGAACTCCCTCCTCTAGCCAAGGGAAGCCATGAGGGACTGTGCAGTGAGGGACAGTGGTATCTGGCCCAGATACTATGCTTTTCCCATGGTTTTTGCAACCTGAAGACCAGGAGATTCCCTCGGGTGCCTACACCACCAGGGCCCTGGGTTTCAAGCACAAAACTGGGTGGCCGTTTGGGCAGACACTGAGCTAGCTGCAGGAGGATTTTTTTTTTTTTTTGTATCACAGTGGTGCCTGGAACCCCCAGTGATACAGAACCATTCACTCCCCTGGAAAGGGGGCTGAAGCCAGGGAACCAAGTGGTCTTGCTCAGTAGGTCCCACCCCCATGGAGGCCAGAAAGCTAAGATCCACTGGCTTGAAATTCTCGCTGCCAGTACAGCAGTCTGAAGTTGACCTGGGACACTCCAGCTTGGTGGGGGGAGAAGCCTCCACCATTACTGAGGCGTGAGTAGGTGGTTTTCCCCTCACAGTGTAAACAAAGCCACTGGGAAATATGAACTGGGTAGAACCCACCACAGTGTGACAAAGCCACTGTAGCCAGACTGCCTCTCTAGATTCCTCCTCTCTGGGCAGGGCATCTCTGAAAGAAATGCAGCCACCCCAGCAGGGGCTTATAGATAAAACTCCTATCTCCCTAGAACAGAGCACTTGTGGGAAGGTAAGCCTGTGGGCGCAGCTTCAGCACACTTAAAGATTCCTGCCTGCCAGCTCTGAACAGACCAGCAGATCTCCCAGCACAGCACTCCAGCTCTGCTAAGGGACAGACTGCCTCCCCATGCTTCCTGACTGGGAGACACCTCCCAGCAGGGGTCAACAGACACCTCATACAGGAGAGCTCCAGCTGGCATCTGGTGGGTGTCTCTCTGGACGAAGCTTCCAGAGGAAGGAGCAGGCAGCAATCTTTGCTGTTCTGTAGCCTCCGCTGGTGATATCTAGGCAAACAGGGTCTGAAGTGGACCTCCGGCAAACTCCAGCAGACCTGCAGAAGAGAGGCCTGTTAGAAGGAGAACTAACAAACAGAAAGCAATAACATCAGTATCAACAAAAAGGACACCCATGCAAAAACCCCATCCAAAGGTCACCAACATCAAAAACCAAAGGTAGATAAATCCACAAAGATGTGGAAAAACCAGCACAAAAATGCTGAAAAACCCCCAAAACCAGAATTCCTCTTCTTCTCCAAAGGATCACAACTCCTCACCAGCAAGGGAACAAAACTGGATGGAGAATGAGTTTGATGAATTGACAGAAGTAGGCTTCAGAAGGTGAGTAATAACAAACTCCTCTGAGCTAAAGGAGCATGTTCTAACCCAATGTAAGGAAGCTAAGAACCTTGAAAAAAGGTTACAGGAGCTGCTAACTAGAATAACCAGTTTAGAGCAGAACATAAATGACCTGATGGAGCTGAAAAACACAGCATAAGAACTTTGTGAAGCATATACAAGAATCAATAGCCAAATCAACCAAGTGGAAGAAAGAATATCAGAGATTGAAGATCAACTTAATGAAATAAAGTGTGAAGACAAGATTAGAGAAAAAAGAATGAAAAGGAATGAACAAAGCCTCCAAGAAATATGGAACTATGTGAAAAAACCAAACCTACGATTGATTGGTATACCTGAAAGTAAGGGGGAGAATGGAACCAAGTTGGAAAACACACTTCAGGATATTACCCAGGAGAACTTCCTCAACCTAGAGACAGGCCAACATTCAAATTCAGGAAATACAGAGAACACCACTAAGATACTCCTTGAGAAGAGCAACCCCAAGCCACACAATTGTCAGATTCACCAAGGTTGAGATGAAGGAAAAAATGTTAAGGGCAGCCAGAGGGAAAGATCAGGTTATCTACAAAGGGAAGCCCATCAGACTAGCAGTGGATCTCTCTGCAGAAACCTTACAAGCCAGAAGAGAGTAGGGGCCAATATTCAACATTCTTAAAGAAAAGAATTTTCAACTCAGAATTTTGTATCCAGCCAAACTAAGCTTCATAAACGAAGGGGAAATAAAATCCTTTACTGACAAACAAATGCTGAGGGATTTTGTCACCACCAGGCCTGCCTTACAAGAGCTCCTGAAGGAAACACTAAATATGGAAAGGAAAAACTGGTACCAACCACTGCAAAAACATACCAAAATATAAAGACCAATGCTATGAAGAAACTGCATCAACTAATGTGCAAAATAACCAGCTAGCGTCATGATGATAGGATCAAATTCACACGTAACAATATTAACTTTAAATGTAAATGGGCTAAATGCCTCAATTAAAAGACACAGACTGGCAAATTGGATAAAGAGTCAAGACCCATCAGTGTGCTGTATTCAGGAGGCCCATCTCATGTGCAAAGACACACAGGCTTAAAATAAAGGGATGGAGGAATATTTACCAAGCAAATGGAAAGCAAAGAAAGCAGGGGTTGCAACCCTAGTCTCTGATAAAAGACTTTAAACCAACAAAGATAAAAAAAGACAAATAAGGGCATTATATAATGGTAAAGGGATCAATACAACAAGAAGAGCTAACTATCCTAAATATATATGCACCCAATACAGGAGCACCCAGATTCATAAAGCAAGTTCTTAGAGACCTACAAAGAGACTTAGACTCCTACACAATAATAGTTGGAGACTTTAACACCCCACTGTCAATATTAGACAGATCAATGAGACAGAAAATTAACAAGGATATTCAAGACTTGAACTCAGCTCTGGACCAAGCAGACCTAATAGACATCTACAGAACTCTCCAACCCAAATCAACAGAATATACATTCTTCTCAGCACCACATTGTACTTATTCTAAAATTGACCACAAAATTGGAAATAAAGCACTCCTCAGCAAATGCAAAAGAACGGAAATCTTAACAAACAGTCTCTCAGACCACAGTGCAATCAAATTAGAACTCAGGATTAAGAAACTCACTCAAAACTGTATAACTACATGGAAACTGAACAACCTGCTTCTGAATGTCTACTGGGTAAATAACAAAATTAAGGCAGAAATAAATAAGTTCTTTGAAACCAATGAGAACAAAGATAGAATGTACCAGAATCTCTGGGACACAGCTAAAGCAGTGTTTAGAGGGAAATTTATAGCATTAAATGCCCACATCAGAAAGTGGGAAAGATCTGAAATCAACACCCTAACAGCTCAATTAAAAGAACTTATGTTCTTTGAAACCAACGAGAACAAAGACACAACATACCAGAATCTCTGGGACACATTCAAAGCAGTGTGTAGAGGGAAATTTATAGCACTAAATGCCCACAAGAGAAAGCAGGAAAGATCCAAAATTGACACCCTAACATCACAATTAAAAGAACTAGAAAAGCAAGAGCAAACACATTCAAAAGCTAGCAGAAGGCAAGAAATAACTAAAATCAGAGCAGAACTGAAGGAAATAGAGACCAAAAAAACCCTTCAAAAAATTAATGAATCCAGGAGCTGGTTTTTTGAAAGGATCAACAAAATGGATAGACTGCTAGCAAGACTAATAAAGAAAAAAAGAGAGAAGAATCAAATAGACGCAATAAAAAATGATAAAGGGGATATCACCACCGATTTCACAGAAATACAAACTACCATCAGAGAATACTACGAACACCTCTACGCAAATAAACTAGAAAATCTAGAAGAAATGGATAAATACCTCGACACATACACTCTCCCAAGACTAAACCAGGAAGAAGTTGAATCTCTGAATAGACCAATAACAGGATCTGAAATTGTGGCAATAATCAATAGCTTACCAACCAAAAGGAGTCCAGGACCAGATGGATTCACAGCCGAATTCTACCAGAGGTACAAGGAGGAACTGGTACCATTCCTTCTGAAACTATTCTAATCAATAGAAAAAGAGGGAATCCTCCCTAACTCATTTTATGAGGCCAGCATCATCCTGATACCAAAGCCGGGCAGAGCCACAACCAAAAAAGAGAATTTTAGACCAATATCCTTGATGAACATTGATGCAAAAATCGTCAATAAAATACTGGCAAACCGAATCCAGCAGCACATCAAAAAGCTTATCCACCATGATCAAGTGGGCTTCATCCCTGGGATGCAAGGCTGGTTCAATACACGCAAATCAATAAATGTAATCCAGCATATAAACAGAACCAAAGACAAAAATCACATGATTATCTCAATAGATGCAGAAAAGGCCTTTGACAAAATTCAACAACCCTTCATGCTAGAAACTCTCAACAAATTAGGTATTGATGGGATGTATCTCAAAATAATAAGAGCTATCTATGACAAACCCACAGCCAATATCATACTGAATGGGCAAAAACTGGAAGCATTCCCTTTGAAAACTGGCACAAGACAGGGATGCCCTCTCTCACCACTCCTATTCAACAGAGTGTTGGAAGTTCTGGCCAGGGCAATTAGGCAGGAGAAGGAAATAAAGGGTATTCAATCAGGAAAAGAGGAAGTCAAATAGTCCCTGTTTGCAGACGACATGATTGTATATCTAGAAAACCCCATTGTCTCAGCCCAAAATCTCCTAAAGCTGATAAGCAACTTCAGCAAAGTCTCAGGATACAAAATCAATGTACAGAAATCACAAGCATTCTTATACACCAATAACAGACAAACAGAGAGCCAAATCATGAGTGAACTCCCATTCACAATTGCTTCAAAGGGAATAAAATACGTAGGAATCCAACTTACAAGGGACGTGAAGGACCTCTTCAAGGAGAACTACAAACCACTGCTGAATGAAATAAAAGAGGATACAAACAAATGGAAGAACATTCCATGCTCATGGGTAGGAATAATCAATATCGTGAAAATGGCCATACTGCCCAAGGTAATTTATAGATTCAATGCCATCCCCATCAAGCTACCAATGACTTTCTTCACAGAATTGGAAAAAACTACTTTAAAGTTCATATGGAACCAAAAAAGAGCCCTCATCGCCAAGTCAATCCTAAGCCAAAAGAACAAAACTGGAGGCATCATGCTACCTGACTTCAAACTATACTACAAGGCTGCAGTAACCAAAACAGCATGGTACTGGTACCGAAACAGAGATATAGATCAATGGAACAGAACAGAGCCCTCAGAAATAATGCCGCATATCTACAACTATCTGATCTTTGACAAACCTGAGAAAAACAAGAAATGGGGAAAGGATTCCCTATTTAAGAAATGGTGCTGGGAAAACTGGCTAGCCATATGTAGAGAGCTGAAACTGGATCCCTTCCTTACACCTTATACAAAAATTAATTCAAGATGGATTAAAGACTTAAACGTTAGACCTAAAACCATAAAAACCCTAGAAGAAAACCTAGGCATTACCATTCAGGACATAGGCATGGGCAAGGACTTCATGTCTAAAACACCAAAAGCAATGGCAACAAAAGCCAAAATTGACAAATGGGATCTAATTAAACTAAAGAGCTTCTGCACAGCAAAAGAAACTACCATCAGAGTGAACAGGCAACCTACAGAATGGGAGAAAATTTTTGCAACCTACTCATCTGACAAAGGGCTAATATCCAGAATCTACAATGAACTCAAACAAATTTACAAGAAAAAAACAAACAACCCCATCAAAAAGTGGGCAAAGGATATGAACAGACACTTCTCAAAATAAGACATTTATGCAGCCAAAAAACACATGAAAAAATGCGCATCATCACTGGCCATCAGAGAAATGCAAATCAAAACAACAATGAGATACCATCTCACACCAGTTAGAATGGCGATCATTAAAAAGTCAGGAAACAACAGATGCTGGAGAGGCTGTGGAGAAATAGGAACACTTTTACACCGTTGGTGGGATTGTAAACTAGTTCAACCATTGTGGAAGTCAGTGTGGCGATTCCTCAGGGATCTAGAACTAGAAATACCATTTGACCCAGCCATTCCATTACTGGGTATATACCCAAAGGACTATAAATCATGCTGCTATAAAGACACATGTACACGTATGTTTATTGTGGCACTATTCACAATAGCAAAGACTTGGAACCAACCCAAATGTCCAACGATGATAGACTGGATTAAGAAAATGTGGCACATATATACCATGGAATACTATGCAGCCATAAAAAATGATGAGTTCATGTCCTTTGTAGGTACATGGATGAAACTGGAAATCATCATTCTCAGTAAACTATCACAAGGACAAAAAACCCAAACACCACATGTTCTCACTCATAGATGGGAATTGAACAATGAGAACACATGGACACAGGAAGGGGAACATCACACTCTGGGGACTGTTGTAGGGTGGTTGGAGGGGTGAGGGATAGCATTAGGAGATATACCTAATGCTAAATGATGAGTTAATGGGTGCAGCACAACAGCATGGCACATGTATACATATGTAACTAACCTGAACATTGTGCACATGTATCCTAAAACTTAAAGTATAATAATAATAATAATAATAATAATAAAAATAAAATAAAAGAACTAGAGAAGCAAGAGCAAACAAATTCAAAAGCTAGCAGAAGACAAGGAATAACTAAGATCAGAGCAGAACTGAAGGAGATAAAGACACAAAAAACCCTAAAAAATCAATGAACCCAGGATCTGGTTATTTGAAAAGATGAACATAATAGACGTCTAGCTAGACCAATAAAGAAGAAAAGAGAGAAGAATCAAAGAGACACAACAAAAAATGGTAAAGGGAATATCACCACTGATCCCATAGAAATACAAGCTACCATCACAGAATACTATAAACACCTATATGCAAGTAAGTTAGAAAATCTAGAAGAAATGGATAAATTCCTGGATACATACACCCTTCCAAAACTAAACCAGGAAGAAGTTGAATCCCTGAATAGACAAATAACAAGTTCTGAAATTGAAACAGTAATTAATAGCCTATCAACCAAAAAAAGCCCAGGACCAGGTGGACTCACAGACGAATTCTACCAGAGGCATAAAGATGAGCTGGTACCATTCCTTCTGAAACTATTCCAAACAATAGAAAAAGAGGGACTCCTCCCTAACTCATTTTACAAGGCCAGCATCATCCTGACACCAAAACCTGGCAGTGACGCAACAAGAAAAGAAAATTTCAGGCCAATATTCCTGATGAACATTGATGCAAAAATCCTCAATAAAATACTGGCAAACTGAATCCAGGAACACATCAGAAAGCTTATCCACCACAATCAAGTCGGATTCATCCCTGGGATGCAAGGCTGGTTCAACATACGCATATCTATAAACGTAACCCATCACATAAACAGAACCAATGACAAAACCACATGATTATCTCAATAGATGCAGAAAAGGCCTTCAATAAAATTCAACACCCCTTCACGCTAAAAACACTTAATAAACTAGGTATTGATGGAACATATATCAAAATAATAAGAGCTATTTATGACAAACCCACAGCCAATATCATACTGAATGGGCAAAAGCTGGAAGCATTCCCTTTGAAAACCAGCCCAAGACAAGGATGCCCTCTCTCACCACTCCTATTCAACATAGTGTTGGAGGTTCTGGCCAGGGCAATCAGGCAAGAGAAAGAAGTAAAGCGTATTCAAATAGGAAGTCAGGAAGTCAAATTGTCTCTGTTTGCAGATGACTTGATTGTATATTTAGAAAACCCCATCGTCTCAGCCCCAAAACTCCTTAAGCTGATAAGCAACTTCAGCAAAGTCTCAGGATACAAAATCAATGTGCAAAAATCACAAGCATTCCTATATACTAATAAAAGACAAACAGAGAGCCAAATCATGAGTGAACTCCCATTCACAATTGGTACAAAGAGAAAAAAATACCTAGGAATACAACTTACAAGGGATGTGAAGGACCTCTTCAAGGAGAACTACAAACCACTGCTAAGGAAATAAGAGAGGACATAAACAAATGGAAGAACATTCCATGCTCATGGGTAGGAAGAATCAATATCGTTAAAATGGCCATAATGCACAAAGTAATTTGTAGATTCAATGCTATTCTCATCAAGCTACCATTGACTTTCTAGGTGGGAGGCCTCAGTTACTCTCCATGTGCACCTCACCACAGGACTACTTGGATTAAAGTCATCAAGTTTCCTAAAATCAAGAAATCTGAAAAAGCAAGATAGAAGCTGCAATGTCATTTATTACATAGCTTTGTGTACACACACACACACACACACACGACCCTCTGTATCTGTGGGTTCTGCATTCATGAAGTCAACCAACTGCAGATCAAATATATTCAGAAAAAAATGGATGGTTGTGTCTGTGCTGAACATGCACAGACCTTTCTTGTCATTATTCCCTAAACAATAGAGTATAACAAAGATTACACAGCATTTACATTTTATTAGGTATTATAAATAATCTAGAGATTACACAATATATGGGAGGATGTGCACAGGTTATATGCAAGTAGTACACGATTTATAGAAGGGAATTCAGTCTGTGGATTTTGGTATCCACAGGCATCCCTGAATCTAATCCTCCACTGAGGGATGACTGGATTTATCTCCTGAATAACTGGGATTTGTCACAGAAATGTAACGTTGGTTTAGCATTTGAAAATCCATGAATATAATGCACTATAATAATAGAACAAAAGAAAAACCGTATGATCATCTCAACAGATGCAGAAAAAATGGATAAATCTTAACACTCATGACAAAAAGTCTCAGCAAACTCAGAATAGAAGGAATCCTATTTAATTCGATGAAGGAAATCTACCAAAATGCTATATATAATGGTGAAATTAAATATGTTTAATGGCATCATATTTAATGGTGAAATTATGAACACTTTTCCTCTAAGATTAGAAATAAGACAAAACTTGTTTTCATCACGTTTATTCAACATTTTACTGATAGTACTAGCCAATGCAATAGGGCAAGAACAAGAAAGAAACACTATAATAATTGAATAGAAAGAAAAATTATCATTATTTACACATGACATGATTATGTATGTAGAAAATCCCAAATAATCTATAGAAAATTACTATAAGTGAAATTCATAAGGTTGCTGAACACAGGGACAATATAACAAATTCTATTTACTACCAACAAACAACTAAAATAGAACAGAATGAAATAAATATGACCAGTCATGGTGGCTCATGCCTGTAATCCCAACACTTTGGAAGGTCGAGGAGAGAGGACTGCTGGAGGCCAGGAGTTAGAAACCAGCCTGGTCAACATAGTAAAACCCATCTCTACACAATAAAAAGCCAGATGTGGTGGTGTGTGCCTATAGTCCCAGCTACTAAGGAGGCTGAGATGGGAGGACTGCTTGAGCCTAGGAGGTCGAGGCTGCAGTGAGCAATGATTTAGCCACTGCATTCCAACCTGGATGACAGAGCAAGATCCTGTCTCAAACACAAACACACACACACACACACACACACACACACACTTAAAAGTAGCACTAAAATACCAAATACTTAGGAACAAATTTAATAAAGGACATGCAAATTATCTATATGGAAAACTATAAAATATTGTTGATAAAGCTGAAGACTTAAATAAATGGAGAGACATAGTATGTTCTAGGATGGAAAATTTACTTTTAAAAAAAGTCAATTCTCTTTACTTTATTGAGCTATAGATTCAGCAAAATACTAATAAAAATTCCAGAAATATTTTCTGACAACCTGATTTTAAACATATATATAAATGCAAAAGATCTAGAATAATCAAGACAATCATGAAGAATAATAAAAAAGCAGGAGGCTTTAGACTATTAAATATCAAGACAAATAATAGGAAAAAATTAAGAAAAATTGCCATTGATGCAAAAAATAGACCAGTAGAATAGAAAAGAAAGTCCAGAAATGGCACTATACATACATTGTCATCTGTTTTTGATAAAGGTACCTCTCCAATTCAGTAGAATAAAGGAAATCTTTTCAATAAATGGTGCTGGGTCAGTATGAATATCTGAAAGAAAACAAGCAGTGAATCTGGATGCCTTACCACACAATGCACAAAGTTAATTTGACATGGATCATTGATCTAAATGTAAAGGCTTCTAAAACAATGAATATTATAGAAAAAAAAGAGGATGTCTTCATGACTTTGAGGTAGAGTTTCTTTCAACATAAGAAAAAAGCATAATATCAAGGAAAAATGGATAAATTGGGCATCATTTCTAAAGGTCTGGGCTATTAGTAGACTTGCCTGAACTGGGTTGTTGTAATTTTCCATAGGCTTTAATCACAGGGCATAGGACTACTAAGGGACATCCTAAAGAACTCCCATATTCCATAATATTCTTCTTTACCTCAATTGTGGAGTAGAATCCAGCATTTTCTTGGTAATTAAGATCAGTCTCTGAAGCCAGTATAGTAACTCCCTCCTTTGCCTGTTGATGCAGAGGCATGAGAAGCCCAAAGTGGTTGGGTGGCCATGAACTTTCTGTTGAAGGAAATCGTTGTGACTCCTGGTGGATGCATTCCTCCCTCCAGAATTAAGAGGCCTCTGTGCCAGCAGAGCACAATGTCATAGGGCTAGGAAGCAAAATTTTTCTGGTAGGTCACTAGGGGTGATAGTGAATGGTGCCACTCCCATTTCCATACCTCAATTCCTAGACCTATGAACCATGCCTATGAAAGAAATAGCACCATATTTGGGATGCTGATTTAGAAAATATACAGCTTCCTGAGGAACGCTGCCTTATGCCTGCAAGGTATTTCCACCTAGCTGGCACTGTAACTGAGTCTTCAAAAGTCCATTCCACTTTTCTATCAAATCTAGCTGTGTCAGGATGGTGGAGAACATGGTTATATCAGTGAACACCATGAGAATGGGCCACACTTCTTTTGTTAGGAACTGAGTTACTTGATCAGAAACAATGCTATGTGGAATACCATGATGGTGGATAAGACATTTTATGAGTCCATAAATGGCAGTTTTGGCAGAAGCATTGAGTGCAGGGAAGGCAAATCTGTATCCAGAGTAAATGTCTAGTCCAGTAAGAACAAAACACTACCCATTCCATGGTGGAAGTAGGCCATTGTAATCAGCCTGCCAGATAGGTGGGTGGTCAGGAGAATGGCACCACATCAGGACTCAGTGTTGGCACCACATCAGGACTCAATCGGCTGCTGGCAGATTGGGCACCAACTGTGTCTGTAGCCAGGTTGGTCTTGGTGAGTGGAAGTCCATTTTGCTGATCCCATGCATAAAAACCTTAATCCCTACCACCCCGGCCACTTGTCCATGAGCTCATTTGATGATGATAGGGGTGACTGGGGAAACAAATTGCCTGGAATCCATACAGTGGATCATCCTATCCATTTGATTATTAAAATCTTCCTCTGCTCAGCTCATCGTTTAGTGAGCATTCACATGAGACATAAGTATCTTCACGGCTTTTGCCCACTCAGAGAGGTCTATCTGTATACCTCTTCTCTAGACCTCCTTGTCACCAATTTTTCAATCATATTTCTTCCAAGACCCTGACCATCTAACCACACTATTGGCCACCGCCCATCGACTGGTATATAATCACATGTCTGGCCATTTTTCCTCCCAAGCAAAGTGAAAAACCAGCTGCACAGGTCAAAATTCTGCCCACTTGAAGGATTTCCCTTCACCATTGTCCTTCAGGGATGTGCCACAGAAGAGCTGTGGTGCCACAGCGTCCACTTTTGGGTGAGGCCTGCATACTTGTACAGAATGATCTGTAAACCAGTCCTGAGTTTTCTCTTCCTCTGCCAACTGATCACAGGGAACTCCCCATAAGGAAATACATGTGGACTGGGAGAGAGAAGGCAGTGGAGCTGGAGTGGAGAACATGGGCATTTGAACCACTTCCTCATGTGCTTTTTTGGGCCTTCAAGGCCTGTTTGAGCCTGATCTCAACTATACCACTTTCACTGATGATGGAGTGCTGCTGTGCACACCCAATTTAAGGGCTTGGTAAGCCAGACAACACCCAGGTCATGATGGGCAGATTAGGTTGCATGGTAAATTGTTAGTTCATGGTTAAGCACTCAGTCTTTAATAAGGTCCAGTAGTACGCCAAAAGCTGTTTCTCAAAAGGAGACAAGTTGTCTACAGATAATGGCAAATCTTGCTCCCAAATCCTGATGATTCACACTGTGATTCCCCCATAGAGGCCTGTGAAAGGCTCCAAACAGCATCCCTATCTGCCACTGACACTTCGAGCGCCATTGAATCTGCTGGATCATATGACCCATGTGGCAGAACTGCTTCTGATGGTTTTTACTAACAGGTTTTGAGGAAAAAATTACTTGCCAGATCAATTTCTTCATATCAGATACAAGGGAATGTGTTAATTTGCTCAAGCGATGAAACCACATCTGGGGCAGCAGCTGTAATTGGAGTCGCCACCTGGTTAAGCTTATGAGAATCTACTGTCATTCTCCAAAACCCACCTTCCTTCTGCATAGGCTAACCTGGCAAGTTGAATGAGGATGGGGTGGGAATTGCCACCTTTGCATTCCTCTTCAAGATCTTGGTGGTGGCACTAATCTCTGCAATCCCTCCAGGAATGTATTAAATAGTGTTGTTTTTTGCTTACTATTTTCCTAGGTAGAGGCTGTTCTAGGGGCTTCTACTTGACGTTTCCTACCATAATAGCCCTCACTCCACTGGTCAGGAAGCCAATATGGGGACTCTGCCAGTTACTAAGTATCTCTCTTCCAATTATACATAGTGGAACTGGAAAAATAATCATAGAATAGGTTCAAGGGCCCATCTTATCTGTTGTGAGATAGATCTGAAGTAAAACTCCATTAATCACCTGACCTCTGTAAACCCCTATGTTAACTCATCTACCACAATGACTTTCTGAGTCTCTTAGAATTAGTATCAGCTCAGCACCAGTGTTCAATAATCCCTGAAAAGTCTATTTTCTTTCCCCTAATGCACTGTTACTCCAGTAAAGGGCTATAGTTGGCAGGGGAGAAAAATTAACAGTATGCATTTTTGGCTATGGAGTGGGATCCTTCCTCAGGAGAATCTGGCCTGTCCTTCATTCAAGGGGTTCTTGTTTTGTACACTGGTTCAAGTCTGGGAATTGACAAAGGGGTTGTGACTCTCTGTTTTTATGATTCAAGTTAGACTTCTGTCTACTTGGCCTAGAAGTCTTCCACTTATACAAATCAAATGCAAGTTCAGCAGACTAGGGACATCGTGAACAACCAGACAATGTCACAGTCTCTGTGAGCCAGACTGTTTTTATCACTGCTTTGACTCTGCTCTGTATTCCACTAACCACACTCACCTTGCCTTTGGTGATTATGTCACCACTTGGCCCTGCCATCCCAGGATCCAATTATCTTCATTTCATTTAGGTTTCCCAATTCAGTGGCAGGAGCTCTCTCTGCAATTTATGACCTGCAGAGAAGAGTGACTACAGAGCTCTTCAAAAATCCTGGGGCTCCTCTTGCAAATTTATTTCTCACAGTGTGGTGACAGGTTTGTCCTCTGGACCCAGCGCTGGCTGAGCAGGTCTTACATGATGAGCCCATATTAACATTCTAACATCCCTGAGCCTTTGGACCCTTTCCTCTACAGCAGTGGTCCCCAACTTTTTGGTGCCAGGGTCTGGTTTCATGGAAGACAATTTTTCCATGGATGGGGGTTAGTGGGGTGGTTTCCGGATGAAACTGTCCCATCTCAGATAATCAGGCATTAGATTCTCATAAGGAGCAAGCGACCAAGATCCCTCGCATGCACAGTTCACAATAAGGTTCATGCTCCTATGAGAATGTAATGTAACTGTTGATCTGACAGGAGGTGGAGTTCAGGCAGTAAAGCTCACTTTCTTGCCTCCACCCTGCTCACCTCCTGCTGTGCAACCCGGTTCCTAACAGGCCATAGACCAGTCCAGGGGTTGGGGACTCCTGTTCTACAGTACAGAAGAGCAGCTCTGGCATTTCAGCTTCATTTAGTGTACCCCACACTTTGTTCCATGTTGCAGCCAACCAACAAAACACATGGTTTAGAGCTCTTTCATGATCTCTGAGCTATAGCATTATGTCTAGAACCTTTGCTTCATAGGCCCATATCCATAAAATTGTCATGACCCAACTTTATGTTCCTTCCACCATTCTCCCTCATCCTTAATATCTCTTTCCACACATTCCCTACATTTCTGTCTGTATAAATTTGAAAAACATGTCATTCTTTTGGAATGTAGCTCACCTCCTTGTTGGTCACACTTTGTGCTTCACCTTTTAGGGAATGCTGGACTTGAATGTACTTATAGGTCTAGAAGAAAAAAGGGGTGGTGGGGATGGGTTCCAAGGAGACTTGGCAGTAGATGACTCAGAAGGCCCATTACAGGTTCCTCAGGCAGAGCAGGGTTAATCTCCTCCAATGAGGATGAAAGAACTTCTACTGGCAAGAAAGACTCAGAAGAATTTGAGTTTCAACATTCCCACCTTCATGAGGATCTTTCCATATGTCTTATTCCAATTTTCAGATCCCACTACTTCCCAATCAAGGCCTTCACTTTAACAGCAGACATCTTGCTAGGTTGGTGCTGTGGTCTAAATGCTGATGTCTCCTTTCCCCAAATTCATATGTTGGAACTTAATCCCCAGTATGATAGTATAAGAGGTGGGGCCTTTGGGTAGCGATTAAGTCAGGAGGGTTCTGCCCTCATGAATGGAATGCATGTCCTTATAAAAGAGGTTGAAGTGGGCTGACTTGCCCTTCCATTGTGTGAGGATGCAGCAACAAGGCACGGTCTGTGGTGCAGAGAGTGAGTCCTCACTAGATACCGAATCTACAAGTGTCTTGATCTTGGACTTGCCAGCCTCCAGAACTGTGAGAAATACATGTCTATTGCTTATAAATTTCCCAATCGAAAGTATTTTGTTATAGCAGCTCAATCAGATGAACAGAGTTGGGAATTCAACTTGTGTTGTAGTTCAGCTATTCATAGGATGAGACTCTGGGCTTGGTTTTCAGCAATCTCAGCTCTGTGGCTAGAGGAGATATGAGATTCTTTCAGGACAGATATAGAAACTTTCAGGTCATTTATGCAGTGCTTAAGCTGGAAATCTGAGTCCTTGAGCACATCTTTTCTTCCTCCCCACATTGTCCAGTGTGATTAGGAGATACTGGTCAAAGTCATTATACTCCTTAGTTTGACAAAAATGTTCTATTGTATCAAATACAGTCATGTGTTGCTTAAAGATGGGGATATGTCCTGAGAAATGTGTCATTAGATGGTTTCATTGTGTGATTATCAGAACATGCTTACACACACCTAGATGGCATAGCCTATTACACACCTAGGCTATATGGTACAGCTTATTGCTCCTAGGCCACAAACTTGTACAACACGTGACTACTGAATACTGTGGGCAACTGTAACACAATGGTAAGTATTTGTGTATCTCAACATGTCTGATAGACAAAGTACAGTAAAGATACAGTGTTTTGATCTTATGGGAGCCAAGCACAGTGGTTCACACCTATAATCCCAGAACTTTGGGAGGCCAAGGCAGGAGGATTACTTAAACCCAGGAGTTTGAGACAAGCCTGGGCAATATACAAGACCTTGCCTCAACAACAACACCAACAACAACAAAAATTAGCCAGGCATGTGGCATGTGCCTGTGGTCTCAGCAACCCAGCAGGCTGAGGTGGGAGGATTGCTTGAGCCCAGAAGGTCAAAGCTGCAGTGAGCTGTAATTGTGTCACTGCACTTTAGCCTGGGTGACAGAGAAAGACCCTGTCTCAAAAAGAAAAGAAAAAAACTTTATGGGAACATCATTGTATGTGCAGTCCATCACTGACTGAAATGTTAGGCAGTGCATGACTGCACAAGGTTACCAGAACCTTGCCGCTTATACATGTTTGGTTAGGAGGAGCCAATGCTTATATTGTGCCTGTCTCTATTGCCACCTCATGACATGAACTATCAATGCTCTTTTTACTACTGGAAGACGGATTCCAGAAACCTCAGAACCAACTCTGATAACTCACCCTTAAGATTCTGTTCTTCAAGAACCAATCTTAGCACCAAACATCTGTATTATGGAGGCTTTTCTGGAGAAATAGAAACAATAGGTGATCTATATCATCTATATCTATGTTGGCATCTTTATCTACACCTATATCTATATTAACTTATCTATCTATCCCAATAGAGGTGAAAAGCCTACTGAGCCTGGTTGTCCAAGACAGAACTTAAGTTCAACCTTAAACTTACCCATGTGTATACAGAGAGTAAAATATTTATTTTAGGGAATTAGATCATGTGATTATGAGGGTTGGCAAGTCCAAATCTGCAGAGCAGGACATCAAGTTGGAAACCTAGGCAGAACTTCTATGTTGCATTCTTGAGACAGAATTCATTATTCTTTGGAGAACCTTAGTTTTTTCTTGTTAAACCATTAACTGATTGGATAAAGCCCACCCACATTATGGAGGGTAATCTTCCTAAAGTCAGTTGATCGGAAATGTGAATTACATCCAAGAATACCTTCACAGTGACATCTAGACTAGCAGTTGACCAAACAACTGGCAACCATAGCATAGCCAAGATTAATGATCACAAAGAACAAGAGAAAAATGACTTATCACATACAGGGAACAATAATACAATTAATAACTTTCCATCAGAAACAATGAAGGCCAGAAAGTGGTGAAGTGACACTGATGCCATTAAAGCAATAAAAACAACAACAGTCAATCAAGAATTTTATATTCAGCAAACCTATTCTTTAAACAAAAGTTGACATAAAGATATTGCTAAATTAATAACAATTGAAAAAAATGTATTGCTATCATGCTTGTGTTACAAAAAATATTAAAGAGATTTCTTTAGACTGAAGGGAATGAAACTTTATAGTAACTCAAATCCACATAGAGAAATGAAGAGTACTGGTAAAGTAAATATGTGAGCAAATAGAAAAATCTACATAAACACTGACAGGAGATTAATAAGGAAATAGAGGTCCTGAACAACACTGCACACCAGTTGGACCTACTCGACATATGAAGAACATTCCATTGAACAACAGCTGAAGCACATTTTTCCCAAGTGCACATGGAGCACTCTCCAGGGTAGACCATATGTTAGGCCACAAAGCAAATCTTAATACATTTAGAAAGATTGAAATCATACAAAATATCTTCTCCGATCACAATGAAATAAAACAAGAAATCAATAGCAGAAGGAAAACTGGAAAATCCACAAATATGTGGAAATTAAATAATGCATTCTTGAACACCAATAGGCTAACAAGAAATCACATGGAAAATTAGAAAATAATTGAGACATATAAAAATGAAAACACCATATCCCCAAACTTATGAGATGCAGTGAAAACAGTGCTAAGTGGAAAATTTATGGCTAGAAATGCTACATTAAAAAGAACAAAGATCCCAAATCAACAAACTAAATTTATACTTTAAGGAACTGGAAAAAGAAGAACAAACTAAACATAAAGCTAGCAGAAGAAAGGAAATAATAAATAAAGATTAGGGCAGAGATAAACAAAATAGAGAATAGGAAAATAATAATCAACAAAACCAATAATAAGTTCTTAGAAAAGACTGACAAAATTGACAAACCTTTAGCTAGAATGACTATGAAAAAATAGAAAGGGGACACAACTAAAATTGGAAATAAAAGAGAGGACATTATAACCAATTTTATAAAAATAAAGAGGATTATAAGAGAATAGTATGAACAATTGTATATCAACAAATTGGATAATCTAGATGAAATGGACCCTAGAAATATACAACCTACAAAGACTGAATCATGAAGAAATAGAAAATCTGACCAGACTTATAACTACTAAATAGAATGAGTCAATAATAAAAAACTTCCCAACAAAGGAAATCTCAGGACCAGATGGCTTCACTGGTGAATTCTACCACACATTTAAAAAATTAACACCAATCCTCCTCAATCTCTTCCAAAAAGTTGAAGAGGAGGGAATACTTCCAAACTCATTCTTTTAGATGAGCATTGCCCTAAAATAACATACTGAAGCCAGCCAAATACATCACAAGAAAAGAAATCTAGAGACCAGTGTCCCTGATAAATATTGATACAAAAATCCTCAACAAAATATAGCAAACCAAATTCAACAGCATACTAAAAAGATTATACACCATGACCATGTAGAATTTATTCCTAGAATGCAAAGATGTTTCAACATACACAAATCAATCAATGTAGTACATGACATTAGTAGAATAAAGGAAATAAAAACACGTGATCATCTCAATTGATGTGGAAAAAACATCTGACAAAATTAAACACTTCTGATGATTAAAAAAACTCAGTAAACTAGTAATAGAAGAAAACTACCTCAACATAATAAAGACCATATATAAAAGCTTATAGCAAGCATCATGCTCTATGGTGAAAGACTGAAAGCTTTTCCTCTAAGGTTAGGAACAAGACAAGGATGTCTTGCTTTTGTCACTTCCATTCAATACAAAACTAGAGGCCTGGTGCGGTGGCTTATGCCTGTCATCCCAGCACTTTGGGAGGCTGCTGCAGGCAGATAACTTGAGGTCAGGAGTTCTAGACCAGCCTGGCCAACATGGCGAAACCCCATCTCTACAAAATATACAAAAAGTATCTGGGTGTGGTGGCAGACTGCTGTAATCCCAGCTACTCAGGAGGCTGAGGCAGGAGAATGGTTTGAACTCAGGAGGTGGAGGCTGCAGTGAGCTGAGATCACACCACTGCCCTCCAGCCTGGGCAACAGAGCAAGAATCTGTCTCAAACAACAACAACAACAACAACAACAACAACGACAACAGAACAAACCAACCCCCGCTCCCACTAAGACCCAGTGTAATACTGGAAGTTCTAGCCATTGCAAGTAGGCAAGGAAAAAGGGCATTCAAATTGGAAAAGAAGTAAAATCATCTGTGATTACAGATGGCATGATCTCACATGTAGAAAACCTAATGGTTTCACATACAAAAAGTACCCGTTAGAATTAGTAAACAAATTCAGCAAAGTTGTAGGACACAAAAACAACATGTAAAATCAGTTGCCTTCTATATCCTAAAAATGAATAATCAGAAAAGGAAATTAATAATATAATTCCACCTAAAATAGCACCAAAAATACTTAAGAATAAACATACCCAAAGAGGCAAAGGCCTTGTGATACAGTTTGGATAGTCGTCCCTGCCAAATCTCATGTTGAAATGTAATGCCCAGTGCTGGAGGTGGGGCCTGGTGGGAGGTGATTGGATCATGCGGGTGCATTTCTCATGAATGGTTTAGCACCATCCTCTTGGTGCTGTTCTCGTGATAGCAGATGATCGTTTGTGAGATCTGGTTGTTTAAGAACTGCATGGCACCCTCCCGCACTCTCTTGCTCCTGCTCTCGCCATGTGACATGCTTGCTCCCGCTTGGCCTTTTACCATGAGTAGAAGCTCATGAGGCCTCCCCAGAAGCCGGGCAGTTGCCAGAGCCATGCTTGTACAGCCTACAGAACCATGAACCAATTAAATCTCTTTTGTTTATAAATTACCCAATCTCAAGTATTCCTTTATAGCAATGCAAGAGTGGCCTAATACACCTTGTATACTGAAAACTACAAGATGTTGTGAAAGAAACTAAAGAGGACACATGTAAATGTGTTCATGGATTAGAATACTTAATATCATTAAGATATTAATACTTTCCTCAGTGACCTACAGTTTCAGTGTATTTCTATCAAAATTCCATTTTTTTTTTTTTTGGCTGAAATAGAAAAATCCATCCTGAAATGTATATGGAATCTCAAGAGACCCGAAATAGCCAAAACAATCTTGAAAATGAAGAATTAAAGATGGAGGTCTCACACTTGTGGGTTTCAAACATCTTACAAGCTAGAGTAATCAGAACAGTATGGTACTGGTATAAAGACAGGTACACAGCCCGTCCGGTCCCGTCCCGTCCTGCCGCCGCGCCTGTCAGCCATGAGCTCCATGCAGTTAAACAAAGGCCCCTCTGTGGACTCTTGGCTGAGGTTAAGAACCGGCTCCTGTCCAAATATGACCTCCAGAAGGAGGCAGAGCTCCACAGCTGGATGGAGGGACTCACTGGCCTCTCCATCGTCCCGACTTCCATTAGGGCCTGAAGGATTGGATTATCTTACGCACACTCATGAACAAGCTGCAGCCGGGCTCAGACCCCAAGATCAACCGCTCCGTGCAGAACTGGCACCAGCTAGAAAACCTACGGCATGAACCCCGTGGACCTGTTTGAGGCCAACGACCTGTCTGAGAGTGGGAACACGATGCAGGTGCAGGTGTCTCTTCTCGCCCTGGCAGGGAAGGCCAAGACTAAGGGGCCGCAGAGAGGGGCGGACATCGGTGACACGCACTCGGAGAAGCAGGAGTGGGACTTTGAGGACGCCACCATGAATGCCCGCCAGTGCGTCATCGGGCTGCAGATGGGCACCCACAAATGCACCAGCCAGTCCCGCATGACCGCGTACAGCACGAGGAGGCATCTCTATGACCCCAAGAACCACGTATTGCCCCCCATGGACCGCTCGACCATCAGCCTCCAGATGGGTGCAAACAAGTGTGCCAGCCAGGTGGGCACGACGGCTCCCGGGACCCGGCGGTACATCTATGACACCAAGCTGGGAACCGACAAGTGTAACAACTCTTTCATGTCCCTGCAGATGGGCTACGCGCAGGGCGCCAACCAGAGCGGCCAGGTCTTTGGCCTGGGCCGGCAGATATACGACCCCAAGTACTGCCCGCAAGGCCCAGTGGCCGATGGGGCTCCCTCGGGTGCAGGCGACCGTCCTGGCCCTGGAGAGGCCCCTGAATATTCCGCTTACTACGAGGAGGAGACTGGCTACTGAGGCTCCCAGCACGTTCTCTTCCCCACATCGTCTCCCCGTCTGGGTTTTTGGGGTTTTCTGTGTTTTCATCTTTTTTTTTTTTTCCTGTTCAATGCTGCCGGTCAACGAAGGGTCTGTGAGTGGCGGCGTGGGATCAGGCGGCAGGGCTTTTCTCCCTCTTGCCTTGGTTCCTTCGCAGGTCTGAGCCACCGGGCTGCGGGGGAAGAGGTCAAGGCCCTATCCCAAAGCGTGTAGGGTGAGGGTCCCTGCTGGCACCTTCAGGCTGTGGGCAGAACTGTGCTGGGGAGAAGAGACCTGGGCATGGAGGGAACCGGTCCCGGAAGGTTTCCAGTTGCCTCGCCTCTTTCCCCTTTTGTCAGCCGATCAGTTTGTGGTTTCTGTACCCGCAAACGTTTCAGGAAGTATTTACAAAACAACAACAACAACAATATATATATATATATATGTATTTTTCCAGAGGAATAGGGGGTGGGGGACAGTGGAGAGGTGCTGGAAAATGAGTCCCTTGGGAGAGGGGGCCCGGCCACCATGCTAAATAGCTCAGGCTCCTGAGTGGCTGGATTTCCCTAGGACCCTCAGACCCACAGATCTTAGACCCTCAGACCCGTCTCAGGGCCTGGTGGGGAAACTGAGGCCCGTACAAGGAAGTGGAATTCTGAGTTGTTGGGGCCAAGCCTGACCCCCATCCATGCTAATCTCCCCGCCCCCGCCCCTCCCCCGCCACTGTGGCCTCAGTAGGTTTTTGTTACTGTCGTTGCCCAGGCTGGAGTGCAGTCAGGTGATCTCGGCTCACTGCACCTCTATCTCCTGGGCTCAAGGGATTCTTCTACTTCAGTCTCCTGAGTAGAGTAGCTGGGACTGCAGGTGCTCCACCGCGTCTGGCTAATTTTTGTATTTTTAGTAGAGATGGGGTTTCACCATGTTGGCCAGGCTGGTCTCGAACTCCTGACCTCAGGTGATCTGCCTGCTTCGGCCTCCCAAAGTACTGGGATGACAGGCGTGAGCCACCGCACATGGCTCCTCAGTAGGTTTTAAGGGGCCTCAGCCGTTCTTTTCCCCTTCCAGGCCTGACCAGCTATACTGCTCTGTCTCCGTGCCCCCCACACACTCCACCAAATACTACACGGGAACCCCCACCCAGGGTCCCTGCACCATTAGATAATGAGAAATAAGGACTGTGGACCAAAAGCAATAAAACCTGTTTGTAAGAAAAAAAAAAAAAGACAGACATATAAGCCAATGGAAAAGCATAGACAGCCCAGAAATAATCCCTCAAATATGTGGTCAAATAAATTTTGACAGTGGTTCCAAGAGTATTCAATGGGGGAAAAACAACCTTTTAAAAAAATGGTGTTGGAAAAACTGGATATTTATACGCAAAGAAATAAAGTTGACCCTTAACTTAAACCATATACAAAAATTAACTCAAAATGGCTCAAAGACCTAACTGTAGGCACTAAAACTATAAAACTCTTAGAAGAAAGCACAGGGGAGAGGTGCATGGCATTGAAATTGTCAATGATGTTTTTTGGTGTGTGGGGGGGAGGGTAAAACCCCAAAAGCACAGGCTACAAGAAAAAACAGATAAATTGGATTACATCAAAATTCAAAACTTCTGTGCATCGAAGAACACTGTCAGTAGGTGGAAAAAGGGATCCACGGGATGGGAGAAGAGATTTACAAATCATATATCTGATTAGAGGTTCGTGCCCAGAATATACAGAAAACTCTTACAACCCAGCAACAACAACAAACCCAAATGACTTGGTTAAAAAATGTACAAAGAACTTAATAGATGGTTCTTTCAAGGAGATACACAAATGGATAATAAGCACATGGAAAGAAGCACAACATCACTAGTCATTAGTGAAAAGCATATCAAAACCACAATGAAATACTACCTTATACCCATTAGAATGGCTACTATATACATATTCAGAACAACAGAAAACAATAAATGTTAGTGAGAATGTGGAGAAACTGGAACCCTTGCACACTGTTAGTAGAAATGTACAATGGTGCAGCTGCTGTGGAAAACAGTACGGTGGTTCCTCAAACAGTGAAAAAGGAGTCTGGATGCAGTGGCTCATGCCTGTAATCCAAGCACTTTGGGAGGCCAAGGCAGGAGGGTCACTTGAGGCCAGGAGTTCAAGACCAGCTTGGGAGACATAGCAAGATCCTGTCTCTACAAAATAATAATAATAAAAAAACCCAGCTGGGCATGGTGGTGCATGCCTGTGGTCCCAGCTACTCAGGAGGCTGAGGTGGGAGGATCACTTGATCCCAGGAGGTTGAGGCTGCAGTGAGCTATGATCATGCCACTGCATTCTAGCCTGGGCAACTGAGTGAGACCCTGTCGCTGAACAATTTTTTTTTAAAAATGAAATTATCAAGTGAATCAGAAATTCCACATCTGGTTTTGTACCCGAAAGAACTGGAAGCAGGATCTTGAGGAGCTACACGTACAACTATGTTCACAGCAGCATTATCTGCAAAGCCAGAAGGTGAAAGCGACCCACATGTTCATCAATGGATACATGGATTTTAAACATGTGGTGTACACAGTGGAATATAATTCAGCCCTAAAAGTGAAAGGAAATTCTAAAATATGCTACCACATGGATGAACTTTGAAGACATTATGCTAAGTAAAATAAGTCAGCCACAAAAAAATACTGCATGATTCTACTTACGTAGGCTACCTAGAATAGTTAACCTCATAGTGAAAGAATGTAAAATTGTGGTTGCTAGGGGCCGAGGGTAGGGAGAATGGGGAGTTATTGTTTAATGGTAGAATTTTAGTTTTGTGAAATGAAAAAAGTCCTGGAAACGGATGATGGCAGTTGTTGCACACCAATGTGAATGTCCTTCATAAGGCTGAGCTGTACATTCAGAGATGGTTAATATGGGGAATTGTATGTTACTTTATTTTACCAGAGTTAAAAATAATAAAAAGAAGTCTATATAAATATATATTCACTTCTCTTAACTTCTTTTCTAAGATTACATAAAGCAGTTATTATAACATTGTATTATTGGATTTACAACATAATATAGCTTTAATACATATGATAATTGTACAAAGGAAGCTGAGGGGATGAAGGTGTACTGGAACAGGGTTTCCATAATTTACCAGAATTAAGTTATTTTGATGTAGACTGTAATTACTTTGATGTAGTCTGTAATTAATTAAGATGTATATTGTAATCCCTTAGCCTGACACTACCAAAAGTACAAATATACAGTTTAAAAAATCAAGAGGAATTAAATATTACACTAAAAGTACCTGTTTGATACAAAAGAATATAATAAATAAAGAACGAGGAACAAAAAACTCATGAGACATATAGAAAACACATAGTAAAACAGCAAATGTAAATTTAACCATGTCAATAATAACATATGTGAATGGACTCAATAATCAAAAGGTGGAGATTGTTAGACTGGATGAAAAAAGAAGATCCTACTCTATGCTGTCTATAAGAGGCATATTTTAGCTTCAAAGACATAAGAATTTAAAAATAAAACGGGGAAAATATATGCCATACAAACAATAACCGTAAGAGAGCTGGAGTGGCTATATTAATAGCAGAATATATTTTAAGACAAAAATATTTCTAGAGACAAAGTGATATTTCACAATGACAAAAGGAAAATATAACAATTGTAAATGTCTATGCCTGAAACAAGAGAGCCATCAAATATTTGAAGCAATAACTGACTGAATTGGAAGGAAAAATAAACCATTCAGCAAGTTAGAGATCTAAAAACTTGACTTTCAATAACTGAAAGAAAAAGTAGACAGAAAATCATTAAATGAATAGAAGACTTGAACAACAGTATTGACCAGCTTCATCTGACAGCAAGAGAACACTTGAATCAACCAATGAGAGCAGAATATATATTCTTGTGAGTATACTTGAAATCTTCTCTAAGACAGTTCATGTGCTATACTATCAAATCTCAACAAATTGAAAAGAAATGAAATAAAAAAGTATATTCTCTGAACACAAAAGGATTAAACTAGACATCAACAGTGGGGAGAAATCTGGGAAATCTTCAAATATTTGTAAGTTAAACAACATTCAGGGATCCCTCCTTATCCTTGCTTTCACTTTCTGTGGTTTGACAGACAACTCAACTCAAATAGATCATACGCCTAAATGTACGAACTATTATAAAATGATAAAATTTTTAGAAGAAAACAAAATATTCTTCATGACCTTAGATTGAGCAGAGTTTTTAGATGTGATGCCAAAAACATATTTCATACATGAAAGAATATTTCAGACCTGCAGTCTGAAATAGTAAATGGAAAATTCCAGAAATAGACAATTCATAAGTTTTGAGTAGCGTGATGAAATCCTGCTCTGTCCCTCCTGGGAAATGAATCATTCCTACGTCCAGCGTCTCTATGGTATCTACCTTACCCCCTGTTACCCACCCGCTTGGCTGCCCTCTCGGTTATCAGTTTGACTGTCCCAGTGTCACCGTACTTGGGTTCAAGTAACACTTATTTTAATTTATGGACCAAAGCACAAGAGTAGTAATGCTGGCAATTCAGATACACCTAAGAGAAGCTATAAAGTGCTTCCTTTAAGTGAAAAGGTGAAAGTTCTCAATAAGGAAAGAAAAAAAAACTATATGCTAAGGTTGCTGAGATTTATGGTAATAACAAATCTTCTGTCCATGAAATTGTGATGAAAGAAAAATAAATTCATCCTAGTTTTTCTGACACATCTCAAACTGCAGAAGCTATGGCCACAGTGCCTAAGTGCTTAGTTAAGATGAAAAAGGCATTATGTTTGTAAGTGGAAGACAGGACGTGTACTGATGGACAGGAATTGGGTTTGGTACTATCTGCGGGTTCAGGCAGCCATGGGGGTCTTGGAACATATTCCCTGTGGATAAGCGTGTAATATTGTACTTCTAGATAACCCTTGGTAAAATAAATCAAGGTATTTTGGATTGAGTTTACAAGAATATGCAACTTACAGAATACAACTAAAGCTATGTTTAGAGGGAAATTTATATTTAACACCTACATTAGAAAGAAAGGAAGATCTCAAATCAATAATCTAAACTTCCACCTAATGAACTAGAAAAAGAAGAGCAAGAAGCCCAAGACAAACAAAAGTAAAGAAAGAAAAAACAAACAAGAATTAGGAACAATGAAATAGAAAACAGAAAAATAACAGAGGAAAAACAAATAGGGAATTTCAATGTAAACCAAAGGTGGGTCTTTGAAAAGACTTTTTAAAATTTCACACACCTCTACACAGGATGAGCAAGGAAACCTAGAGAACATAACAAATTACTAAAATTAGGACTGAAAGACAGGACGTGACCACCAACACTATAGATATTAAAAAGTTTCTGTGGAAATGCTGCAAATAACTTTAAATCAACAAATTAGACAGTCTAGGTGAGTTGAGCTATAGCTTCAAAACAATGCCTATCAAAATTCCAGCAGGCGTTTTTTGGTAGAAATTAGCAAAATTATCCTAAAATTTCCATGGAAATGCAAAGAAATTAGAATAGCCAGAAAAGTTTTGGGAAAAAAGATTTATACTACTTGATCTCAAATTTACTACCAAGATATAATTATCAGACGATGTGGTGCTGGTGAAAGGATAAGCCCAATGAAGTAAAACTGAGAATGCACAAAAGAATAAACTCTTAAGGTCAATTTAATTTTTAACAAAGGTGCCAAGGCAATTCAGTGGGGGCAAAAACCAGTCTTTTCTACAAATGGTGCTGGTATAATTATATGTTTATAAGAAAAAGCATATACAGATCTTTACCTACAGCATATCCACAAAAACAACTCAAATAGATCATACGCCTAAATTACATTTAGGCTATTATAAAATGATAAAACTTTTAGAAGAAAACAAAATATTCTTCATGACCTTAGATTGAGCAGACTTCTTAGATATGATGCCAAAAACATATTTCATACTTGAAAAAATATTTGAATTCATTAAAATTAAAACCTTTTTGCCTTCAAAAGAAAACATTAGGAAATTGAAAGACAAGCAAGAGATTGGGAGAAAGTACTTGCAAATCATAATTTGATAAGGGACTTGCATTCAGGATATGTAAAGAACACAATACTCAATAAAAAGAAGACAACTTAATTTTTTAAAAAAATAAATATTTGGATATTATATCAACTTTTATATATATAACATATATATAAGTTTTGTGTGTGTATATATATCATATATATCAAAATCTTTATATATAATGATATATAAAAATCTTTATACATGTTATATGTATAAAAAGATTTAGAGATATATAAAATATATATAAATTATATATATGTTGGTATAATATCTAATATCTATATATCTAATATATATCTAATATATAGTTTATTAGCTATCTAATATAATATATATCATATATATCAAAATCTATATATAAAGATTTAGATATATATAAAACATATATATGTTATATATATGTTGGTGTGATATCTAATATATAGTTTATTAGCTATCTAATGTAATATAAACAGATTATCAATATTATAAGCTATCAGAAAAATGCAAGTTAAGGCAGATGATATACCTCTTTACACACCAACTAGAATGTCTATTATAAAAAGAGATAATACAAATGTTGTGAGGATCTGGAGAAACTTGAGCCTTCATATCTTGCTGATAAAAATGTAAAATATTACAGAAAAAAGTTTGACATTTCTTAAAAAGTTAAATGTGTATCAAATATTTAAAGGGGAACTACTATTCATACTTTTACAGACTCTTCCAAAAAACAGAAGAAAAAAGAAAGTATTCCAACTCATTCTATGAGGTTTAAAAAATCAAGAGGAATTGAATGCTACAAAACCCTGCTACCAAAACCAGACAAGGACATCAAAAGAAAATAAACTATTGCCCAATATCTCTTATAGATGTAAAAATTCTCAACAAATAATAGCAAACTGAATTCAGCACATATAAAAAGGATCATACTTTATTACCAAGTGGGATTATCCCTGGAGTTGGTTTAACATTTGAAAATCAAAAACTAATGTAGTACACAATATTGATAGAGTAAAAGCCACAACCACATGGTTCACCTCAATAAATGCAGAAGAAGCATTGGACAAAATCCAGTGCTTTTTGATTATTAAAACACTCCAAAAAGTAGGAATAAAAAGTGAACTTTATAAACCTGATAAAAAGCATCTATGAAAAAATTCTCAACTAACACTATCCTTAATGGTGAAAGACTATACTTTTCTCCTAAAATCAGGAGCCAGGAGCAAGAAAAAGATGTTTGTTCCTTCAGTTCTATTGAATAATGTATAGCCAGGACAATTAGGCAAGAAAAATAAATGAAAGGCATTCAGATTGGAAAGGGAGATGGAAAACTATTTGCAGACGACCTGATCTTGTACATAAAAAATTCTAAGGAATTCACTAAAAACTATTACAAGAAATGAGTTCAGCAAAGTTGTGGGATACAAGATTATTATTCAAAAATCCACTATACTTCTCTATACACTAGCAATGAAAAACCCAAAATGAAATTAAGAAAAAAATTCCACTTACCCTAGCACTAAAAAGATAAATACCTAAGAATAATAACAAATGAAGTGCAAGACTTGCACACTGAAAATGACAAAACTTTGTTGTAAGAAATTTAGGATCTAAATAAATAGAAATAGATGTTTATGGATGGAAGACTTAATATTGTCAAAAGGGCAGTACTCCCCAAACTGATCAATAAACCCCTATTAAAATGCCAGTAGGCTTTTTTTATATTCTAAAATTCATATGGAAATTTGAGGATCCCACAATAGCTAAAACAATCTTGAAAAAGAACAAAGTTGGAGAACTCAAACTTTGTAGTATGTTAAAGCATACTATAAAGCTACAATAATCAAGACAGTGTGGTACTGGCATAAGGATAGACACATTGGTTAATTGACAGTCCAGAAGTAAACTCTTACATTTATAATAATTTGATTTTTGACAAGGATGACAAGACAATTCAGTGGAAAAAGAATATTCTTTTTAATAAATGGGGTGGGGACAACTGGATATCTACATGCAAAAGAATGAAGTTGGGTCCTCTACCTCACACTATTTATAATAATTAACTAAAAATGAATCATAGACATAAACACAAGAGCTACAACTATTAAACCCTTCGAAGAAACAGAGGATTAAATCTTTATGGTCACAGGCTGGGCAACGGTTTCTTAGATTTGACACCAAAAGTACAAGAAACAAAATAAAAAGAGATAAATTGGGCTTCATAAAAATTCAAAATTTCTGTGCTTAAAATGACACAGTTAAGAAAGTGAAAAGGCAACCCACAGAATGGGAGAAAATATCTGTAATCATATATCTGATAAGACACTTGTACAAGGGATACATAAAAATTCTAACAACTCTACAATAAAAGACAAATAATCCAGTTATAAAATGGAAAAGGATTTAAGTATATATTTATCCAAAGAAGAGGTACAAATGGCTAATAATCACAGGAAAAGATACTCAGCATCATTAATCATTAGAGAGAGACAAATCAAAACCACAGTGAGATACCACTTCACACTCACTAGGATGGCTAAAATCAAAATGACAGGTAATAATGCTGGCAAGAATGTGGAGAGATCAAAACCCTCACACATTGATGATGGGAAAGTAAAATGATTCAGACATTTAAAGAACATTTTGACGGTACCTCAAAATGTTAAACATAGGGTTACCATATGACCTGGGAATTCTACGGCTAGATGTAAACCCAAGAGAATGAAAACATATGTCCATACAAAAACCTGTACACAAATGTTCATAGGAGCATTATTCATATTGCCTCTGTTTATAGAGATAATCCAAATGTCCATCAGCTGATGAATGGATAAACAAAATGTGACACATTCATATAATGGAATACTACACTGCAGTAACAAGGAATGAATTGCTGATATCTGCTATAATGTGGATGACCCTCAAAAACATTATCTTCAGTTAAAGAAGCCAGTCACAAAAGACCAGATATTGCATGATTCTATTCATATGAAATGTCCAGAATAAGCAAGTCTGTAGAGACAAAGTAGATTAGTGGTGGCCTAGTGCTGAGAGAGAGGGTTGGGGGAAAATAGGGTTTGACTACTGATGGGTACGGGGTTTCATTTTTGGAGTGACAAAAATATTCTAAAATTAGGTCGAGGTGATGGTTGTACATCCATCCAGTGAGTATACTAAAAACTATTGAATTGTATATTTTAAATGGGTGAATTTTATGGAATATGAATTATGTCTCAATAAAGCTGTTAAGAAAAAGTAAAACATGTTAAGCATAAAGTTATCAATCTAGTCCTAGGAATTTACCCAAGAGAAACAAAATATATTTCCATTCCACATAATATTTTTTCAGATGTTCATCACAGATTACGGTGCATGGGAGGAGGACTAGATTGCAGTTCCAGCAGAGCGGCATGTGGAGGCCTGCATTATGAATTTTAGCTCCAGATTGACTGCAAGAACAAACAAGCAGTCCTGAGAGGACCCACAGACCCTCTGAAGCAAGTGGACTTCTCCTGCAGGACCCAGGAGACACCCCAAATACCGTGAGTGCCCCGAGTGTGGAAGTGGGAAAGGGAGACCCTCCTCTCCTGAACACACACCCCCACTGGAGAAGCTGAAGGACTGTTTGTGGGAGAAGTTTCTGACTTTATCTGGAGCTGAGTCAAGTTAGAGAGCCCAGCTGAGTGAAATACAGGGGTAGAGAAAGCAGCAGGAAGGCCCTGGGAGCTTGCTGGCTCCCCAAGCAGCCCATTCCTGCCTGGCACCACAGGGATCCATCAGGAGAGTGGCTGGAGGAGCAGGGGGTAAAACTCCACAGGGAGAAGGAATTCTCTAGCTGAACTTTGTAACAGTTTGAATGGGGTGAGAAGCCTCCTGGTGAGAACACGGAGGAGGGCGGGAATATGGCTTGCAGACTTCATGGTGGGGAATAACTAAAGCCCTTTTCTTTCACAGCTGGGAGGCGGAAAGCCCCGGGCAGGTTTTCAAGCCGTATCGCCCTCTGACTGGAAAAAGACTCAGGGCTCTTGCAGAGGGCACAGTGTGAATGAGACTAGTCTTTCAGATTCTGTGGGAGCTGGGTGACGCCTGTGACTGCTGGCTTTCCCCCACTTCCCAGACAACCTGCATGACTCAGCAGAGGCAGCCATAATCCTCCTAAGTACACAACTCCAGTGACCTGGGAATCTCACTCCCGTCCCCACAGCAGCCGCAGCAAGACCCACCCAAGGAGAGTCTGAGCTCAGACATGCCTAGCCCTGCCCGCACCTGATGGTCCTTCCCTACGCACCCTGGTAGCGGAAGACAAAGGGCATACAATCTTGGGAGTTCTAGGGCCCTGCCCACCGTTGGTCCCTCTCCACACTACTACAGCTGATGCATTCTGGAAAGCAGCATCTTCTGGCAGGAGACCAGGCAGCACAAAAACAGAGCATTAAACCACCAAAGCTAAGGACCCTCACGGAGTCCATTGCACCCTCTGCCACCTCCACTGGAACAGGCGCTGGTATCCACAGCTGAGAGGCCCATAGATGGTTCACATTACAGGACTCTGTGCAGACAACCCCCAGTATCAGCCTGGAGCCAGGTAGACTTGCTGGATAGCTAGACCCAGAAGACAGACAACAATCACTGCAGTTTGGCTCACAGGAAGCCACATCCACGGGAAAAGGGGGAGAGCACTACATCAAGGGAACACCCCATGGGATGAAAAAATCTGAACAACAGCCTTCAGCCCTAGACCTTCCCTCTGACAGAGCCTACCCGAATGAGAAGGAACCAGAAAACCAACCCTGGTAATATGACAAAACAAGGTTCTTCAACATCCCCCCAAAATCACACTAGCTCACCAGTAATGGATCCAAACCAAGAAGAAACCCCTGATTTACCTGAAAAAGAATTCAGGAGGTCAGTTATTAAGCTAATCAGGGAGGGAACAGAGAAAGGTGAAGCCCAATGCAAGGAAACCCAAGAAGTGAAGGGAGAAATATTCAAGGAAATAGATAGCTTAAAGAAAAAACAATAAGAAATTCAGGAAACCTTGGACATACTTTTAGAATTGCTAAATGCTCTGGAAAGTCTCAGCAATAGAATTGAACAAGTAGCAGAAAGAAATTCAGAGCTGGAAGACAAGGTCTTCAAATTAACCCAATTCAACCAAGACAAAGAAAAAAGAATAAGAAAATATGAACATAAACCCAAGAAGCCTGGGTTTATGTTAAACGACCAAACCTAAGAATAATCAATGTACCTGAGAAAGAAGACAATTCTAAAAGCTTAGAAAACATATTTGGGGGAGTAATCGAGGAAAACTTCCCTAGCTTTGCTAGAGACATAGACAGGCAAATATAAGAAGCACAAAGAGGCCAGGGACGGTGGCTCACACCTGTAATCCCAGCACTTTGGGAGGCTGAGGCAGGTGGATCATATGAGGTCAGGAGTTCAAGATCAGCCTTGCCAACATGGTGAAACCCCATCTCTATTAGAAATACAAAAAATAAAATAAATAAAAAATAAACAAACAAATAAATAAATTAGCTGGGCTTGGGGGGCATTCACCTGTAATCCCAACTACTTGGGAGGCTGAGGCAGAATTGCTTGAACCTGGGAGGTGGTGGTTGCAGTGAGCTGAGACCATGCCACTGCCCTCTATCCTGGGCGACAGAGTGACACTCCATCTCAAAAATAAATAAATAAAGAAAGAAGCACAAAGAACACCTGGGAAATTCATTGCAAAAAGATCTTTGCCTAGGCACATTGTCATCAGGTTATCCAAAGTTAAAATGAAGAAAAGAATCCTAAGAGCTGTGAGACAGAAGCACCAACCTATAAAGGAAAACCTATCAGATTAATAGCAGATTTCTCAGCAGAAACCCTACAAGCTAGAAGGAATTGGGGCCCTATTTTCAGCTTCCTCAAACAAAACGATTATCAGCCAAGAATTTTGTATCCAGCAAAACTAAACATCAAATTTGAGGGAAAGATACAGTCATTTTTAGATAAACAACTGCTGAGAGAATTCTCCATTACCAAGCCACTGCTACAAGAACTGCTAAAACAAGCTCTAAATCTTTAAACAAATCCTGGAAACACATCAAATCATAACCTCTTTAAAGCATAAATCACACAGGACCTATAAAACAAAATATAAGTTAAAAAGCAAAAACGAAATACAAAAAACAAAGCAAAGTACAAAGGCAACAAAGAGCATGATGAATGCAACAGTACCTCACATTTCAATACTAACTTTGAATGTAAATGGCCTAAATGCTCCACTTAAAAGATACAGAACCACAGAATGGATAAGAACTCACCAACCAAACTATCTGCTGCCTTCAGGAGACTCACCTAACACATAAAGACTCACATAAAGTAAAGGGGTGGAAAAAGGCATTTCATGCAAATGGACACCAAAAGCGAGCAGGGGTGTCTATTCTTATATCAGACAAAACAAACTTTAAAGCAATAACAGTTAAGAGAGACAAAGAGGGACATTATGTAATGGTAAAAGGCCATGTCCAACAGGAAAATATCACAGTCCTAAACATATATGCACCTAACACTGGAGCTTCCAACTTTATAAAATGATTACTAATAGACCTAATAAATGAGACAGACAGCAACACAATAATAGTGGGGGACTTCAATACTCCACTGACAGCACTAGACAGGTCATCAAGACAGAAAATCAATGCAGAAACAATGGACTTAAACTATACCTTGGAACAAATGGACTTAACAGATATATACAGAATATTTTATCCAGCAACTGCAGAATACACATTCTATTAAACAGTGCATGGGACTTTCTCCAAGACAGGCCATATGATAGATCATAAAATGAGCCTCAATAATTTTAAGAAAATTGAAATTATATCAAGCACTCTCTCAGACCACAGTGGAATAAAACTGGAAATCAACTCCAAAAGGAACCCTCAGAACCATGCAAATACACGGAAATTAAATAACCTCCTTCTGAGTGAGCATTGGGTCAAAAACAAAATCAAGATGGAAATTAAAAATGTCTTCAAACTGAATGACAATAATGACACAACCAATCAAAACCTCTGGGATACAGCTGAGGCAGTGCTAAGAGGAAAGTTCATAGCCCTAAACGCCTACATCAAAAAGTCTGAAAGTGCACAAACAGACAATCTAAGGTCATACCTCAAAGAACTAGAGAAGCAGGAACAAACCTAACCCAAACCCAGGAGAAGAAAGGAAATAACCAAGATCAGAGCAGAACTAAATGAAATTGAAACAAACAAACAAAAAAATACAAAAGACAAATGAAACAAAAGCTGGTTCTTTGAAAAGATAAATAAAATTGATAGATCATTTGGATTTATCTTTGAAAAGATAAATAAAATTGATAGACCATTTGGATTTTCTCTCTTCTTTTCTTAGACAAAACAAGATTAACCAAGACAAGAAGAGAGAAAATCCAAATAATCTCACTAAGAAATGAAACAGGAGATATTACAACTGACACCACTGAAATACAAAAGATCATTTAAGGCTACTATGAACACCTTTATGCAGATAAAGTAGAAAACCTAGAAGAGATGGATAAATTCCTGGAAAAATATAACTCTCAAAGCTTAAATCAGGAAGAATTAGATAACCTGAACAGACCAATAACAAGCAGCAAGATTGAAACGGTAATTAAAAAATTACCAACAAAAAGAGTCCAGGACCAGATGGAGTCACAGCAGAATTCTACCAGACATTCAAAGAAGAACTGGTACCAATTGTTTTGACACTATTCCACAAGACAGAGAAAGAAAGAACCCTCCCTAATTCATTCTATGAAGCCAGCATCACCCTAATACCAAAACAAGGAAAGGACACAACCAAAAAAGAAAACTACAGACTGATACCCTTGATGAACATAGATGCTAAAATCCTTAACAAAATGCTAACTACAAAATCCAACAGCATATCAAAAAGGTAATCCACCATGATCAAAAGGGTTTCATACCAGGGATGCGGGGATGGTTTAACATAAGCAAGTCAATAAATGTGATCCACCACATAAACAGAATTAAAAACAAAAATCATATGATCATCTTAATAGATGCAGAAAAAGCATTTGACAAAATCCAGCATCCCTTTATGATTAAAACCCTCAGCAAAATAGGCATACAAGGGACATACCTTAATGTAATAAAAGCCATCTATGACAAACCCACAGCCAACATAATACTGAATGGGGAAAAGTTGAAAGCATTCCCTCTGAGAATGGGAACAAGACAAGGATGCCCACTCTCACCATTCCTCTTCAACATAGTACTAGAAGCCCTGGCAAGAGCAATCAGACAAGAGAAAGAAATAAAGGGCATCCAAATCGGTAAAGAGGAAGTCAAACTGTCCCTGTTTGCTGATTATATGACTGTTTACCTTGAAAACCCTAAGGACTCTTCCAGAAAGCTTCTAAAACTGATAAAAGAATTTAGCAAAGTTCCCAGATACAAAATTAATGTACACAAATCAGTAGGTCTTTTATACACCAAGCGACCAAGCGGAGAATCAAATCAAGAACTCAACCCCTTTTACAATAGCTGCAAAAAATTAAAATACTTAGGAATATACCTAACAAAGGAGTCAAAAGACCTCTACAAGGAAAACTACAAAACGCTGCTGAAAGACATCATAGATGACACCTACAAATGAAAACACATCCCATGCTCATAGATGAGTAGAATCAATATTGTGAAAAATGACCACATTGCCAAAAGCAATCTATGAATTCAATGAAATCTCCATTAAAATACCATAATCATTCTTCAAGAGTTAGAAAAAACAATTCTAAAATTCATATGGAAACAAAAAAGGAGCCCACATAGCCAAAGCAAGACTAAGCAAAAAGAACAAATCTGGAGGCATTACACTACCTGATTTCAAACTATACAGTAATGCCACAGTCACCAAAACAGTGTGGTACTGGTATAAAAATAGGCACATAGGCCAATGGAACAGAATAGGGAACCCAGAAATAAATCCAAATACTTACAGCCAACTGATCTCTGACAAAGCAAACAAAAACATAAAGTGGGGAAAAGATACCCTTTTCAACAAATGGTGCTGGGATAATTGGCTAGCCACATGTAGGAGAATGAAACTGGATCCTCATCTCTCACCTTATACAAAAATCAACTCAAGATGGATTAGGGACTGAAATCTAGGAACTCAAACTATAAAAATTCTAGAAGATAACATTGGAAAAACCCTTCTAGACATTGGCTTAGGCAAGGATTTCATGACCAAGAACCCAAAAGCAAATGCAATAAAAACAAAGATAAATAGCTGGGACCTAATTAAACTAACGTGCTTTTGCAGGGCAAAAGGAACAGTCAGCAGAATAAACAGACAACCCACAGAGTGGGAGAAAATCTTCACAATCTATACGTCTGACAAAGGACTAATATTAAGAATCTACAACAAATTCAAACAATCCCATCAAAAAGTGGGCTAAGGACATGAATAGACAATTCTCAGAAGAAGATACACAAATGGCCAATAAACATATGAAAAAATGCTCAACATCACTAATGCTCAGGGAAATACAAATCAAAACCACAATTCAATACCACCTTACTCCTGCAAGAATGGCCAGAATCAAAAAATCAAAAAACAATAGATGTTGGCATGCATGCGGTGATCAGGGAACACTTCTACACTGCTGGTGGGAATGTAAACTAGCACAGCCGCTGTGGAAAACAGTGTGGAGATTCTTTAAAGAACTAAAAGTGGAACTACCATTTGATCCAGCAATCCCACTACTGGGTACCTACCCAGAGGAAAAAAGTCATTATTCAAAAAAGATACTTGTACACGCATATTTATAGCAGTACAATTCACAACTGCAAAATCGTGGAAGCAACCCAAATGCCCATCAATCAATGAGTGGATAAAGAAACTGTGGTATATATATATATGATAGAATAATATTCAGCCATAAAAAGGAATGAATTAATAGCATTTGCAGTGAACTGGATGAGATTGGAGACTGTTATTCTAAGTGAAGTAACTCAGGAATGAAAAACCAAATATTGCATGTTCTCGCTGATGTGTGGGAGCTAAGCTATGAGGATGCAAAGGCATAAGAATAATACAATGGACTTCGGGGACTTGGGGAGAAAAGTGGGAGGGGGTGAGGGATAAAAGACTACAAATGTGGTGCAGTGTACACTGCTTGGGTGATGGGTGAACCAAAATCTCAGAAGTCACCACTAAAGAACTTACTCATGTAACCAAATACCACCTGTACCGCAACACATATGGAAAGATAAAATTAAAAAATTTAACAACAACAACAACAACACGTTCATTACAGTGTTATTCATAGAAGACCCAAACTGGACACCATTTAAGGTACATCAACTGGTGAATGGACAAACAAAATGTGGTATGTCCATGCAGTGGAATAGTATTATGGGGTAATACCCCATAATAAAAAGGAGTGAATTACTGACACATGCTACAAGGTATGTAGATGACCCTCCCAAACATGCTTGGTGAAATAAGCAAGACATAATACGGTATAGTTCCATATGTATGAAATGTCCAGAAAAGGCACATCTCTAGAGATAGAAAGCAGATTGGTGGGGCTGAGAATGGAAGCCGAGGTTGCCTGCAAATGGGCATGACAAACATTTCTGGAGTGATGGATATGTTCTATAATTGAATAGTTGTGATGGTTGCACAATTCTCTGAATCTACTAAAAATTATTTAATTATACATTATGATGGGTAAATTTTATATTATTTAAATATATCACAATAAAACTGACTAAAAATTAAGAGTTTCTGTTCCTCAGAAGACAGTACTCAAAGAGTGAAAGGCAAGTCATAAATTGAGATAAAATAATTGCAAAACACATATTGATAAAGGACTACTATTTACAATACATTAAAAAATCTACAAATCAATAAGAAAAAGACCAACAATTCAATGAAAGGGCACAAAGCTCGAGGAGGCACTTCACAAAAAAGAATATCCAAAGTGACCAATAGGCAAATAAAAACATGCATGATGCCACTGATAATCGGTTAAATGAAAATTAAAGTATTATTAGTTACCACTACATCTCTACTAGATTGGCTAAATTTAAAGGAGCGACAATACTAAGTGTTGGAAAAAACGTGGAGTAACTGTCACTTTCATACATTGCTTATGGGCAGTAGATTAATACAACCCCTTTGCAGTACTGTTTGGTGTATATGAATGCTACACATATCTAAAGTCTATGACCTAGCAACTCTAATCCTTGGTATATACTCAGAAGATTTAGTGCTTATGTCAACCAAAAGATAGGTACAGTATAAAAATTTTCATAGCAGCATGATTTTAAACAGCATCAAATCAAATATAATACAAATGTCCTACTAAAAATGTTTTCTATCTTGATCTGGGCAGTGGTTAAACAAGTAAGTGTGTGTGTGTGTGTGTGTGTGTGTGTATGTGTGTGTGTGTAAAAATTTTTCTCCGCTGTATGCATATTTGTACATTTTACTGTATGCATTTTATAACATTGTAATCAAAAAGCAAATAGATTTATGTATGAGCTTCATTTTGACAACATAAGCACAGGATATGTCGTCGAGAAACTAATGAAAATTTTACTTCTGAAGTGAGTTAGAACAAGGTTGAAGGTATGGGGAAGAGATGGAACGTCCTTGAATGTATCTGTTCATGTTTTGATTTCTGAATCACATTAATATTTTAAATATTCAAAAATAAAATTACATCAATAAGGATGAAAACATAAATTTTAGGGGATAGCTGTAGAAACAGAGATGTTGACAGGTAATTTCATCTGCTATTTTACAATTTCCAGTCTTCCTTGGAATTAGGTAGGGGCCATAGGACTAGTTCTAGATCAAAAGCTCTAAGTAGGAGCCTCTGAGCTGAAAGGTGGAACACTGACCTGATTCCTCTCTGTGCTCTCTTCCCTGCTTTGGCAGTCATGGAGGTCGTGTCCTCTGAATGTGGACCTGTGAGTCTCCACATGGCACACAATTGCTCTGAAATTACCCAACTTGCACGAGAGCTTTTGAGAGTGAGAAATAAACATTTTGATTTGGAGGTTGGTTTGTTGCCTCAGTCCTCAGCAGAGCCTAGCCGATTCTGACTATGTCAGGGATGATATAAAATTGAGGCGAATTGTTGAGAGGGAAGACGTGTAGTGGCTGTATCAGGGGAATTGGAGAAAGTGATAAAAGGTTTTCTATAATCCTGAGAAGAATAAACGTGGGAAAATTTTTGGAATATTAGAGTTAGAAGAAAGCTAGGGACACAACTCTATCCCTTTCAGTATAAGACAAAGAAACTCAGACCAGAGGGACTAATGATTAGGTCAAGAGCACATGACAAGTTGTTGCGGGACAGGTTGTTACTGGTGGAGGGTGTTCAGGTTCTTGGCGTCTTAAACAAAGAAATGGACAAAACACACAAACGAAGGAAAGAATGAAGTAACAAAGGCAGAGATTTAACGAAAATAAAAGTACACTCCACAGGATGGGAGCAGACTGGTTACAGAATTTTCTGGGGTTTAAATACCCTCTAGGGGTTTCCCATTGGTTACTTGGTATATACCCTATGTAAATGAAGTAGTGGCTCATGATCAGTCTGATTGGTTGCGGAAAGTGACCAATCAGAGGCTGAAGTGAAGTTATAAAGTTATATCTCTATGCAAATGAAGACCTGGCCCACAACCAGCCTGATTGTGGGAGGGGAGCAATCAGAGATACTTTCAGTTTTTCATCTGCCATGCAGAAAAGGAGAGGGTTGCAAAGGGCGTAGCCTCTGGTCTTTTTGTTACTTGGGCACGGAAAGTTGGGGTTTTCCTTTTGATTTAGTTCTAGGAAGTCAGTGTAAATCGGCCTTAGGTTTCCTGGCTCCAGACCCCATCCTCCTGCCTGGAGGTGAGCTCCCAAATTAGTGCTTTCCCAAGAAAAGAATTCAAGGGTCAGCCAATGGTGTTAGACAGCAATCTTTTATTCAATGGTTCTGCTCCTTGAAGCAGGGTAACTCATAGGAGTGCACCCAGAGCCTGAAATGCAGGGGCTCTTGGCAACGGCATTTATACTCACATACATCATTTTCAAAGGGAGGCCATTGTCACATCACCATGGGTCAGCCAATCAGGTGGACACCTCCCTTCAATGACCTTCCTGTCCCATAGGAGTTCTCAGGCAGCTTCAATGGAAGGAGGGAGCCAAGAAGGGGGCCTGGTATACATTCAAAGATGATAATTACGACATGGATTGTGTATATTCTTGCTCGGAAAGGTGTAGGGCTTCCCTTCCTACCAATAACCAGTTCGGTAAGCAGCTTGGTGGTAGTCACATGGAATAATTTTTCATATATCTTCTCCCCCTGTGGGACCCTGCTGCACTTCATAGAGATCTTACAAATAAATTTGAGTAACAGTTGCGGGGGCTGGGTGGGAAGAGCTGAATTTCTAGGTTTTCTGAGGTCACCAACTTGCCAATTTGTTCCAGGACATTGACGTTGTGGAAAGTGAGGCTGTGTCTGTACTACATCATTGGTTGAAAAAAGTGAGTAAGATTTCTTTATGACTCAGGATATCCAAAATGCTAGAGAAGTGGTCTCAGTGGGTGTGGGGATCTGGACTTCCTTCTTCATGGAACTGGAACTCAAGTTCATTGCCAGACACCCTTCCTAGATTTGAGTCTAATTTCTTCACATGTGCTGGAGGACACTGTGGCTTGTGTCCTGGCAGGAAATGTGTTAGCACCACCACTAACGCCGTCCTGCTTCTCAAGCATCCTGGCTTAAGGGTTTCAGCTGCATCCTTCCCAGCTCAAGGGTGTCTCAGGAACACCTTGGGATAGGGCCAGGGACTTAGGGAGTTCTGAGGACTTTACAGGGAAGTAGCTTATTGTGGGAACAGTGAGGTAAGGAGTGTATGTGTGTGAATATGTGGTGTGTGAGTTGTGATGGAGAATGAATAAAAGGAAAGGAAGAGGAGAAGAAGACCCAGGGTTGGATGCAGAGTGACATTTTCAGAGGGAATTTCTCACCTTTCAGACAGAAGAAGAGGCTTCTCGGGGCATAAAGGAAAAGCTGTCCATCAACCACCCTTCCCAGGGTGTAAGGGAGAAGATGTCCACTGACTCCCCTCCCACCCATGGCCAGGACATCCACGTGACCAGAGATGTGGTAAATGAGAGTTTGAGACCTTGCCTGGGAGTAGCGGTGAGGGAGAGGGGAGAGGTGGGAGGTGCACCGTAAATGATTCTGGGCAAGGGTGAGGTGCTCGTCTGGGCTCTGTGCCAGCCCAGTTGGGGGCCACACTGGGCAGGAATCACATGGACCCTCTGGATTTCCCAGGTGAAGCACCACCTCTCTAAGTCTGATTTGTTGGCAAACCAGAGCCAAGAGGTCCTAGAGGAGAGAACACGAATCCAGTTCATAAGATGGAGGTAAGGTGTCCCACTTGCCCTGGGCGAAGGAAGGGGAGGGAGAGATGCGCAAGCCCCTCTCTTCACGAACCCTCAGATGCTCTTCTCTAGAGATGTCGTCTTTGGCTGACAAATTCCTCAGCCTTGCTTTGGGGTCTTAAGGGAATATCCTTGCTATCTTGAAAGCCCAGCTCATTTCTACATTTTTAAATGACTTGAGGGGTTGGAAAACTGGGCTTGCACTCCATTTCTTAAATGCTTCTGAATACATTTCAGATTTCTGTTATTTTTGCACTTGAGTTGCTCAGAAGTGGCTGCACTTTAAAGAGCTAAAAGAAAATAAGCTCTTAAAATGCAAAAGCCAAAGTTTTCATCTGCAACTGAGGTGTGGGGAGGCTTCCCAGCGCCCGAGGCTAGAATTCTGCACTCGGTTATGGTGGCTTCGCCAGCGTCCCGGGTGCCTGCCAGCTCACAGCCGTCCCCACTGCCTCTCGTGGCTCTGCAGATGCTGAGCCCCGAGGCCCAGGGAGCTGGCCTGAAGCCATCATGCTTCAGACAGAGGCTTTCCTATTTCCTTTCCTGCACCTGTGTTCACTGGGGGTCTCTGGAGCACATCAGCCACCCCTTCCCAGGAGAGGGACTGAGGGCTTAGACTGGTCCTACGGGAACCTGAAGGAGACTTCTCCCCTTCCTCCTCTCTTCCTCCTTTCCCTGCCGCATCATCGATGTTGATCTGTTGTATCAAGGAGGCTCCATTTCTCAAGAAACGGTTTCCATGTGCTTACCCCTTCTAGTGGCATCTGCCTTTTAGGAAGACTCAAATGCACAGTAATTTCATAACCAAAAGGAATAACATGGTGGGATCTGAGAGCTCCCTGGGAAAGAGTTTTTTTGGATGGGAAGCCTTCTGAGGCCCCTAAAATCATAAATGTTGTTGATTATAATCCAGGCTTTTCTGTGCCTGACGTGGTTGTGCTATGGAATTGCGGACATTGTGCTCCTTGGTTTGGATAACACACACATCATCTTCCAATATTTTAAAAATCTCGTCTGTATAAAAAAACTAGTTTTAAGCTTTTCAGACAGGCTACAGGAATCAGTCAATTATTTACATATAATTTTTCCACTCTGGATTTTCTACAAAGATTTTAAACCAAAAGCCTCCGCCTATCTCCCCCCACAACCCACTGGTTTTGGTGTCCCCCTCTTATTTCAGTAAGTATATAGTCAGGAAATATATATATCCCTTTATGAAACAAAGCAAGGAGGCTCCCCAGGGGACCCCACAGCTTCCTCGCTGTAGGCTTTCCTAGAAGCATCTCTGAACCACAGTGGGTGTGGGGTGATGCAGGTCATCAAGAGCTGATGATAGGAGAGGAATTCAGAAGACTGAATTCAGAAGGGTGAATTCCACGGCTCACGAGACCACTGCTTGCTGCCTTTAGTAAGGGCACTCAGCTCTGTGTCCCTGGCTCTCCCCGGGACAGTCTGCTACCTGTTCAGCATTACTGGGGGCTCAAGGGTACCTGGTTAGTAAAAAAAAGCTTTGTGCTCATGAGTCAAGAAGGGGGAGAGACCAGCTCAAAAGTTCATGGTGTCAGGGCAAGAGTCATTGTTTGCAGGATCCCATCTCTAGCAGCTCTCTATGCCTGTTAAGAAAGAAACTCAGATCCCATATGCCAATGTACGAATGGCCTTTTGCAGCCACACTCGTATCTTCCAAGTGCCAAGTGAGATGACAGAGGACATCATGCGAGATCGAATAGAGCAGGTGAGACGAAGGTAAGCTGTTTGGAACTGCTTGATTTGTGTTCCTGACTGGGGGCAGGTAGGGTGGGGGTGACTGCTGGGTTTCCCGCCCACACCCAGCAATGCTATCTCTGGTATGCCAACATCAAGAGCAGAGACACACAGTTCCCAGGGCTGCGTCTTGTCTTCTGTGCTCCACATGACAGGGCTTTGCCAGCCTCCCATGGTGTCTGCCAGTGCACAGAAGGGCTTCAGGCTGTGGGCCTGTTCATATGACTGTGCTCCCAGGCCCAGTGTGGCCACGGCCTAGGCACGGCCTGCCCTCCCACCGCAGCCCCTGTGCCGTGGTCTGGGTAGGCTCTGCTATCAGGCAGCCTCCCTCCACCTGGCCCTTCTCCTCTGTCCCCTGCAGCATATCCCGTCTTACAGATGTCTCAGCTCAGGACTTCAGTATGAGACCCTCCTCCTCAGACTGCTGAGAGCAACAGGTGAGAGAGCTGACGGATGAGGAACTGGGCAGAGAAGATGGTTATCCTGGGCAGTGGGAAGGGGCACTGCAGCTGGGAACTTGGTAAAGAGGCTTAGCTTTTCCCTACTGGGGAAGGGCCTGCACTCAGGGCCAGTAGTGGGAGAGGAGGGCTGGCTGCCTTAGGCTCCCGCAACGCCTCTCTTAAGTTTGTGGAAGGACTTGAAGTCAAATTTGATTGGTTTCCTGACTCTGTGGTGTCAGAGAGCACTGCCTCTCCATCATTCATGGGCCCGGGCTTTCGTGTTTAGGAGGTTGTGGTGGAGCCTGCAATTTTGCATTTCTAAAAGTTTCTGGGCATTGTCACTGCTGGTCTGCTGACCTCACCTTGAGTCACAGATCGTAGTGTCAGGAGTGATGCTGTGTAGGTTTTAGACCTGCCACCAACTTGTGATGTGACTTTTGGTCCCATGGCCACTTGCCTTGTGCTTGGCCCGGTGGTCACACGGGGGCTGTTTATGAGGCCCTGGGAGGTGGAAGGCCAATGGCAGGATAAACAACCACAAGAGCTATCCGGGATGCAGTCCCTGAGCCTGTGGTGAACAGCTGTGCTGACCATCCTGCGGCTAAGGGAGAGATTTAGGCACAGCGACCTCAGCATGCTTACAGGAAGGCTGTTGGAGAGCAGTACCGGCATTTATCAAGGACTTACTGTATACCAGCTTCTGCACAAGGTAGTTTGTCAGGGTTTATCATTTGATCCAAAAACAACCTTAAGAGAGGGCGTTGTTGTGCCCATTATACAGAAGGCAGAACTTAAGTCAAGCCCGGGAGCAGATGCTGGGTTCCAATTCAGCTCCACCATGGGCAAGTTACATAATGCCACTGTGCCTCAATTTCCTCAATGCAACAGAGTATCTACTTTGGAGGGTTGTCTTGGGGGTGATGGTGTCTAGCACATGGTAAATGCCGCATCAATTGTTTGCTCATATTACTAGAGAAGAACAGGAAGTGCTGGGAGGGTACACAGTTCGCAGGGGCTTCTGAGCTGGAAGAAACAGACTCAGGCTTCAATTCCAGCTGCCTGATGCACCACTGACGATTCTTCCATGGGTTTCTGCTCTCTAGATGGAGCTTTGGGAACGCGGAGAACAGTGGGGTTACAGGGAGTCATCATCAGCCCTACCCCTTGGCCAACCACATCTCCCTGCTGTGTCCCCTGGGCATTTCTCTACCTCCCAGGTGGAAGTCCTTCAGGGTCCAGCAGCAACCTGTATCAGAAGAACATCCTTCTCTGCTTGACCTGAAGAAGGGCCAGACCTGGGCAGAAAGACTCCAGCAGGTGAGCTCTTCATGCGACAGTGTCAGCACTGGAGTCTTCTTGCTGAACTGCGAATAAAGAGATGTGCTGTTTAACAACCCGCCCTGTTGCTGGTTGGGGTGCTGTGCCATTCATTTGTCCATTCATCAGATGCTGAGTACCTCACAGGCCTGGCTCTGGGGACACATGACTTACAGCCTTGAGGGAGACAGACAGCAGCCGTTCCAGCAATGTGACAATGGCGATATTGGTGCTCCTGGAACATAAGAAGGAGTGCTCTGTGGCTGGGGCAGGGAGAACTTTTTGAGGGAAGTGTGCTGGTTTGTTTCAGACATTTATGTTATCTGCACTTATTCCTTCTCTAGCTCTCTTCCTTTTTAATGTAGATTTGAGTTTCTGCCCTATATCCTTTTCCTTCTCTTTGAAGAACTCCTTTTAAGGTTTCTTGCAAGGTAGCTGTACTAGTGACAATTTCCTTCAATTTTTGATGGTTGGAGAGTCTTTATTTGTCCTTCTTTTGAAAGGTAATTTTGCAAGATACGGAATTCTAGGCTGACAATCTTTTTTTCTTTCAACACTTAAATATTTTACTCCACTCTCATCTTGCTTGTACGGTAACCGAGGAGAAGCTGGATATAATTTCTATCCTTGTTCCTCTATAGATAAGGTGTTTTCCCTTTCAAGAAATTTTGTCTTTGATTTTCTGCAGTTTGAATGTGATATGACTAGGTATAGTTATTATTGTTATTATTATTATTATTTTTTGCATTTATCTTGCTTGGTGTTCTCTGAGATTCCAGGATCTGTTGTTTGGTGTCTGTCATTAATTTTGGAAAATTCTCAACTACTAATCAAACTCTT